>NC_000012.12:132571344-132918326 GCF_000001405.40 Homo sapiens
CTGGTGCAGAGCGCCGAGCGGCCTGGCGCCTCCCTGGGCCCGGGGGCTCTGCTGCGGGCGGAGTTCCATCAGCACCAGCACACACACCAGCACACGCACCAACACACACACCAGCACCAACACACATTCGCCCCCTTCCCCGCAGGGCTGCCCCCGACGCCGCCCGCCGCACCCCCGCCGGTGCGTAGGCCCGCGTGCTGGCAGGGGGCGGGGGCGGGCGTGGGGCGGGGACACGCAGCAGGCACACACAGACACACGCTCGCACACACACCAGCCCAGGAGGAGGTGGGGGGCCGGCGGCACCTCTCTGTCGTCTGTCCGGTCCCCAACGTGCCTTCTGGTGTCCCCACCCCAAGCTGTGCCATGAGGCCCCCACCCTCGGCAGTGGTCCTGGACTTAGGCAGGCACCCCGTGCCCACGTGCATGGGACACCCTCACGCCTGCACTAGATCCCCAGTGCCAGGGCTGGAGGCCCAGACAGGCCTGAGGGCACAGGGACCATGACTCAGGGTGCCTCCCGTGTTCCCCGCCCCGGAGGCCCGGTCTGAGGAGGGAGTTGCTGGGGGCTGGAGTCCCCTCCACTCTCTCGAGTTTTATTCGGAAACTGGCCAGTTTGTCAGTAACCCGGTGTGTCCCCAGCGCGACCCAGCAGCCAGGGCTTCACGCCCCAGGCCTCAGCCAGGCACACAGACTGCCTGGGGGGGCCGAGTTCCCACCCCATGCAAGGGGACCCTTAGAATGGCAGGGCCGCCCTGGTCTGAGACTGAGTTCAGAGCCGTGGGGCTGGCGCTCTAGAGGAGCCTGGGACGGCTGGCCGAAGCCGCCAGCCTCAGGAAGCACAACGCCGTCCTGTCACTGCCCAGCCCGGCCAGGTGGGCGGGGCCCGGGGCCCAGCAACGGTGTCGTGTGTGCGGGGCCTCACCCTCCTCTCCTTCCCTTCCAGTTTGACAAGTATGCGCCCAAGCTGGACAGCCCCTACTTCCGACATTCCAGCGTGAGTGTGAGTGTCCCCGAGGGGCCCGGCGCGTGTCGCTGTGCACGCAGGTCCTGGCCACGGGGCGGTGGGTGGGGCTGCCCCTCGCCTGGCCTCGCCCCTGCTGCATTGGTGCCACCTTCTGGTTACAGGCAGAGGGTGGGGTGAGGACTTGGGCCCCCCCTCCATCCGCTCTCCTTCTCTTACAGTTCTTCCCGTCCTTCCCTCCTGCCATCCCGGGACTGCCCACCCTGCTCCCACACCCCGGCCCCTTCGGGTCCCTGCAGGGCGCTTTTCAGCCTAAGGTACCGCTGCCCCTGGCAGGTGGGGCGGGCACAGCGGGTGGGTGGATTTTGGGGGGAGTGCATGACAACCTCGCCAAACTCTCTGCCCACAACCACCCCCCTTTCCCTCCCTTGTACCTGTCGTCATCTGGGTGCTGGCGTGAGCAGCCCCTGCCAGGATGGGGGGCCCTGCGGTCTGTGTGTGGCCACCGTGGGAGGGACAGGGGGTCCAGCCTGGGAGCAGCCCTGGGAGGTGGTGGGACCGTGTGGAGAGCACACTGTGGAAGCCTCGAAGGAGAACATTCCAGTCCTTGGCAGGAGGCCCTGGTGTGGACAGCAGCCTCACAGGCCGTCCTTACCGCAAGGAGGTTCTTACGGGGCCATCCACACTGCGAGGAGGTTCTTACGGGGCCGTCCACACCGTGGGGGACCCGGGCCTTACGGGGCCGTCCACACCCGCAGGGGACCTGGGTAGCAGGAGGTTGTGTGCCATCTCAGCCAGGGGAGAGGGAACCCCGTGACCCTCCTCACTGTTCCTGGCCTTGTGCTGTAACCCCACCCTCTGCGGAGGGGCACACAGCTCTCAGTCCTGAAGCCGCCTCACCTGTGGGCCTCAGGTTCTGAAGACGGGGCCTGGACCATCCCCGGTAGCTGCCAAGCCCTTGACCTCCCAGGATCCTGCAGCGCCCACTCATTGCCCACAGCTGCCCTGAAGGGCCCAGCACGCACCCCTGGGCTCCCCTGGGGCACCGCCCACATCGTGGACGGGCAGATAGTGCTTCCGAGGACCAGGCACCCCTGGGCACTAGAGGGTCTTGGACCCCCAGACCCCGTGGTTGAGGAATTCAGAGGAATGGAGAAGGGATGTATGTGGCCCACCTGCAGGTGTCGAGCAGGGACCCCCAGACTGGGACTCGGGGGTACTGCCCTGAGCCCAGACAGCCAGGACGCTGAGGCCCTGAGTCTGGGAGGGAAGGAATCTGTCCCGGCCGCACCCCGAGCACAGCTGCTTCTGGGCAGGGTGGTAGCCCAGAGGGAAGGGGCGGTAGAGCCAGTCTGGGGAGGAGGGGGCTGTGGTGTGATGGCCGGTCTTTGCTGTGGGACCCCCCTTTCCCTGGCGCCCCTGGTGGGAAACGACCATCTCCCCTTGGCCCATCCAGGCTCACAGCAGCTCCTCCTGGGCTGGAGACTAGGTGTGCACCACTCCCCCTCTGGGTGGGGCTGTCTCGGCCCTGGTGGCAAGTGGCTCCCCGGGGAGGGTCGCCCACCTTCCCTGGCAAGAGCACCTGCTTCCCACCTTTGCAGAAACTGGCGGGCCAAAAGTGTGGTGGTCCTGCGAGGGAGGGCAGGCTGTCCCTGGGAGACAGCGTGCGGGGCCCCACGGCAAGGCAAAGCAGGGCACAGGCCCACGCCAGAACCAGGAAGCCCGAGGCGTCCTCCTGCCTGGGCGGCCCCAGGCGCACACAAGCTGTCTCTTTCTCCCCTCAGACTTCAAGCCCCATTGAGGTGGCCCGCCGGGCTGGTGCGGTTCACACACTCCTGCAGAAAGCGCCTGGGGTAGGTGTTAGTGGGCGCCCGTCCCCACCCCGGGGGATGGCCTGCCCCGGCCGGGCCCTGTGCGGGCTGGTGGCCACAGCAGACGGGCTGTGTCCCCTGCACCCCCAGGACTCAGCCTCCTGAGGGGCCCGGACCTCACACTCCTTTCCTGTCTCCACAGGTGTCTGACCCGTACCGGGCGGTGGTCAAGGTGAGCACGTGTTGGGAAGGCCCGTGGCAAGGGAGGACTCTGGTGCCCCCGGGGCGGCCTCGGGGGGCCCGTGACAGCAGGAGTCTGCAGAAAACATGGGTGGGGGTGGCACCAGCCCCACTGAGCGCTTCCATCCTGTCGCAGAAGCCGGGGAGGTGGTGTGCCGTGCACGTGCAGATCGCCTGGCAGATCTACCGTCACCAGCAGAAGATAAAGGTGAGACCACCTGGGCTGGGGCAGGGCGCTTGTGAACCCGACTCCAGCCTGGTCGGGCCCTGAAGGCCAGGCATGAGGCTGTGTGTGTTCACACGCGTGTGCACGGGTGTGATCCTCACGCGTGAGCCGCCTGCCCCTTCCTCTGGGTACTGGGCTTTTACCGTAAGCAGGTCAGCGAGGCCACAGGGCAGTGCTGGGTGCCCGGGTGCCGCAAGGCCCTCTCCTCGGCAAGGTGTGCCGGCTGGGCCACGGGGAGCAGAGCAGGGGCACGGGGTGCCGCACCAGCTCCCCACGTCACTGGGGTGCCTCTGGGGTCCTCTGCCGCCCCCACTCCCCACAGTGATTGAGTGTCTGCTGTGTTCTTCGGTCTTCAGCAGTGACCCAGGGGGACCGTGAGTGCTCACAACTGATGTGCACCTGGGAAGGCTGAGGAAGGCGGGAGCCCCGCGGGCAGCTCGGTGCAGGTCCCACCAGGCTAGGAGCTGCGGGAGCGGGAGAGGGTCCTGGGAGGCCAGGACAGGGGGACTGTTGCCTCAGCCCCGTGGGACCCTGCACCTCTGCTGTCCCTGCGCTGTCCTGATGACGCACGTCACCTCCGCACACAACTCTGAAAAATCATTGTCCTAAATGCCCTTTGGGACGGGACTCAGAGCAGAATGCTGTATGTCTTTCTTTTTTTTTGAGACGGAGTCTCGCTCTGTCGCCCAGGCTGGAGTGCAGTGGCGCGATCTCGGCTCACTGCAAGCTCCGCCTCCCGGGTTCACGCCATTCTCCTACCTCGGCCTCCCGAGTAGCTGGGACTACAGGCGACCGTCACCACACCCGGCTAATTTTTTGTATTTTTTGTAGAGACGGGGTTTCACCATGTTGGCCAGGATGGTCTCAATCTCTTGGCCTCATGATCCACCCACCTCGGCCTCCCAAAGTGCTGGGATTACAGGCGTGAGCCACTGTGCCCGGCCAGAATGCTGCATGTCTTTATACTTGCATGTCTGGGTGGAACTTCTGGACACACAGCAGAGGGATCAGGTGCTCCTGGTGGGGGGCCGTCCACGGCAGAGTCGGGAGACCTCATCACTCCTGGTTTTGTCCTTGGAACTCGGGGCATGGTTGCTCCACAGAGGAGGGCAGATCCTGCAAGAGGCCGGCGGTCCAGGGAGAGGGCGCACACAGGGTCTGCCCAGCCCTCACGCCTGCCCCCACGTAGTGCCAGAGTACCCCAGCATCATCATGGCCAGTGAAACCACCCCAGTGCCAGAGCACACTGCAGGGACCAGGAGGGGCCGGCCCAGGCCAGCCTGAGTGCGGGTCAGAGGCAGGACAGGCAGAGGCAGCGCAGTCACCAGGACAGTGGGGTCTTGTTTGGCTACACCCCTCCTGGCTCTGGGCCCCTCTGCTCCCATGGGAGGGCATGGGCATCCCCAGTCTCCACCCAAGCCTGGCCCTGCCTCCCACAGCCGCCTGGCAGCGTGGGCACCTGAAGTGTGGCCAGTGCAGGTGAGGGGCACATGTTGTAGTTTCATATAATTTTTAACACATTTAACTTTGAAAACTGATACCAAATTCAGTCACTGAGAAACTTTTCAGCATATTTGGAACAACTTGGGCACGTGAGCATGCTTTTTCAGTTTCTTTTTTTTTTTCTTGAGATAGAGTCTCGCTCTGTCACCCAGGCTAGAGTGCAGTGGCATGATCTCGGCTCACTGTAACCTCCACCTCCCGGCTTCAAGTGATTCTCCTGTCTCAGCCTCCTGAGCAGCTGGGATTACAGGCGCCCGCCACTGCGCCCAGCTAATTTTTGTATTTTTAGTAAAGACGGGGTTTCGCCATGTTGGCCAGGCTGGTCTCGAACTCCTGACCTCAGGTGATCCGCCCGTATCAGCCTCCCAAAGTGCTGGGATTACAGGCGTGAGCCACCGTGCCTGGCCTTAACTTTTAAAAGAATCTAAATACAAAAAAAGTAAGTTATTTTCCATGACAGCGTAGCATCCCAGCTGCCATGTGCCAAGTACGTACCACAGTTCAGAGGACGTGAGCTCTCCCGTTCAGCTTTTTTGCTGATCATGTGTAACATTTCCGTCATCCTGAGTAGAGAATACACCCTTGAAATCCATCCCACCTGCTCCCCTTACTGGACTGGCTCACACCCAGTCCCTGTGGCCCCTCAGGCCTGGGCTCCCTGTGTTCAGGGCCAGTCCCCGGGCAGGCGGCCCTCACCCGTTCTATCCTCCCAGGAGATGCAGCTGGACCCCCACAAGCTGGAGGTGGGTGCAAAGCTGGACCTGTTCGGCAGACCCCCTGCCCCGGGCGTGTTTGCAGGCTTCCACTACCCACAGGACCTGGCCCGGCCCCTCTTCCCCAGCACAGGTGAGACTGGAGTCGGGCCAGGTGGGGGGCACAGAAACCTCCCGCTCGTGCCCAGCTGAGCCTGCCTTCCTGTGCCAGGAGTGAGAGCGCTCTCTGGACCGCAGCACCAGCCTTTGCTTCTTGATGCTCACCACTTATTCAGGTCAAAGCCTGGCAACTCCCTCACCTCACCCCACCCCTCACCTCTCTTCTCCTCACCTCTCCTCTCCTGTCCTCCCCACCAGCCTCCCCAGGGTGGACCTGGGCCTGGGGCTGCTGCTCCTCCCCACCAAGTCCTGCCCAGTGTGTCCTGGGGGGCCTTCAGCCCACGCCACACGGCTCTGAGGCGGCTGGTCCTGGCCACCCCTCCTCCCTGGGGCTCCCTGTTCTGGCCCCACCAGAGGCAAAGGAATGGCAGGGACCCAGGCCCACGCGAGGCTGCCCCTTTCTGTCTCCCAGCCCCCGCTTTCCCAGGAGGAGTTTGGCCTCTCGCTGAACAGTAGGAAGCTGCTCCTGAGGCCAGGCTGGGCCCACACCCCAGTGCCCCTTCCTCACATGCATGGTTGCTCCCGGGGTCCCAGGACGGGCCCAGCTGCGGTGGTTTCCTAGGAAGGGTTCCAGGACTTGGCCTGTACTGTCCTCAGTAGCACGGCCCAGGGTGGGATCTGCCGGGAGCAGCGAGGGCCTCCCTGCCCTCAGTCACCCACTCCCCCGAGTCACCCCCTCCCCCGGGTCACCCCTCCCCCAGCAACACAACGTGACCACACCCGAGTGTCATCCTCCAGGCACGCAGAGGCACGAAGACTCTGGGGTGCTGATCTGTAGGCACCACTGCCTGGCACAGGCCCCCAGGAGGAAAGTGGGCTCGAAGTTCAACCCACAGTGTGGGATGGACACAGTCTGGGTGCCTAGAGGCTGGCTGAGGGCCAGCTGTGTGCACAGACCTTTCCAAAGATGGTGTCTCAGCCTGCACGGTGCACGCCTTTCTACACATACACAGTTACACACAGTTACACATCCACATCCACGCGTGTACGCACACGTGAAGCATGAGCATCCACATACAGCTGACCCTTGAACCACACAGAGGCTGGGACACTCCCCACCACACAGTTGAAAATCCAGGTATAACTTTTGACTCCCCCGAAACTTAGCCTACTGTTGACAGGAATCCTTACGATAGCATAAACAGTTGCTGAACACCTGTTTTGTGTGTTACATGTATGATGGACTGTATTCTTACAATGAAGTCCACTAGAGAAAAGAAAACCTTATGAGGCAGACCATGACCAGGCGTGGTGGCGCACGCCCGTGGTCCCAGCTCCTCAGGAGGCTGAGGCAGGAGGGTCGCTTGAGCCCAGGAGGTCAAGGTTGCAGTGAGCCGTGATTGCACCACTGCTCTCCAGCCTGGGCAACAGAGCAAGACCCTGTCTCACACACACACACACACACACACAAAATCATAGAGAAAAGATATTTGCCATTCGCTGTGTGGAAGTGAATCATCCTAAAGGTCTTCATCCTCGTCCTCACACGGAGTGGGCTGAGGAGGAGGAGGGGCCGGTCTCGCTGTCTCAGGTGGCAGGGATGGGAGGAAATCTGTGTCTAAGTGGCCCGCACAGTTCAAACCCATGTTGTTCAAGGGTCAGCTGCATGCACACGTACATACCCACGTGTACAGGCACACGTACACACAGGCACAGGCACACACATGGGCACTGCGTTGCCCAGTTGTCCTGCTGATGGAACCTTTCCCAGCCACCAGGTCCTTGAGGCCTGTCCCTTCCTCAGAGCTCCCAACCCCCGCTGCAGCCCCCCCTCACTCTCCCCTCACCGTGTTTGGTCTCTTCCATGTTCATGAGCATTTGATGGCACGTTGCATGTGGACGTGTGAAGGCAGAGCCCTGTCCACATAAGGGTGATGGGCGTGCCCAGCAGCCACATGAGGCTGGCTTCACAAGCATGGTGGCCTCTGGGCCATGGAGCATCCCAGTAGTCTGGCTTTCTCAGAAAGCAGAAGTCCAGGCTGCAGTTTCTGGCTGTCCGCATCCTGGCTCAAGCCCCCCGGACACGTGCTCAGTGTGGCGCCCAGTTCTGGGCCCTCCACACTGCCCGCCCCACCGACCCTGCTCCTCCCCCGCCTCCCCTTCCCTCCTCTGGATACCTGGTGGCTGTCCCTCGGTGCTCTGCCATTTGTCCTGCGAGGCTGGGCCCCCTCAGTCCCGGGGCCAGTGCTGCCTCCTCCATCTCCTTGGCAGGTCTTGATATCTTGCTGGCAGGGGGCAGGATGATTCCTTGTTGCTCTTTTCTCTCTTCCATATAAACTTTCAATCTGCCTGTTAGGTTCCAGCTTTCACTGGAGTTGGGTTAAAGGGGTACATCGACCTAAGAGGGATTCGTACGTCATCTCCGGTATCATTTTCCTATCCCTGATCATGGTGTATCTCATTTATTTAGGTATTAGTAGAATTACTCATAGATGCTTTATATTTTACTAATATTATGATTGGAATTTGTAAGTTACATTCTTAAGCTGTTGCTAGAAAACAGAAGTGCGTATCTGTTTTGAAGATTTGTATGCCATCTCTTGATGCTGTAACTAGCAATCCTGCTAAATTCTTACGAATGCAAAGACATTTGTCTGTCAATTCCTTTACCTTTTCTGTGTAGAAAGTCATATCTAGGAGTGGGTGGTTTGCCCCCTTGTGTAAACTGTCGGTACGTTTCTGGAGCCACTGTTCCAGCGCTTTGTTCCAGATGAGTTTCCTGAGTAAGCCTGGCCTTTACTTTCCTGTGCTGCACCTGGCAGGTTTTGTCACGAGGGCTCTTTGCCGTCTTCAGTGAGTTAAGGCGCTTTCCTTTTTTCTGCTCTCTGGAAGAGCTCTTGTGAGGTCTGATCCTCACTGCCTTCAAGGCTTGGAGGCTCACAGTTCAGGTTCCAAGTACTGATTTTTTTTCTCCACTGGGTGTGGTATTCCTCAAGCTGTTTCTTCTGGCATCGGTTTCAGTAACGCGAGTGTTTCCAGTAAGTTGATTTGGGGCAGGCTCCGTAGCTGTCGGTGTCCATCCGTCACGCCTGAACTCCGCAGGCCCTGGCAATTCTTAATGTTGCTTGGCTGTGTCGTCTTTTTTCCTTCATTAATCTCACCAGAAGTTTGTCCATTTCACCAGTATTTTATTTTAATTTATTTATTTTGAGACGAAGTCTTGCTGTGTCGCCAGGCTGGAGTGCAGTGGTGCGATCTTGGCTCACTGCGACCTCCACCTCCCGGGTTCAAGCGATTCTCCTGCCTCAGCCTCCCAAGTGGCTGGGACTACAGGCAGGCGCCACTACACCTGGCTAATTTTTGTATTTTTAGTAGAGACATGGTTTCACCATGTTGGCCAGGCTGGTCTCAAACTCCTGACCTCAGATGATCCTCCTGCCTCGGCCTCCCAAAGTGCTGGGATTACAGGCGTGAGCCACTGCGCCCGGCCAATTTCACCAGTATTTTTAAAGGAGCAGCTCTGACCTCGCTGCCTTCTCTGTGTGTTTCCCTGTGTGTCGCTCACTTTTCTGGCCCTGTCTAGCTTGATCTGGTGGTTGAGAATATTAATTCCTCAGCCTCTCCCAGTGCGGGCATTTGAGGCAGTGTACTCTCCATCTCCTCCTGCACACGCTTTGACAAGCTGTGTTTTCGTAGCATGGGGCAGGCTGTCTTCCTCTCTAGTTTAGAAGAGTGGCATCAGCTTTCATGCCACAGCTCAGTGGAGACCAGAAGCTCTGAATACAACTTGCCGCGTCCTACATGGGAGGCATGAGCACCCCATCTTTGAGGTCCCTAAGATTAGGGCTGGGAGGGAGTCGGAGTAACCTAAAGATGACGCCCTGCTGGTCTTTACCAGAAACCTGCTCTCTGGACCCATGTGGAGGACGGCCCCTGACCAACAGCACTGAATCCCCTGCAGCAGCCCCTCCCAGGGCCCGGGCCCAGGCCCCACACGGTTGCTCTCCAAGGGTTGTTGGGGGGCCAGGGCTGATGTTGACGTGGTGCTGTGGGCTGGGCCTGTGCCCAGGAATGCCACAAGGGGCTGCCATGTGCAGCCTCCAAGACAGAACCGTGTCCATCCAGGCCTGAGGCCCAGCACCACATTAAGAAGTGAGGACCATCTATCAGCTCCCAGGTGAAAGCTCTGAGATAAAGGCTTCAGGAGTGGTCCGATCAAGGTGCATGTTACTTGGACTTTGTCTCTGCCCAAGTTGCAGCCCCTTTGCTCCGAGGGTTGCATCGCACTCAGCACCTCCCTCCCTGCCCCCCTTGGGGTCCCAGGATGGCTGCCACTGCGGCTCCAAGTCAAACCTCCTCCGAATTGTGGGGTAGATTCCACCTCTTACTCTGACTGGACACGCTTCACCCCTCAGGGCATGCGAGAGAATGGGAGGTGAAGGTTCACAGAGGAAATTGGGGTGCTCCCTGTGAACAGAGCTGCAGATGGGAGGCCCTGGTGCTCTCTCCTGGCTTCTGTCAAACCTGGCTGCCCCCCCCAGGTGCCGCCCATCCTGCCTCCAACCCATTTGGACCCTCAGCCCATCCTGGCAGCTTCCTGCCCACTGGCCCCCTGACAGGTGGGTGTCTCTGAATTCAGCCCACGCAGCCTGGCTGGTTCCTCAGCAGCCTTGTGGCGGGGGAATTAGGTGGGCGGGAAGGTGGCCCCGAGCCCCAGGGAGCCCCTTGGGTCATGCAGGCAGTACCCACCAGGCCCAAAGCCTCTACAGCAGCCCCCACTGGGCCAGGTGGGAGCCGCAGCCCACGCCTCACAGACCTCTGGGTCCCGCGGTTGCCCCCACAGACCCTTTCAGCAGACCGAGCACCTTTGGGGGCCTGGGCAGCCTGAGCAGCCACGCCTTTGGGGGCCTGGGCAGCCATGCACTGGGTGAGTGACCCAGCCTGTGCCCCCCTCCCCCGATGCCCGCGCCCCTCCCCCATGCCTGTGTCCTCTGCAGGAACCCCGATGCCTGGCTGACCTCCCTCCTCTCTGGGCTGGGCCTCCTTGGGGCACCCCCTTCTCAGTGTCAGCCTGGGACCCTTCTAAAACCCCTACCGGGTTCTCCTGGGGAGTGGCTGGGGAGCAGACAGACCCAACCTCATGCTCCCCGGCCTCTGCCCCCAGCTCCCGGTGGCAGCATCTTTGCCCCCAAGGAGGGCTCCTCCGTGCACGGCCTGCCCAGCCCCCATGAGGCCTGGAACCGACTGCACCGGGCACCGCCCTCCTTCCCGGCTCCGCCCCCGTGGCCCAAGTCCGTGGACGCGGAGCGGGTGTCAGCCCTGACCAACCATGACCGAGAGCCGGACAATGGCAAGGAGGAGCAGGAACGGTGAGTGGCCCTCTTGTTCCGTATCCCCACCACACACCCCTACCCCGTTCTTTCCCCCCTCCCGTCATCCCCGGTTCCCCCTCCCCCGTTCCCTCTTCTCCCCGTTTCCTCTCCCTCACCGTTCCCCCTCCCCCTGTTCCCCTTCCCCGTTCCCCCTCCCCCATTCCCTCTCACCCTCCTCGCCCCACTGCTGCGCACTCACAGTCTGTCCAGCTCTGCTGAGCCCCGGGGTACGGGGGCCAAAGCTCTGCTCCCCGGCGACTCCTCCCTGCGGTGGGGAGTGAAGCCTGGGCCCTGGGGCTAGGAAGGATGAGGAGGGTGAAGACCCCACCACAGGCACCCACACCTGCCATCCGGGAGACCTCCAGGTGGCCGCGCCCTGACCCACGGAGTTTGAGGGAGGAGTTCGGGGGTGCGGCTGCCGGGAGGCCCCCCTGTCCTAACAGGGAGGGGCCCGTGGGGAGCCGAAGTCGCTGCAGGCGGCTCATCCCGCTTCCGTCTCCCGGCCAAGGTTTCCAGGCCGCCCAGCGGGGAGAGGACGCGTAGGTTTTGGGAGCCTGTGGGGGTGCGGGAGCTGTGGGTGCTGAGGGGTCACCGGCCACCCAGAAACTGGAGGCCCCGACAAGCAACGGGAACATCCCGGGGCTGCGCCGCGCGGCAGGACGGAGGTCTCGGGAGTGACGGGTCCGCCCTGCCGCCCCCAGGGACCTCCTGGAGAAGACGCGCCTGCTGAGCCGGGCCTCGCCCGCCACCCCCGCTGGCCACCCCGTCAGCGGCCTCCTGCTCCGGGCCCAGAGCGAGCTGGGCCGGTCCGGGGCCCCCGCGGAGCGCGAGGCCGAACCTCGGGTCAAGGAGAGCCGCTCCCCGGCCAAGGAGGAGGCCGCCAAGATGCCCGCGCGCGCATCCCCGCCCCACAGCAAGGCGGCCCCTGGAGACGTGAAGGTCAAGGAGGAGCGCGGGGAGGACGAGGCCTCCGAGCCCCCGGCGGGCGGCCTGCACCCCGCGCCCCTGCAGCTCGGCCTGGGCCGCGAGCGCCTGGGCGCGCCGGGCTTCGCGTGGGAGCCTTTCCGCGGCCTGGAGCTGCCACGTCGCGCCTTCCCCGCTGCCGCCCCCGCCCCGGGCTCCGCCGCCCTCTTGGAGCCCCCGGAGCGCCCCTACCGCGACCGCGAGCCCCACGGCTACAGCCCCGAGCGCCTGCGCGGGGAGCTGGAGCGCGCGCGGGCCCCGCACCTGCCGCCCGCCGCCCCCGCCTTGGACGGCGCGCTGCTGCCCTCGCTGGGAGCCCTGCACTTCCCGCGCCTCTCGCCCGCCGCGCTGCACAATGGGCTCCTGGCGCGGACCCCGCCCGCCGCCGCCGCCCTCGGCGCACCGCCCCCCCTGGTGACGGCGGCCGGGCCCCCCACGCCCCCCGGGCCGCCGCGGAGCCGGACTACTCCGCTGGGGGGCCTCGGGCCGGGCGAGGCGCGCGACTACTCCCCGTCCCGAAATCCCCCGGAGGTGGAGGCGCGGTAGCCCCGGGGCCGCAGACGCCTCTCCGAGCGGAGCGCACCGCTGTCCGTCTCTCCATCAGTTCCTAGAACTCAAGCACAGCTCCCGCCGATCCTGGGGCGGCGCCGCCTCTCCACCCGCAGCCTGCGGAGGCGGGGACTTGGGTGTCGGCTTTTCTGAGGGTGATCTTTTGTTTTCCGAGTTTGGGATTCGGCTGTTGGGAAAAAAAAATCGCGTTTGTACCTTTTCCCCCCACAGATGAGAAGTGTTTGTAATGGATTTGTATTTTTCTTAATTTTATGCTCTTTAGACGTTTAAAAGAACCAAAAAAGAAACTTTTGCTTCTTCGTTTTCGGTTGGGATTTGCAGTTTAATGGCCTCAGATCCTTCTCCAGATCCCCAGGGTTTCTTTGTCTTATTTATGGAGAAAAACCGGTCACTTTGTCCAGCGCACTGTGAGGCCCCCACTCAGGCCAGCCCTGGCCCCCCCTTGGTACTTGGAACCGAAGTTACAGATTATATTAAAATAATAATGTACAAAACTTTGTTTTTTTGCCTTATTATGCAGAAGTGTAATTTCTTTTTTGGTTTGTTTTTTTAAAAGCAAACGAAACGTGTAAATAGTCTGTTGATATAAATATATGACGTTACTAAATTCTTAATCTAGATAGACTTTATAAAAACCGTTTCCAGAAACCCCTCTGGTTGTTTGTCTAACATGGTCACAAAAACCCAGGCGCTGCTGGCTGTAAACATTATCAGAAGTTTAATGGCAGCAACTTTCCTTCAACTATGCAAGCGCTTCCCGGCGGCTCTGCTGGTTGGGGGAGGAAGGTTCCGCCAGCGACCTCCCAGCCCCTGGGTCCGTGGAGGGGTTGGGTCCCCCAGCAGAGCCCCTGGGCCAGCAGAACAGCACTCCTGGGCGGCTCCTGTGGGCTTCAGGACTGGCCGGCTCCAGCCGCAAGGGCGATGCTGTGGACGTTTGTGTGGATGGTGCAGTGTTCTTGGAATCTGTAGACCAGATCGGTGGAGGTATAGAAGTGCAAGAGTCTAAAGGCTGATTTTACACACACACACACACACACACACACACACACAAAATCACTGCTGTGTGTTTTCTTCCGCCTGAGGCATCAGCGTCACCTCGGTGTGGTCGTCGCCTCCCAGGCCCTTGGCCTGGCCTCCTCTCAGTTTGGGTTTTGCCCTCACCCACATGAGCCCCCCCATGCCCTGCCCCCCTTGCGGCCTTTTGTGTTCCCCGATGTCTGGGCTGTGTCCCTGCCGGGATTCCCAGCCTTCGGGGTCAGCCGTCGAGCCACTTGCTTTGCTCAGTTCTGTGTTTCAGCCACATTTCCACGGTGGACCCTGTTTGTTTTAAATATTCTGTTCCCATGTCAATCAGTGACGATAAATACAGCCTTGATTTGGATGAAACTGTGGTCGCGTGTTCTGTGGTGTTGGGGGGCCAGGCTCACCCAGGCTGACCCCTGCAGCCGTGCGTCCCTCCTGCAGCACCTTGGGATGCTGGGCGCCTCGGCGGCCCCACGCTGTCCGGTGCCATCGCCCCGGAAGTGAAGCACAGCAGGTCCCAGCTTCCCAGCCCTGCTGCCACCCCGGCTCTGCCCAGCCCCCTCCCCCAGTGCCACCTCTCCCGGTGGAAACCCCAGCTCCTGGCTCTGCCGGATGCCCCATTGTGCTCCTTCGTTCTTGGGGGTGTCACGCGGCCTCCCGTCGTCCCACCCCCAGCGACCCCGCTGGCCGCCTTCCCTCACATCCACGGGGTTTTCTGCATAGAAGGTGCTCTTAGTTCCCGCCTTTGTGCCAGAGAGTTCTGGCCCCGCAGGGACTTGTGGGATTGGCTTTGCCCTGGCTGTGCCCGAAGGAACAGGAGCTCAGAGGGCAGGAGCCAGGTGCAGAGGTGGCAGCCCCCACCCTCCAGTGCAGTGAGCGCCAGGCCCACCTGCCTTGAGTGATGGTCAGGAAAGCTCCAGGTGCACACCTGGCCTTGACCTGAGTGTCACCCCCACCCTGTCCCTGCCAATTCACTCCTCACTAAGGGGCCCCAGGGCTGCAACCTAAGAAGGAGGCCTCGTGGGCCCACCGCGCGCCCAGCAAGGAGTGCCCTGCGTCCCACAAGACCCTTCCAGGCTGGCAGGAGGGGCAGGTCCCAATCCACGCCCCACCAGGTCATTGTCTGGGGCCTGGACCATCTGCCATGTGGGGCTTCTATATAAGGGTTTGCTTCCTATGGAGTCAGCCCCACCACCCTGCAGGCCTGTGTGTCCCAACTTGGGCTTCAGCCTTTACGGTGAGCTGCCACTTAGCGATGGGGAGACACTGGGAAATGTGTCATGCGATTTTGCCACTGTGTGAATATCACAGCGCGTGGCACACACCTGGATGGGGCAGCCTATTGCTCCTGGGCTGCACCCCATGTGACTCCTGAATCCCATCGGCAGCTGTAACCCGGCGCATGAAAAGGTACAGTAAGAATGCAGCATTCTGGCCAGACGTGATGGCTCACGCCTATAATCCCAGCACTTTGGGAGGCTGAGGTGGGCAGATCACCTGAGATCAGGAGTTTGAGACTAGCCTGACCAACATGGTGAAACCCCATCTCTACTAAAAATACAAAAAATTAGCCGGGCGTGGTGGCGCTCGCCTGTAATCCCAGCTGAGGCAAGAGAATCGCTTTAACCCAGGAGGCAGAGGTTGCGGTGAGCTGAGATGGCACCACTGTACTCCAGCCTGGGAGACAGAGGGAGACTCTGTCTCAAAAAAAAGACAGAAAGAAAAGAATCCAGCATTCTAATCTTCTAGGGCCGCCCCTGCCTATGCAGCCTGCCCTTTCCCACAGCGCGGCTGGACGGCACATGGCTATGCTTCACGTCCCCTTGTCTTGGTTATTCCAACCTATGCATCTAATCTTCAGGAAGACCCCAGGAATGCATATTCTGCCCTGAGTGAGCTGATTGTGTTAGTCACCCACACAGGCCTGCTCTGCCCTGGGGCTGGTCTGACCCAAAGCCCCAAGGCCCCTGCAGGGCAGCCCAGCAGCGAGTAGGAGGCAAGGCCAGGACCCAGCGGCGAGGAGGAGGCAGGGCCAGGGCCCAGCGGCGAGGAGGAGGCAGGGCCAGGGCCCAGCGGCGAGGAGGAGGCAGGGCCAGGGCCCAGCCCTGTGGCCCCAGAGATCTGGGAACATACCTGTAAAGCGCAGCTGGAAGGTGGTCAGCAGTGCGGCTGGAGGGAGGGCGGCAGTGCGGCTGGAGGGAGGACGGCAGCTGGAGGGTGGACGGCAGTGCGGCTGGAGGGAGGGCAGCAGTGCGGCTGGAGGGAGGGCGGCAGTGCAGCTGGAGGGAGGGCGGCAGTGCAGCTGGAGGGTGGACGGCAGTGCGGCTGGAGGGTGGACGGCAGTGCGGCTGGAGGGAGGACTGCAGTGTGGCTGGAGGACGGCAGTGCAGCTGGAGGGAGGGTGGCAGTGCGGCTGGAGGGAGGGCGGCAGTGCGGCTGGAGGGTAGAGAGCAGTGTGGCTGGAGGGAGGACAGCAGTGTGACTGGAGGGAGGGCAGCAGCTGGAGGGTGGACAGCAGTGCAGCTGGAGGGAGGACGGCAGTGCAGCTGGAGGGAGGGTGGCAGTGCAGCTGGAGGGAGGACGGCAGTGCAGCTGAAGGGAGGACGGCAGTGCGGCTGGAGGGAGGACGGCAGTGCGGCTGGAGGGAGGACGGCAGTGCAGCTGGAGGGTGGGCAGCTGGAGGGTGGGCAGCACTCCAGGGCCATCCGCTGGCCAGAACTACCTGCGAGCCCAGGGATGCCATGTGAAGGAGTGAAATGGTGAAATGTCCGCCTTTAAGTCAAAGCACACAGCCTGCATTGAGGCACAGAGAAGGGGGGAGGGGACCCCATCCAGGCAGTCCCTCTGGGCTGCCTTCCAATGTAGGGCCAGCCCTGGCACTGAGGCAGCCATCCCTCCCCAGGCATCATCCTTGAGGGGAGTAATCTCTGATGGTGCAGAATCCAAGGTAGACTTCTTCCCAGGAGCACTCTGTGGGGGGTACACTCCTGGGAGCACTCTGTGATAAGAGTACCTTCTTGGGAGCATTCGTGAGGGAGCACCCTCCTGGGAGCACTCTGTGAGGAGGGGCACCTTCCTGGGAGCACTCTGTGAGGGAGCACCCTCCTGGGAGCACTCTGTGAGGGAGCACCCTCCTGGGAGCACTCTGTGAGGAGGGGCACCTTCCTGGGAGTACTCTGTGAGGGAGCACCCTCCTGGGAGCACTCTGTGAGGAGGAGCCCCTTCCCGGGAGCATTCTGTGAGGGTACACGCTCCTGGAAACACTGTGAGGGGGCACACAGCTCAGAAGGTCAGCAGTCCAAGCAACCCACCCCCTGGCCCTGGAGGATTTTGGTCAGGCTATTTCCATCTCACCTGGTAACTTAGAACTTGGGCTAAGTTACCCTCCTGTAAAACTTGGAACCTGGGTAACTTAGAACTTGGGTAAGACTGACCCTGCTGTAAAAATCAGGAGTTGAAATTCTACTTTATTTCAACAAGACCTGAAAGATGCGGTCAGGCAAATGGAAGTACATCTGATGTTGACAGAAAAATAAAGGTTTTAATATATGTTTTAACATTCTATCCTTCATAGAATAGATACAGGGTTTTAAAAACACTCAACCTGGGTGACATTTGTCAAGCAGCTGCAGTGACTCCTGGCCAGCCCAGGAGAGAGAGGAACAGCATCAAAGTCCATTCTGTTACTACGAGACTCAGGGCCTGGCACGCAACAGGGGCCAGGTGTGTCCTGGACGGGCAAAGGCACCGAAGAAGGAGGAAGCCTCCCAGACGCCCTGCTGGGCTCCTCCTGGCAATGCCTGGACCCCTCACCAGCAAGGGAGTGGAGTCCCAGGACAGGCATGGACCCTGGAATGCCCTGGGTGTCCAAACTAGCCTGTTCTCCGTGCCTTGTCCTCAGGTGGCCACCTCTGTGTCGGGGCTTCCCCTGCTCTCTCGTGAGGACTAGTCTGCGTTTACACTCTACCTGGGTAATCCAGGAAAGCTGCACAGCCTCCACATCCTTACTTTAATCACATTTGCTCAGACGTGGCCTTCTAGGTGACGTACTCGCAGGTTCCAGAGATCGTGCCATGGAGATCTTCCTACCACTGACGGGAACCTGGAATTCAAGGATCTTGACGCAGGCTGTAAGTATTCACAGCTGACAACGCTGAGTTCTCTGCAGCGTCGGCTGGGATCCTATCCACAGCCCAAGGGCACATGGCGCTGCTGGGAGAGGCCAGTGGCCAGTGCTCTTGTGTCCAACAGGCTCTACACGCTGGGGAAGGCCCAGAGAGAAAGGAGTGTGCCTGCAAGTACAGGATCTATGACCACGACGCTGTCAACACACAGGGTTTTCCCACAGGACACGTGTTCTGGAGGCAGAGGTTCAGGAGGTGCTGCAGGAGCTTGAGTCAGGCCTGGCATTTCTGTGATTCTCTTGGCCTTTCCTTGCTCATTGCCTCATAGTTATGAAATAGCTGCTGTAGCTCCAGGCATTACATCCACCTGCCAAGGAGAGAGATCAGTGAAGGGGAGATGGTGAGTGCCAACCTTGTCTGGAAAGACAGGGCCTCCCCAGGGTTCCCCCTCACCACCAGAGGGTCTCTGCTGAGGTGTCATCGGCTGACACTGGGGGGCCTGCACCCCTCGTCAACAGGGCAGGGGAGGTGGGCCGCACCTGGCCTGCTGGCTAAGGGCCCAGGTTCTTGGTGGGAGCTGGACTAACCCAGGGGCCTTTGGGAAACCTGAAGGTCATTTTACATCCGGCATCCGCACACCTGAGACCTTCATGGACTTCAAATCCACAACATTTTACTATAAATTATTTTTATTTTTCTGTTATACCACAGTTTGGGGCTTATATATTTGGGGGCCTTAGATATTTTTTCCCTAAAATTATATGTGAAGCTTTTAAGAACTGAATTTCATTTCTAGATAGAAAAGAAAGCATCATAAAATATTTACCATGAAGGCTTCAGACCGACTGCCTCACACTGACCCCAATTCCTTCCTTCCTGGGTGGTCTCGGGGCTGCTCGGAGCTGAACAGGGTCCCCTTCGACAGGGTTCGGGGGGATGGATGTGGCCTTGCTGAACACAGCAGCAAACAGGAAAAGAGGCCTCATGGAAACAGCTGAGCCCGTGTGGCCCCCTGGAAACCTCACCCCAGCCCCACGAGAGGCTCAGCATCCAGCCGCCAGGCCGGAGGGTTCTGGGGGCAGGGAGGGTCAGAACCACATCTCGTAATCCTGCAGCGGCTTGCGGCTGAGGATTGTGACCGCCTGTCCCCCCACCCTGCCACTAGGGAGGCCACCAGGACACGGCTGCCTCCTAGTCAGGAAGAGGCTCGAGGGCTGAGTTGACCAAGCAGGGGCCAGGTGTCTGCACCTGGGCGGCCCAGAGGCTGCATGGTCCCTGGGCCTGACACTCACGGCTCCTGTTTCTGCCCCAGAGAAGCAGATCTGGCACCCCTGCTCATCAAGTTCAACGTGTAAATGGAAACAGCAACTCAACTGTTGGGATTTCCCTCCTTTACATTTTTGTTCTAAAATTTTTTTTTTGGAGACAGAATCTCGCCCTGTCACCCCGGCTGGAGTGCAGTGGCGCAATCTCGGCTCACTGCAACCTCCGCCTCCCACATTCAAGCGATTCTCCTGCCTCAGCCTCCCAAGTAGCTGAGATTACAGGCAGTAGCTGAGATTACAGGTGCCCACCACCACGCCTGGCTAATTTTTTGTATTTTATTAGAGACGGGGTTTCACCATGTTGGCCAGGATGGTCTCCACCTCCTAACCTCATGATCCGCCAGCCTCGGCCTCTCAAAGTGCTGGGATTACAGGCGTGAGCCACCACACCCGGCCTAATTTTGTATTTTTTAATAGAGACAGGGTTTTGCCATGTTGGCCAGGCTGGTCTCAAACTTCTGACCTCAGGTGATCCACCCACCCTGGCCTCCCAAAGTCCTGGGAGTACAGGCGTGAGCCACTGCGCCAGCCTAGATTTTAGAAAAAGAAATTATAGGACTGATGCATGTTCCTTGTCACAAGCAAAAGAATCCATGAGTGATCAGGAAAGCAGCCACTCCCTCTGGGGACACTACCTGTGCTGTGGAACCGTCCGAGGGAGCTGGACTCCTCATGCTCCAGGAAGAACCGCGGGTGCTCCATGATGCCAGCCCCTGTGGCTGTGTCCGGTTCGTGGATTAAGTCTTGTCTATCAAACTGCACCTTCTGGGACAAACATTTTTTGTGGGATTTGATTCTCCAACGTGGAACTGTGGGTTCAGAAACGGTGCTTATCTGTAACTTGTATTTGTTATTTTAAAAATTTCAGCTTGAAAAGTTGCAAGCGCCGTTCACATAACTCTTTCCTGACCTCAGAGCGAGCTGGTAACCCTCCACCTTCGCTCTCGGCACCTTCTGTCCGTTCCGGCAGGCAGGCTGTCCGTCCCAGTCCACACCGCAGCCCCCCAGCATCAACGAGCAGCACAGCTCCCTGCCTGGTGCAGGGCCTCAGCATTCACGCTGCTTCCTCCTGGGAGAGCCCGCCCCGCCTCTCAGGGACTCTCACAACCTTGGTGCGCAGAAGGTTCTGGACCGCAATTCGGGGACGCCCTCACTGGCTTTCTCCGGAGCGTGGGCATTGGAGTGGAAATACGTAGAATTGCTGGGGATCCTCGAAGCCGCCGGCAGCGCCCGATGCCAGCTTGTCCCATCAGGCGTTGGTCCCGACCTGCACTCAGCCACCTGCCCCCGGTTTTGTAATTGAGCATTGAGGGGAAGATGCCTGAACCCATATGAAACCTCTTTCCCCTCAAACGTTCCCTGCACGCATCAATTACATCAGCGCAGCTGGGCCTTCCCCTGAGCGTGATGTCCAGGGGCGAGGCCAGTGGCTTCCTGCGCGTGCCCGTCCCCACTCACAGCCCCTGACCTCCGGGGCCCCCACGCACCAGGCGCTCCCTGCCCGGCCCCATCTCCCGGAGCCCTGGAGGCTCAGCCTGGGTGTCGTGTGTGCCTCGTGCTCTTGGGAAAGTTACCTGTGTTTCTTCACATCTATATTTATTTACTTCCAAAACCACCAAGGTGTGTTGAAAACCCTGGAATTCCAGGCCAGGCGCGGCAGCTCACGCCTGTAATCCCAGCACTTTGGGAGGCCGAGACGGGCAGATCACGAGGTCAGGAGATCAAGACCATCCTGGCCAACATGGTGAAATCCCGTCTCCACTAAAAATACAAAAAAAAAAAAAAATTATCCGGGTGTGGTGGCGGGCGCCTGTGGTCCCAGCTACTGGGGAGGCCGAGGCAGGAGAATGGCTTGAACACGGGAGGTGGAACTTGCAGTGAGCCGAGATCGCGCCACTGCACTCCAGCCTGGGCGACAGAGCGAGACTCCATCTCAAAAAAAGAAAAAAAAGAAAACCCTGGAATTCCAGTCCGACCGCACAGGGCTCATCCCGTGCTCCTGGCATCCACTGGCTTCCCCACGGCGGGGAGCCCGCCTGCTCCCCTTGCAGATGCCCCTACTCCTCACCTGAGCCCAGCACCCACCCGGGGCCGCCCACCCGGCACAGCGCCTGCCCTCTGCTCGGCCCCGGCCACCCCAAGCCGGCGCAGGGTCCATGCTGTACTCCCAACCCCTGGCTCCCCACGGCCCGTGAGGATGCTCAGCCTCATGCAAAGGTCTCAGGACGAAATTGTCCAGGAAGGGAAGGCGAGCGGGAGGAAGGGGGCGGGCAGACAAGCTGTGCGGCCTCTTCTCGCCTCTCCTGGCTGCGCCCTCAGGTCCCCGATTCGAGCTTCCTGCCCCCACTGCCTGCATCCTACCGGCGCCTGACTGCACTTAGGGCCTCCTGGAAGTGCAGACTCGCCTCTCCATCTCAAGACCCTTAACTTACTTACACCTGCGAAGCTCCTGTTACCACATGTGGCAGCACTCCCAGGTTCCACGGCGGGGATGCGTCTCCGTGCCGTCGCTCAGCCGACCACGCAGCCCTCCCGGCCCCTTCCTGTCTTGGATGCGGCTGAGATTTCTGGAGCACAGCAGCCGTCCTGCAGCTGCAGCGAGTATTTAGAGTTCATAGCACAAGCCTGCCCCTATTTAAGTTGCAGAAATAACACATTTATCTCCAGGATTTGCCCCAACCCTTGCTCATCTCCAGGCCTCAGCCTTCCTGACACAATTCCACCTCCCTGGTACAGATGCTCGTGGCTCCTCAAGACACATTTTAAATCTTTTTTCTTTATTGAGCTGAAATTCACATCACATAAAATGAACCGTTTTAAAGCGTACAATTCGGTAGCATTTAGTCCATTTGCGATGTTGAGTGACCCTCACTCCCGTCTGGTTCCAAACGCTCTCCACCTGGAAGAGAACTCCCTCCCCGTGAGCATCTCTCCCACCGCCGCCCTGGCAACCCGGGCCTCCTCCCGCCTCCGGACCCGCCTGTTCTGGGCCTGCATAGAAACGGAAGCTCACAGTCGGGGCTGTGTGTCTGGCTTCTGTCCCCCATCGCCATTCTCCAGGCTCACCCCCTGCAGCCGTGCGGGCCTCATTCTTTTCCTGGTGGAATCCTGTTCCCTGGTGTGGAGGGCCACGCTGGGCTTATCTGTCGATCGTTTGTGGACACCTGAGCAGCTATGAAGAGTCTGCTTTGAACATCTGTGGACAACAATTTGTGTGACGTCTGTTTCCGATTCTCTTGGGTTTGTCCCAGGAGTGAGCTTTGGGGTCAGATGTCCAAGTTCACAGTCACACTCGAGCCGTGACCTCGGCCGGGGCCTTGCCAGGTCCAGTCCTGGCCTCAAGATGCCCCTTCAGGGTCAGCCCGCAGCCAGGGGTCCCAGAGCAGGCAAGGGCTTGAGGAGGGCCTCCCGGGGCTGGGGCACCTGCCTTTCAGGTGAAATATCAGAGTGTTCAACCCAGACCATACCAATGGCACCCGCGCGGAGTGCAGTCACCAGGGAACCGCCCTGCGGCGATGGCCCCGGCGGGGAGAGGGTGGGTGACGTGCGCTGCGGAGCATCTGCCCTGGTGGAGGTGCAGCCCCACTCAAAAAGGTTCACCGTGTGAGTTAAAGATGTTTACTGTGAACCCTGAAGCAACCACTAAAACAACAAAACAAAATTCTGGCTCATAAGCCAACAACTGCAATCAAACAGGATCATCAAACAGAATCCAAGGAAGGAAGAGGAAATGGGAAAGGGAGAGCCGGTGACAGCAGCGGGAGCAGAGAGCAGGACGGCGGGCGTGGCCTCTACACAGTGAGACCAATGGGAGCAGAGAACAGGATGGCAGGCGTGGCCTCTGCATAGTGAGACCAAAGGGAGCAGAGAACAGGAAGGTGGGCGTGGCAACTGCACACTGAGACCAATGGGAACAGAGCAGGACAGCAGGCGTGGCCTCCACGCAGCCACAGCCACACCGGAGCAAGTGGTCAGACAGCCCCAGTTAAGAGCAGAGATTGCCAGGGAGGGTAGGACAGCAAAACCCAACGCTAAACTGCTCATGAGAAATGCACTTTAGATATGGACACCAATAAGTCAAAAGGACAGGAAAAGCTATGCCATGCAAACAAAAATTTTTAAAACCTGCAGTGACTATGTCAATATCAAAGTAACTTCAGGGGCCGAGCACGGTGGCTCACGCCTGTAATCCCAACACTTTGGGAAGCTGAGGCGGGCAGATGACTTGAGGTCAGGAGTTCGAGTCCAGCCTGGCCAACATGGCGAAACCCTATCTCTACGAAAAATACAAAAAGTAGCTGGGCATGGTGGTGGGCGCCTGTAATCCCAGCTACTTGGGAGGCTGAGGCAGGAGAATCACTTGAACCTGGGAAACAGAGGTTGCAGTGAGCCGAGATCGTGCCACTGCACTCCAGCCTGGGCAACAGAGCGAGACCTTGTCTCAAATAAAATAAAATAAAAACAAATATATATTAAAATTTTAAAAAATTGCAGCTGGACACGGTGGCTCACGCCTGTAATCCCAGCACTTCGAGAGGCCGAGGCAGGTGGATCACCTGAGGTCAGGAGTTCTAGACCAGCCTGGCCAACATGGTGAAACCCCGTCTCTACTAAAAATACAAAAATTAGCTGGGCATGGTGGCGGGCGCCTGTAATCCCAGCTACTTGGGAGGCTGAGGCAGGAGAATCACTTGAACCCAGGAAGCAAAGGTTGCAGTGAGCCGAAATCCCGCCACTGCACTCCAGCCTGGGCGACAGAGTGAGACTCCATCTCAAAAAAAAAAAAAAAAAAAAGAATTCCCAGGCAAAGAGCTATCAAGGATGAAGATGCTCTCAGGCAGTCTCAGGCAGGCAAGGGTTCAGGCACACATTTATTCCCTGCATATTTTCTTTGGAAGCTACCAGAGGAAACATTTAAGTAAAATAAGAGTGCACACCAACAAAAAGAACCCAACTGGAAGGACAGCAAAGAGAAGCTCCAGATGACCGCCTCGCAGCAGTTAGAGGTGGAGTCTGGGCTGGCTGCAGCGGCTTACGCCTGTAATCCCTTTGGGAGGCCAGGATGGGAGGTTCGTTTGAGGCCAGGAGTTTGAGACCAGTCTGGGCAACATAGCAAGACCCCATCTCTACAAATAAATAAATTAGCTGGGCATGGAGATACGTGCCTGTGGTCCCAACTACTTGAGAGGCTGAGGCGGGAGGACCCCTTGAGCCCAGGAAGCGGAGGCTGCAGCGAGCCGGGATTGCACCACTGCACTCCAGCCTGGGCAACCATATCTGTCCTCACGAGACACAGGAACCTCATGCTAAGGGAAGAGGCATCGGGGAAGAAAACATGCAGCATAAAGTTCCTGATTTCTCACCCCATGAACTCGACAATTAGCTTGTCAAATTGTGTTAAATTTTTTAGCTGTGACCTTTATGTTGGGATAGCACTGGATTTATAAGTGAATTTGGGGGAGAATCGATGTGGATCTGAAACACCACACAGCTCTCAGGGCTGATTCCGTTTCCTCTTTCGTCATCTGGTGAAGGTTTTGATTTTCCTCATCTAAGTCTCGGAGCTCCTGGTGAGTTTACTTCCAGGTGTTCAAGCTTTGACGACGGTGGTGAGTTGTCGCGGGCCACTGTGGCCCGGGTGACTGGACGTTTTCTGTTTGTATCTTGCTCCCTGGCTATGGCAGATGCTCCACTTGCCAGGTATACTCAGCTCCCCACACCGCGAGCACACGCAGGACTGTGCGTCCAGCCCTCATGGCTGTTCTGGTTACAGGCCCGTTGGGGAGCGTGCGCTGCCTTGGGCCCGGAGCACTCAGCGCTGGCATCATCCTCTCCAGAGCCTCTCGTGTTCTCTGACACAGCAGCCAGGAATGTTTCCAAGGGTGACATTACAAGGATATCTCCAGCAGCCTGGCTCTCGGTGAGGAAGATAGAGCAGGGCGCCCGAGGGGCACACGTTGGACGGCAAGGGCGTGTGGCTGTCCCAACCCTGGGAGCAGGGCTGCTCCTCAAGGCAGCATGGCCTCACCTGCCCTTGCTGACAGGCCGGCTGACCCCTCTGACGCCTTCCAGCAGCGTTTCCAGTGCTTTTCTTTCTTCCCAGGAAGATACTGGGCCAGCGCCATCAGGGGTGGCTCATCGGTCGTCGTGGTGGTCTCACGTGTCTCCTGTGCTTTTTGACGCCAGCTGGGACTTCCCGGTCACGGTGAGTAGGACGGGCAGCGGGCATGACTTTCCTTGCTCCTGTCTTTGGTGGGGACGTTCCTAATGCTTCCAGGAAAGTATGATGCTTGCTGTAGGTGTATGCGGAAGAGTTTAATATTCAATTACTAGATTTTCTTCAATGTTAGCTTTTGTTTTTGTTTTTGTTTTCTTTTTGACACGGAATCTCACTCTGTTGCCCAGGCTGGAGTGCAATGGTGCGATCTCAGCTCACTGCAACCTCCACCTCCTGGGTTCAAGCGATTCTCCTGCCTCAGCCTCCCAAGTAGCTGGGATTACAGGCGCCCACCACCACGCCCGTCTAATTTTTGTATTTTTAGTACAGACGGGGTTTTGCCATGTTGGCCAGGATGATCTCAAATTCCTGACCTCAGTTGATCCACCCGCCTCAGCCTCCCAAAGTGCTGGGATTACAGGCATGAGCCACTGCACCTAGTGATGTTAGCTTATTTTATTTATTTATTTATTTATTTTTTGAGATGAAGTCTTGTTCTACTGCCCAGGCTGAAGTGCAGTGGTGCAATCTCAGCTCACCACAACCTCCGCCTCCCGGGTTCAAGTGATTCTCCTTCCTCAGCCTTCCGAGTAGCTGGGACTACAAGCATGTACCACCATGCTTGGCTAATTTTTGTATTTTTAGTAGAGACGGGGTTTCACTATGTTGGCCAGGCTGGTCTCGAACTCCTGACCTCGTGATCTGCCTGTCTCGGCCTCCCAAAGTGCTGGGATTACAGGTGTGAGCCACTGCGCCTGGCCTGTTTATAATTTTTAAATCTTCCTTTTTTCTGTGGCTTTTTTACCTGTCACATTTCTAATGCTGATTGCTATTTCTTTTGTCAATTCAACGCTTGTCTACCTTGTTCTATTTGGTGAAAAACAAATTTGGGGTTTTCTCTTCTTCTCCCCCCACTCTCTCTGTCTCTCTCTTTGTGTCTCTGTCCTTGTATGTCTCTGTCTCTGTGTCTCTTTGTGTGTCTCTGTCTCTATGTCTCTTTGTGTGTCTCTGTCTCTGTCCTCTGTCTCTGCGTGTCTCTGTGTCTCTGTCTCTGTGTCTCTCCTCTGTCTCTGTGTATCTCTGTCTCCATGTGTCTGTCTCTGTGTCTCTCCTTCTCTCTGTGTCCCTGTGTCTCTCCTTGTCTCTGTGTGTCCCTGTCTCTGTGTCTCTTTGTCTCTGTCTCTCCTTCTGTCTCTGTGTATCTCTGTCTCTCTGTCTCTGTGTCTCTTCTGTCTCTGTCTCTCCATCTCTGTCTCTGTGTATCTCTGTCTCTGTCTTTGTGTGTCTCTGTCTCTCCTTCTCTGACTGTCTCTCCTTCTCTGTCTCTGCCTCTCCTTCTCTGTCTCTGTGTCTCTCCTTCTCTCTGTGTATCTCTCTGTGTCTCTGTCTCTGTGTCTCTCCTTCTCTGTCTCTGTCCATCCTGCCATCGCACCGTCTACTGAAGTGCTCACTACGCGCCCCGCCTCCTCTCCGCGCGCCCCTCCTCTCCGCGCGCCCCTCCTCCTCTCCGCTCGCCCCTCCTCTCCGCGCGCCCCTGCTCCTCTCCGCGCGCCCCGCCTCCTCTCCGCGCGCCCCTCCTCCTCTCCGCGCGCCCCTCCTCCTCTCCGCTCGCCCCTCCTCTCCGCGCGCCCCTCCTCCTCTCCGCTCGCCCCTCCTCTCCGCTCGCCCCTCCTCTCCGCCCGCCCCTCCTCCTCTCCGCGCGCCCCTCCTCCTCTCCGCTCGCCCCTCCTCTCCGCTCGCCCCTCCTCTCCGCGCGCCCCTGCTCCTCTCCGCGCGCCCCTGCTCCTCTCCGCGCGCCCCTCCTCCTCTCCGCGCGCCCCTCCTCTCCGCGCGCCCCTCCTCCTCTCCGCTCGCCCCTCCTCTCCGCGCGCCCCTCCTCTCCGCGCGCCCCTGCTCCTCTCCGCGCGCCCCTCCTCCTCTCCGCGCGCCCCTCCTCCTCTCCGCGCGCCCCTCCTCTCCGCGCGCCCCGCCTCCTCTCCGCGCGCCCCCTCCTCTCCGCGCGCCCCTCCTCCTCTCCGCGCGCCCCCTCCTCTCCGCGCGTCCCCTCCTCTCCGCGCGCCCCTGCTCCTCTCCGCGCGCCCCTCCTCTCCGCTCGCCCCTCCTCTCCGCTCGCCCCTCCTCTCCGCGCGCCCCTCCTCTCCGCTCGCCCCTCCTCTCCGCGCGCCCCTGCTCCTCTCCGCGCGCCCCTCCTCTCCACCCACAGTCAGGATGCAGGAGGTTTCCAAGTTTGCATCCTCACTGTTGCTCTTCCTGCTCTGAGAAACCCTCCTAGCGACCAGGCTGACTGGCCTCCTCTGCTGTGAGTGAGGGTCCTGGCCTCCTGGCGTCCCTACGGTGGCCACAGCCCTCACAGTCGCTTCCTCACCTGGGCCCAGACCGCGGGCTCTCGGGACCCTTCACGGCTGAACCTCCACTGGGCAGCTGTGCGGAGACCGAGTTTCCTCCTGCAATTGCAGACTTCCATCTCCCCCGGCAGACATTACACACCAGCAAGCGCCCGCCTTCCCCCACCGCGTTATTAAAGCCACAAAGCACTTTACACGTTCCCTGGAGCTGATGGCCCCTCCGGGGACTAGAGCACTGTGCGGGGGGGCTTCATCTTGAAAAAAAATGCAAAAATTAGCCGGGCGTAGTGGCCCGCGCCTGTAATCCCAGCTACTCGGGAGGCTGAGGCAGGAGAATCGCTTGAACACAGGAGGCAGAGGTTGCAGTGAGCCGAGATCGCGCCATTGCACTCCAGCCTGGGCAACAGAGCGAGACTCTGTCTCAAAAAAAAAAAAAAAAGAAAGAAAGAAAGAAAGAAAAAGAAAAAAGAAAAAACAACCGGAAAACCAAACCAACACAACTTGTTCTTTTTTTTTTTTTTTTTTTTTGAGATGGAGTCTCCTTCTGTCGCCCAGGCTGGAGTGCAGTGGCGTGATCTCGGCTCACTGCAACCTCTGCCTCCCGGGTTCACACCATTCTCCCACCTCAACCTCCTGAGTAGCTGGGACTACAGGCGCCCGCCACCATGCCCAGCTAATTTTGTTTTTGTATTTTTAGTAGAGATGGAGTTTCACTGTGTTAGCCAGGATGGTCTCCATCTCCTGACCTTGTGATCCGCCCACCTCGGCCTCCCAAAGTGTTGGGATTACAGACATGAGCCACCACGCCCGGCCCTTTCTTTTCAGACAAGTTCCTGCTCTGTTGCCCAGGCTGGAGGGCAGTGATGCAATCACAGCTCACTGCAGCCTCGACCTCCTGGACTCAAGTGATCCTCCTGCCTCAGCCTCCCTAGTAGCTGGGACCACAAGCATGCACCACCACACCCAGCTAAGTTTTGTATTTTTTGTAGAGATGGAATCTTGGTATGTTGCCAAAGGTGGTCTCAAACCCCTGGGCTCAAGCAGTCCTCCTACCTCAGCCTCCCGAAGTGCTGGGAGCCACACTTCTTCCAGATGCTTTCAAGTTTGATGGGTTATGTTTACCTATTCTGTTCTGTCTTTTAAAAATTATCATTTTGTTAGAACTTGAGGATGAGTGGTCAAAATAACAACGATCACGTTGCGGCGTATCTGGCTTGTTCTCACTGTTAGGGTGGAAGCAACGGTTTCTCAGGATTTCGCTACAAGGATCGTCTCAGCCTTCTTGGACTGCCGTGCGGAACACCACACACCCAGCAGCTAAAATAATGACATTGAGATCCGGGTGCCAGCAGGACAAGCTCCATGAGGGCCCCCCTCTGGGTTGCAGGCAGCTGCCTTCCCAGGGCGTCCTCCCCCGGCAGGTGGGCATGGCAGGGCAGGGGGAGCTGGCACGCTCGGCTCTGTTGTCTCTTTTTTCTCACAGTGCGTGACTGTTTACCACCATGGTCACCTGGAGCCTCTTATTACAAGGGCGTGAATTCCCTTCTCGTAAGGCCCCTCACGGCCTCATCAAAACCTCAGTCACCTCCCAGAACCCCACTCCAGTCCCGTCACGCTGAGGCTCAGGGCCTGAACCCATGAATGCGAGGACACGATCAGTCCACAGCAAGGCTGTGTCCCTGAGGAGCAGGGGCGGACCCTGGCCACACTCTGGCCAGGCAGCGGCCGGGAGAGGGGGCCCATGCGGAAGGAACAGCCAGGCAGAGGCCGGGAGAGGGCGCCCATGTGGAAGGAACGGACAGGCGCACTCAGAAGCGGTGGCGTCTGACGCCCTTTCACGATGTTGTTTCGTTTTGTAATTTTCTTAGACTTCCAAATTCATAGTGAAGTTGACCCAACATGACAACAAACAGGATTCGAGGGGTTTGGACAGATGGGGGGATCATCGGTATCCTGGGGCCGGCAGCCTCACACTGATAGATGGTTCTGGAACTGCCCACCGGCAGCCCCTCTGCCATGGGTGGGTGCAGCGGGGGCTTCCCGGTTCAGTGGCTCCCCTGGCCGCGTAGACCCAGAGGTGCTTCCCTCTAGCGCACAGTGCTGCTGGCCCCGCTGTGGGCCCCCGGCCTCAACCCAGAGAGCTTCTCCAAATCAGTGGCTGTGGCCCCACCGTCTCCCGAGCGCCAGGCAGGGAACCCCTTCTGCATCCACCCTGGGGGCTGCCTGCTGGGCTCACTTTGCTCCTCCTGGAACCAGCGCACAACCCCTCACCGTAGACGCCCCTGTCCCCATGTTGGTGTGGCGTCTGCCGCCAACTGACTCTGACAAACACACGGTTGATGTTTCTGTGAAGTTTGGGAAAATAAGATCTTTTCACTGTACTGGGTCAAGACCTGTCCCTACTCGGCACGGCCCCCGTGTGCTTCCGGTATCTCTGCGGGAGGAGGAGCGCCAAGCAGCCGGGAGCTACCTGTGGGGAAGGTGAGTTGAGGAAG
This sequence comes from Homo sapiens, assembly GCF_000001405.40. NCBI lineage: Eukaryota > Metazoa > Chordata > Mammalia > Primates > Hominidae > Homo > Homo sapiens. The sequence continues at coordinate 132,601,332 of NC_000012.12, forward strand.
CTTTTCCCTGGTGTTGCTGGGCTCACCCCCGTGGGAATGGGCCCCGCGCCATGGCTCACTTCCATGGGGACGGCCCCCATTCCCTGGGTCACCCCCGTGAGGACGGCCCCCGAGCCCTGGCTCGCCCCCGTGGGGTCGGTCCCCACTCCCTGGCTCACCCCCATGGGGTCGGCCCCCACTCCCTGGCTCACCCCCGTGGGGTCGGCCCCCGAGCCCTGGCTCACCTCTGTGGGGACAGCCTGCAAACCTCAGCTCACCCACATAGGGATGGCCCCCGTGCTGGGCTCACCCATCTGACATCAACATGAAGGTAGGAGCCTGATGGTGTCTCCGACGTGTCCTGCTGGCATTGGGCAATCCTGTTTGAAGATTCCGGATCTAGACACTGGGGTGTGGGACGGCTTCAGACAGGTAGAGGTATGCGTGGAAAATTCAGTTCTCAGCAGCTTCTAATCAGGATGGAGGTTTGTTTTGACTTCTTATGGGAATCGCGTGATGGAGGCTGTGTCTGTCGCCCACACACGCCCAGGGAGGTTCACACCTGAGCAACTTGTATCCACAGAAAACATCGCTCAGCCCCATCCGTGGGAAGACTAAGTTGATTTTCCATTCTCCCATAGAAAACGTTACCAAATTGCCGTTTTGTAAACGTGATCCAAGGCTGTGCAGTCAGGAACTTTAGGGTAAAAAACGTGCTGTGCGATTCTGTGTGTGACGCCGCCTGTGTGAGCCTCCGATTCTGTGTGTGACGCCGCCTGTGTGAGCCTCCGATTCTGTGTGTGACGCCGCCTGTGTGAGCCTCCGATTCTGTGTGTGACGCCGCCTGTGTGAGCCTCCGATTCTGTGTGTGACGCCGCCTGTGTGAGCCTCTGATTCTGTGTGTGACGCCGCCTGTGTGAGCCTCCGATTCTGTGTGTGACGCCGCCTGTGTGAGCCTCCGATTCTGTGTGTGATGCTGCCTATGTGAGCTTCCTACACTCATGGTGTGCTGGGTCTTTCACCGTAAGTATGTTCAGTTTTAGGCCTAACACTGTGTTCATAATGTCATATGACTTTTCTTAAGGAAGTCGCCAAAACTATGTAACTTCAGGCTGTGCAGAGTTGACCGCGGCCAGGTGTTCCTGCCCCTGCAGGTCTCTCCTGGGGGAGCCTCAGATGGTCCGGCAGTCACAGAGATGGAAATCGTTTATGATTAGTTAGGAAAGGAAGACCCACGTGCCAGGGAAGGACTCGGGAACAAGACAAAAACAAATACACAGCAGCCCAGGCTGAAAACGGCAGGGATGGGGTGGGCTGGGGATGGAGGCATTTCCGGGAAGGTCAGGCAGATGGAATCAGAAACCGAACGAGGCAGAGAGACCCGCCCCCAGCCGCGCAGAGCCCAGTGCTGCCCTGGGGAGTCAGCGGCCAGAAGAGTTCTCGGCCTGAACCAGGGATCCTCCGAGGGGAGGGGAGGTGACCATGGAAGCTCAGCCAGGGCCTGGGGAAGGGGAAGGGGCCTGGGCTTGCGTCCCGGACGCGGGTGCCTATGTGCTGAGGACTGCCCGTGCCAGGGACAGGGAGGGAGCGATTTTTACCTGCGGTGACCACACGGGCTTGCACCCCTTTATTTGACGCCCCTGCAGTGTGGGGAGGTGACAGCAAACCCGATACTCTGGCCCTGGCCTCGCCTCCCACAGCATGGCCTGTGCCTCCCCAGGCTTCCCAGAAGGCCGCTCTGGCACGGACCCAGCCGACGCCACCTCTCTGTGACCTCCAGGTTTCCTTCAGATTTTATGCTTTTATTATTCAAAACACAGAAGGGGTGAGACACGGCTGCTCAGTCGGCCAGGAGCCTTTATTGATGTTTAACAATCAGGCTACACCCCAGTGCCTGGGATTTGTTCTCACAGACACTTCGCGCCACCAGGCTGGTCACAGCCTTTCAGTTCCCACAGATTTTCAGAGCCCCAGAAACAGCAGCACAAACCGTAAGGGAAGCTTCCGCTGGAACCAGCCCCCGCGCAACGCGGTCCTGCGTGAACATCCCAGGGCCCAGGCCGGTCCCTCGCGCCCAGGTTCGAGCTCACATCACTGAAGGAGAAGCCAAAGCTGAGGAAACGTGCAGGGGACGGGCCTCGAAGCGGCCGCGGAAGGAGGACGGGAACCCGGGGCCACAGCATCTCCCGGCACCAGCCTCGTGGGGGTCGGGACAGCACCCAGAGGCCGACGCCCACGCTCAGCTCGCGAGAGGGACGCCCACGAGCCGCGCCAGGCGCCCGGAGCTGCTCCCAGCGCCCACGAGGGCGCCTGGTGGTACCCGAGGGCGCCTGGTGGTACCCGAGGGCTGTGAACAAACCTCACCTCTGGGTGCCACGACCCTTTCACCCCAGACGGGAGCTCTGGGCTCCAGCAAACACGCACTTGCGCCCCCACCGCGTTTGCGCCGCTGGCGACCTGGCCCCCTCCCCTGGCCCCAGGGCTCAGCAGAGCGGGAGCCTGCACCGAGCACGGCTTGTCCCATGGATTTCCCGTCAGGAAAAGCCACAGCAGAGGTCGGGGGAGGGAGGGGAGAAGCCAGGACCCTCCTCCTCCAGGGCTGGTGAGGCTGTTCCCTCTCCGGCCTGAAGACGTCCAACCCCAGCTCCCACGGGGGATGGTCCTGGGTCCCCCTCCCCGCGGCTCCGCAGGCTCTGACGGTCTCTGACCGGGCACCCGTGCCCTGCGGGGCCTGGTGGGCTCAGTGCCAGCCCAGGAGCCTTCTCTGCGGCCCCCACCTTATGAGATGGGCGGTGAAGCGCCGGCCTCTCCCAGCAGGGGTGCCTGGGTGCTCAGAGCCCACCTCTCACAGCCGCGGTCCCGGTCCAGTTGCTGTGTTTCTGTGCGACTTCCCTGTGGCGGCCAAGGGAGGGCCTGGAGGCTGAGCCCCCGCCCGGGACTTACCAGGGGCAGGCACTGGGCCAGGATCCCGGTCCGGGGAATGCAGCGGAAGGGGCTGTACTCCCTCAGCTGGATGCAGCACTGGCTGTGACACTCCTGATGGCTGCTGCAGAAGTCGCCGTTGGGCTGGGGAGGCAGCCAGGCAGCAGTCGTGGAGAGGGGCTGTCTCCGGCTACCCCTGCTCCATCTGCCCCGGGTGCCCGCAGCTCACCTTGCGCCAGGGCACACACTGCAGGAAGACGCTTTGGGGCGTGCACAACTCCTGCGGGCTGTTGTTGCGGACGCAGCAGCTGCTCTGGCACTCTGAGTCGTGCGAGCATCTGTACCCATTGGGCTATGGGACAGGAGACGCGTCATCCCTGCACCCACCATCCACTCCCTGGCTCTTCAGGGGCAGGTAGGAGGGGGCCACAGGCAGTCTCGCTCCTCCACCCCCGCCCCTGCACGCACCTCACCTTCCTCCAGGGCAGGCACTGCAGGAAGATGGTCTTAGGGGTGCAGAGCGTGTGTGGGGCCAGGCTGTTGATGGTACAGCAGTTGCTCTGGCACTCCTCGTGTCTCCTGCATGGCTCCCCGATGCCCTGAAACACCACTCACCAGCTCGCTCACCTGTTCCTGGGCAGGGCCTGCAGACTCAGCACTCAGGAAAGGCCTGCCCTCTCCTTGGCTCCCCTGTGTCACCATCCTTCAAACTTGGGTTTCCTGAGAAGTTTCTGGAACAAACCCAGACTGCCGTGGTTCTGGCAGGTCAGTGCTGGGGGCCCGGGGCTGAGAAAGGGAATGTCTACTGTGAGCCACGTGGAAGAGGGTAAACCAAGGCACTGAGGGCAAGGATGCAGCAGCAGAGCATGGGTGAAGCTCTCAGGCCAGCCCAGTGCCTGGCATTTTACAGGAGAAGAAACAGGCTCAGGGAAGGCGAGCAAGGTGCCCAGGATTGCACAGCTGGCAGAGGTGAGCTGAGAGCCAGGCCTCCCCCCTGCACCACGGCTTGTAGCCACCCCCCACCCACACACACGCAAGGTGCTGCTGTGTGCGCGACCTCTGGTCTTGTTTGCTCAGAGTGTTGTGGATGAGGCTATGTCTATTGACGTTACTGGATTCCACCCTAAAACTGAGAGAATTTTAAGATAAAAACAGTAATCCCATTGCATGTTAACATAAATAACAACTTTTTATTAAAAGTGGGTATATTTTCTGGCCAGGCGCAGTGGCTCATGCCTGTAATCCCAGCACTTTGGGAGGGTGAGGCCGGTGGATCACCTGAGGTCAGGAGTTTGAGAACAGCCTCGTCAACATGGTGAAACCCCATCTCTACCAAAAATGCAAAATTTAGCCAGGCGTGGTGGCGCGCGCCTGTAATCCCAGCTACTCGGGAGGCAGAGGCAGGAGAATCGCCTGAACCCAGAAGGTGAAGGTTGCAGTGAGCTGAGATCGTGCCACTGCACTCCAGCCTGGGCGACAGAGCGAGGCTTCATCTCTCTCTCTCTCTCTCTCTTACACACACACGCACACAATTTAAAAAGTAATAAAATAAAAAAGAAAAATGGGTATATTTTCAAAAACAGAAGTGCACACTGGTGCAGCTCCCATGTGGCCCCGCTCTCTCCTGCCTGGTTGACGGTGGCCGTGGTGGCCCCAGGGCTGCTCCTGGTGCTGGGGTCGCCGTCCCATAGCCTCAAGTGTGCTTGGGCAGCACAGCCGGGCGTGTGGCCAGGAGAGCGAGTGCAGCCTCAGGGAGGGTTTCATCCAGGAAGGCGCTTTGTGTCCCTTTGAGACCCTCCTGACGGAAAGTGGCAGCCCTCGCGGGTGGGGACTGCAAGGGCCTCAGGGGCGCCCGGCACCCACCTTATGGCGCGTGTGGGGCCTGCAGGGGCATCAGGGGTGCCCGGCACCCACCTTATGGGACAGGTTCAACTTCTTCTGTGGCCCATACCCTGCCATGGACCCCAGCAGCAGCAGCAGCAGCAGCAGTAGCAGCAGCGTCCACCCCGGGCCGGCCATCGGGTGTGTGGACCTGCAGAGACCCAGGATTGTGTGGGAGTGTGTCCACGCCAGCCTTGTCCTGCCTGGCACCTGGTGCTGGCCTCCCCACTCCCTTCCCATCCCTTCCCGATCCTTTCTCTTGCAAGACAGACTTTTAAAAACTTAATGGACTTTATTTTCTAAAGCAGTTTTATGCTTACAAAAAAAGTGCAGAAAATATAATTCTCATATGCCACCTTCTTTCCCCTGCCTCAGTTTCCCCTATTATAAACATGCTGCACTCGTGTGACACATCTGTCCACCATTGATAGACCCACAGGGACGTGCCATCATCACCCGGAGTCCACAGCTCAGCCGGTGTGTGCCTGCTGCGGGTTTGGGTGAGTGCGTTCTCATAACTGCCATTTCAGTATCCTGCAAAGCCGATCCGATGCCCTAAACATCCCCGTGCCCCGTCTATTCGCTCCTCCCTCCCCAGCTGCTGACAGCCACCGAGCTTTTCACTGTCAGCTTGGTTTTGCCTTCTCCAGAATCCCGTTTGGTTGGAATCGGTCTGTAGCCTTTTCGGGTTGGCTTATTTCACTAAGTGCCATTTAAGGTTCCTCTGTGGCTTTTCGTGGCATAATGACTCATTTCTTTTTAGCACTGCATGGAAAATGGATTTTTTTTAACACATCGAGGCAAAACGTGAAAAATGGATTTTGAAGAAGACTTTTCCCAGCGGACAGTGGTTCCCCTGATGAATTTGAACGTGAGCACCTGCTGTGAGCGGGAGCGGGGGCCTCAGCCTGGGGTCCCTCCTGGAGGGGCCCTTGCTGCCCAGCCCCGCAGCAGTGCGGGCATCAGATGAAGCAGCGGCATTGCCCTGCGTGTGGTCAGCGGCCAAGCTATGCTCATTGTGAGCCCCATGCCCGGACGGCGCTGCCCCCACCACAGCGACCGGCCCAGTACAGGGTGGATGACAGGAACCCTTCCTCGGGACTCTTCCAGCCGGGCCCAGGCGGAGACGTCATTAGGAGGGTCTCTCTTTTCCTCCTGGGTTCCAAAGCCATACGGGAAAACCCAGTAGACTCCACAATTCATGAAAACTGACAGGAGAGGCCAGACCAAGATCAACACAAAATTCAAAACGATTTCTCCACACTGGCCATAAATAACCAGAAAATAGAAAATGAACACCATGCACGATAACAAGATAAACCATTCGTTATGTAAGATGAAGGGCGAATATGAAGTCCACACAAAGAAAGTCCACCCTTGGCCTCCCCCTCGGCTCCCTCACCCCGTGCTGTGAGACCACATATCACTCAGGGCTGCGCTAGGGCCAGGGGGCTGGGCAGGGTCTCCCTGTCTCTCTGTCTCTGCCTCTGTCTCTCCCTGTCTCTCTGTCTCTCCCTCTGTCTCCCTCTCTCTGTCTCTTTCTGTCTCTGTCTCTTTCTGTCTCTGTCTCTCTCTGCCTCTCTGTCTCTGTCTCTCCCTCTGTCTCTGTCTCTCTGTCTCTCCCTCTCTCCGTCTCTGTCTCTCTCTGTCTCTCCCTCTCTTTCTCTGCCTCTCCCTCTCTCTGTCTCTGTCTCCCTCTCTCTGTCTCTTTCTGTCTCTGTCTCTTTCTGTCTCTGTCTCTCTCTGCCTCTCTGTCTCTGTCTCTCCCTCTGTCTCTGTCTCTCTGTCTCTCCCTCTCTCCGTCTGTCTCTCTCTGTCTCTCCCTCTCTTTCTCTGCCTCTCCCTCTCTCTGTCTCTTTCTGTCTCCCTGTCTCTGTCTCTCTCTGTCTCTGTCTCTCTCTGTCTCTGTCTCTCTCTGTCTCTGTCTCTTGAATCCCCTTGATTATTATTTTTCTTAAATTCCTCATGTTATCTCGCGTGCACTCAGGGGAAAGGTGGAGCTCTGGCCACAACCTATAGCCACCTGCTGGGGAAGCCGCAGCAGATCAGGACTCAGTCAGTGACCCCACTCCACACTCAAGACCAGCCAGAGGAACCCAAATATGGATGCCCACCTCCCCCATGCCCATCGCAGGGGCAGCTGAGCCCCGGCAGTGGCCTCCCCACGTGATCAGTCCCCGCACCCACACCTCTGCCTGCGGCTGGGCAGCCTCCCCGCTCCCAGCACTCCCTCCTGTCTTTCCTGCCACTGCGTGAGCACCACGAGGTCAGGAACTGATTTTACCTCCCTCACAGGAAGTCAAAGGTCAAAGGTCTTAGATGCCCCTGGCACCTGATCCTGGAGCCCTGACCCCAGACAAATGAGTCATGTCGACACTTTCCAAGATGAATGGCCACATCCCCAGCCATCAGGCAAACTTAGTAAGCCCTGTTTCCAATCATATCAAGCCTGTTCAATATAACTTTGTTTAGAGATGGGGCCTTGCTCTGTTGCCCAGGCTGGAGTGCAGTGGCACAATCGCAGCTCACTGCAGACTCAACCTCCTGGGCTCAGGTGATCCTCCCAGCTCAGCCTCCCGAGTAGCTGGAATGAGAGGTGTGAGCCACTGTGCCCGTCTTAAATATAATTTTTAATGTAACTACATAAAAGCTAAATTGAATCACAACTAGAACTTTTCTAAATTTCAAGCTTGCAGTATCTTTCCTGTACTTGGAACCAGGAAAAATTTTTTTCTGGTCTCAAACCTTTTCGTAGGTCCTTGCAAAGTTCACAGGCTTCGTTTCCAAATGGAGCACGATGTGCCTGACAGATCAAAGGGCCCTGCTCAGCCCAGGAACAGGCAGCTGCCTGTGCTGGGAAAGTCCGGTGTCTAACAGGTCACAGGTCACACCGTTCACAGCAGCGTTTTTCACGACGGCCAGAGGGTGGACGAATGTGTTACATGACCCCTGCCCCGAATGTGATATGTACGCACAATGGGACGTCAGTGGTCCCAGAAATGGAAGGCACCTCGGACCCAGGGGCCACACAGCCACCCTGAGGACCTGATGCTGAGGGAACGAGCCCCTCTCAGAAGCTCAAATACCGTTTGATCCCACGTGTGAGGTCTCCAGAGTCGTCAAACCTACAGAGACAGACAGTACGATGGTGGTGCCCAGGGCAGGTGGGGGTTGGTGTTTGATGGGGCCGGTTGACATTTGGGAAGATGTAAAGCTCTGCAGGTGGATGGCAGTGATGGCTGCACGGCAACGTGAATGTGCTTCATGCCACTGACCTGTGCACTTAAAAATCATTAAGACGGCCCGGGCATGGGGTGGCTCACGCCTGTAATCCCAGCACTTTGGGAGGCCAAGGTGGGCGATTACCTGAGGTCGGGAGTTCAAAACCAGCCTGACCAACATGGTGAAACCCTGTCTCTACTAAAAATACAAAATTAGCTGGGTGTGGTGGTGCATCCCGGTAGTCCCAGCTACTTAGGAGGCTGAGGCAGGAGAATCGCTTGAACCCTGGAGGCAAAGGTTGCAGTGAGCCGAGATCACACCACTACATTCCAGCCTGGGCAACAGAGTGAGACTCCATCTCAAAAAAAAATTGTTAAAATGGTCAACTTTATGTTAAAGGTATTTTACCACAATAAAAGCAAAGGTCACAGGCAGACCTCATGAGTGCCCTGGAGGTGCTGTTGCCCCTGGGATGGAAGCTCATTATTTTCAAATGTTCTATATATGGGGGTCTCTATTCCGGGACATTTGCTTAAAAATCTCTTGGATCAGACCCTTCTTCAGTTTTTCCTGCAATTATCAATATCTAGTTTGTTTCTATAGTAGTTCAATCAGCTAAGTAAAAAGCTCGATGCTAAATCTTGTCAAAGACATTGCAAATCTCCATAGATCGTCTGCGAAACCACAGCTTTCATGTTTTGAGCGTAAGACCCTGGGGCTGGTGCTGTAACCCCTGCCCAGACTCTTCTGAGTTTCGGCGGCCCAGCAGGGCAGGGCCGGGCACCTGGCAGGTGGGGTCATCCCCACAGGGCACCCCGGCCGAGGGCAGAGCTGGTTCCGCCGCAGGGTCGATCCTGGGCTCTGGGCTGTGCACACGTCCTATTGACACCCCGAGGACAGGACGTGCGAGTGACTCGTGAGATTGGGCCTCCCTTGCTGAAAACTTCCCTGGTGGCTGACAGCTGCGTGGACATTCAGCGGCCCTACCTTTTTCCGTCAGGCGCCAGCAGCCCCTCTGTGTAGAGGTGAGACAGGCCAAGCTGCAGCTTCTAGACGAGACGCCCGAAAGCAGAGAAGTACCCAGAGCAGGGACCCGGCAGCCCGGCAGTACGCTGGGCACAGTCGCAGCCCCGCCTCTTCCTTCTCCGTCTTGTTCCCTCCTTCGGTCCCAGGAGAAAGACGCTCATCTCCCCACATGAGAGGCTCAGTGTAGGCGTCTGGACAGGGGCCAGTCCCACAAGGCTACTGACTCCGGACCACAAAGAAGCTGGAAGCAGCAGCTCCGCCTCTGCAGCCAATTGCAGAGCTTTTTTCTCTGTGTTCTGCCCCCACTTCCAACTCAGGACCAACCAGAGGACGCCAAACACGTCCTATCACCAACCACCGGACACCTGACTCTCCATCAGCCGCCCCTGCCTTCCCCACAGCATCCCCACCACCCTAAGCGGAGGGACCTGTGCCCCTCCCCCTGCCTGCTGATCTCAGGGTGGGGCGCTCCCAAGCTCCGAACTCAGAGCCTGGGCTTGCTGTCGTCTGGGTGGTCTTTCTTTATCTCCACATGCATCTGCTTATGCAGTACACACGTATGGGCTGTTTGCTCGTTATTTATTTGTGATCGACCATGTGCCAGGCGCCGCGGCAGGCTCAGCGGGGGAGCAGGCTGTGCCCCGGTGTCAACTTGGTGCTCTCAGTCCAGTGCAAGAGCTGGGCCTGGCAACGAACACACTGCGCAGAGAGTGGTGGGCGTCGTTAGGGGCACGACGGAGGTGCCAGGGGGACACCGCACAGCAGGGATGCCAGGGAGACTTCACAGAGACACCTGCAGGACACCTGCTGCCAGGAGCACGGCCCAGTGGGGATGGGAGAGCGAGGAGAGCGCCGGGCACGGGGAGGAGGGGCGGGGCACGGCCCAGTGTCTGGGGAGCTGAGGCGGGGAGGGTGGGGAGGCCAGGGACAGCCCAGGGGGACACTAGAGAGGGCGGGGAGGAGCCAGCCCTGGAGCTCGAGTGCCAGTCATGCTGCCCTTTTGAACGCCGAGACCATTAAAGGGGTCTCGGGTGAGAACCACAGGCAGGATGTGGAAGCTCCTGGGTGCATGGTGGCCTCTGTAATGGGCAGGGCGAGGCTGGAAGCAAGAGGACCCATGCGATAGCATGCATGCCCGGCCAGAGGGGATAGGAGGCTCAGTCAGGCAGGGCTGGGGGAACAAGGAGCAGAGAGAGAGGCAGGGAAGAGCAGTGGGGACGCTGAGGGGTGTGAATGTGGGGAGTCAGGGTGGGAATTCAGAGTGAGCCCTGGCCTCTGGCAACAGGAACGAGGAGCACATGTACCCAGTCTAATGCAGCACCTGCACTGTCGACCACCAGAAAACAAAGCACCCAAAACTCAGTTAGCCCAAAAACATGACTTGTGATGGTCGCTGTGTCTGTGGGTTGACTGTGCTCAGCTGGGCGGTTCTCACACGTGTTGCTTAGGCATCAGCTTTCAGGTAGTTTGACTGTGCTCAGCTGGGCGGTTCTCACACGTGTTGCTTAGGCATCAGCTTTCAGGTAGCAGCTAGGCTGCCGACAATTATCTGAAGACTCAACAGGGCTGTGTCCAAGATGGCTCCTTCACTCCTGCATCTGGTAGCTGGAGGGACTGATGGGCTGGGAGCCCATCAACTCTTCTCCTCTTCACGCGGCCCCCATGAGGCTCGCAGAGGCTTCCTCACAACATGACGGCCCCAGGGTGGCTAGCACCTTCCCCAGAGCAAGAGCCCCAGGAGGATCTGCAAGGCTTCTTCTGACCTACCCAGAGGTCACACAACATCACCTCAACCACATTCTATTGGCCAAAAGTGAGTCCCAGAGACAGCTCAGGGACTACACACTTCCTCACCCAGTGGAAGCGTGTAGGGCAGGAGGCAAGGGGAGGCAGGGCGGGATGGGGAGGGGAGGGGAGCAAGCTTTTTGGAGTGATGAAAGTATCCTAAATTTACATCATGGTGGAGTTTGCACAATCTTGTAATTATACTAATAACAATGAAGGTACACTTTAAATGGGTGAATTGTATAATATGTGACTTATATCTCAGAAATGTTATAAACTTTTTTGAGAGAGAAGGCTTTAAACAAATAAAAATAAATCTGTTAGTGTATAGAAAATGTCCAGAACAGGCAAATCCATAGATACAGAAAGTAGATTAGTGGGAAACAACCTAAATGCCCGTTGATGGATGAATGATGGATAAAGTGTGGTGTGTCCAGGCAACATAATACTGTTCAGCCTTAAAAAAGAAGAAACTGCTGCCATATGCTACAACATGGGTGTCCCTTGAGGGCAGTATGCAGTGAGACAGGCCAGGCACAGAAACACAAATGCTACATGATTCCACTTGCCTGAAGAATCTAAAATAATTAAACTTGGCCAGGCGTGGCGGCTCACACCTGTCATTCCAGCACTTTGGGAGGCTGGGGAGGGTGGATTGCTTGAGTCCAGGAGTTCAAGACATGGGAAACCCTGTCTCTACAAAACATACAAAAATAAGAAATTAGCTGGGTGTGGTGGTGCATGCCTGTATTCCCAGCCACTCAGGAAGCTGAGATGGGAGGATTGCCTGAATCCAGGAAGCGGAGGTTGCAGTGAGCAAAGATGGTACCATTGTACTCTAGTCTAGGTGACAGAGTGAGACCCTGTCTCAAAAAAAAAAAAAAAGAAAGAAAATATAACTGATTTTTGTATGTTTATGTTGTATCCTGAAACCTCTCTGAACTTAATAGCTCTAACAGTTTCCAGTGGATTCCTTAGGGTTTCCCTTATACAATATCATACCATCTGCATATAGAGATGATCTTTCTTCTTTTGCAGTTTTTCTCAATTTATTACCTACTTGTCATAACTAGAATTTCAGCATAATATTGAATAGAAGTGGCAAGAGAGGACACTTTTGTCTTACTCTTGAGTGCAGGGGAAAAGCAATTATTCTCTTCACCATTCAAAACTATGTCAACCAGGTCAGGTGGGGTGGCTCAAACCTGTAATCCCAGCAGGGGCCAAGAGCCCTCTTTTAAGAGCCTTTAAGAAAGACCATGCTGGCTGGGTGCTGTGGCTCAGGCCTGTAATCCCAGCACTTTGGGAGGCCGAAGGGGGTGGATCACCTGAGGTCTGGAGTTTGAGACCAGCCTGACCAACATGGAGAAACCCTGTCTCTACTAAAAATACAAAATTAGCCAGGCATAGTGGTGCATGCCTGTAATCCCAGCTACTCGGGGGGCTGAGGCAGGAGAATAGCTTGAACCTGGGAGGTGCAGGTTGCGGTGGGCCGAGATCACACCATTTTACTCCACCCTGGGCAACAAGAGAGAAACTCTGTCTCAAAAAAAAAAAATTATGTCAACCGGGCACAGTGGCTCACACCTGTAATCCCAGCACTTTGGGAGAGCAAGGTGGGAGGATCGCTTGAGCCCAGGAGTTCGAGACCAGCGTGGGTAACATAGGGAGACCCCATCTCTACCAAAAAATAAATAAAAAATTAGCCAGGCATGGTGTCTTACACCTGGAGTCTCAGCTACTCAGGAGGCTGAGGCAAGAGTATCGCTTGAACCCAGGAGGTGGAGGTTGCAGTGAGCCAAGATCGTACCACCACACTCCAGCCTGGGTGACAGAGTCAAATACTATCTCAAAAAAAAAAAAAGAATTATGTTGTCACTTGAGCACAGTGGCTCGTGCCTATAATTCCAGAACTTTTGGAGGCCAAGGCAAGATCAGTTGAGCCCAGGAGTTCGAGACCAGGCTGATGGGTAACCCAGTGAGACCCTGTCTCTACAGAAAATGGAAAAAGTAGCCTAGCGTGGTGGCACGTGCCTGTGGTCCCAACTACTCAGGAGGCTGAGGTGGGAGGGTCACTTGAGCCCGGAGGTCAAGGCTGCAGTGAGCTAGGATTGCACCACTGCACTCCAGCCTGGGCAACAGAGTGAGATCCTATCTCAAAAAAAATTATGAAAAAAAATTATGTTGTCAAACTCATAGAAGTGGAGAGTAGAATGGTGGTTGCCAGAGGCTGCAGAGAGGGTAAAAGGGAATTGCTCCTGAACAGGGATAAAGTTTCAGTTTCAGTTATGCAAAATGAGTATGTTCCAGGTCTGCTATACAACATCACACCTGTAGTTAACAATACTGTATTGTTCAATTAAAATGTTGTTAAAAGGGTGGGTCTCATGTTAAATGTTTTATTACAATAAAAAATAATTTTTAGGAAGAAAGTTGTTAACTGGGTTTTTGTTTGTTTGTTTGTTGTTTTGCAGATATCCTTTAACAGACCTAAAGCTGTGTGATTTCTAGTAATCCACCTTTCAGAGCGTGACTTCCACCCGTCTAAATCCCTGGGAGTGAACTCATGGAGTTCTGGGGGGAAAAAAAATCCTGGGAGGTCGGGTTGGCCACAAAGCCCAAGATGTTCCCCAATTTACTAATTAGGTTAGAATTCCACACAACCAGCACCTCACCACCACCAAGAATTCTAATGGAAACTTTCTTCAGTGAAAACTAACTTCATTTATTTCAAGGCTGGTGCTAATTTTGGTTGTTGACTGCTTTGGCCTCCGATTATGGGAGGTATCCTGGGTGGGAACTGTCAGGGGAAGCTACTTGGAAGGCAGGACTGAGCCGGACCAAATTGCAAGATTCAAACCAGTGAGGAGGCCCAACAGCGGATTCTCCACAGACCCAGCAGAAGCTCTCGGGGGCTGGAAAAGGGCGCCACCTGGTGGCATCTGAGCAGAAGTCAGTGACACGTTTTCACCCACATGTCAGTACAGCTCCCGAAGCAGGTCCAGCGGAAAAGCTCCGGTATGAAGCTTTTCCCTTTACAGTGTGCTGTGAGGGTGTGTAACCACAGTTAATGGAAAGGGACCTCACTGGACTCAATCCAGTGACATCACACATGCCGTGTCTCCCACCCACAGAGAGAACTCCCAGGTCTTGAGTATGTGATGCCTGGAGCCTCATCTACCTTCTGAAGGCATCGTTCAGGCACGCTTTACATATGAGCAGTGTTTGGATTATTAATTGGAAAGGTCAGAACACCGTTTCAGCGGGTATATGAAAGTGATAGCAGCGGTGTCTGGAACATAAAGGAGAGTGTGTTTGTCCACTCTTCCTAGGGACACAGGGACGGGGACACTCCCCACTCTCCCCTGGGACACGGGAATGCTCTCCACTCTCCCCTGGGACACAGGGACGGGAACACTCTTCCCTGGGACACATGGGGACGCTCCCCACTCTCCCCCGGGACACAGGGGGACACTGTCCACTCTCCCCTGGGACACACGGGGACACTGTCCATTCTCTCCCGGGACACACGGGGACGCTCTCCACTCTTCCCTGGGACACACGGGGATACTCTCCCCTGGGACATATGGGCTGTCCACTCTCCCCCGGGACACACGGGGACGCTCTCTAGTCTTCCCTGGGACACACGAGGACTCTCTCCACTCTTCCCTGGGACACATGGGGACACTCTCCAGTCTCCCCTGGGACACATGGGGACGCTCTCCACTCTCCCCTGGGAGTTCCAGAGTGACCGTCATCGTGAAAAATGACAGGGATTGATGTAGTTTCCTGGCTTTTGACATTAACCCACAAACCCAACTACCACTCTGGGTTTTTCCTAGAGCGTAAGCCTTAGCTGACGCCATCCACACATTATGGTGCTGTGGATTTTCCTGTAATGAAAAGGAAAAGATTCAGACAGCAGGAAATAAGGGGCCAGGGGGAGGCTAAGGCTGTCATGATGGCAGAGAAGTCTCAACCCATGATCTTGGAAAAGCTGTCCACATTTAGGATCCCGTCTGCTTCTGGGGAAAACTTCCCTGGTTAGCTTCACCTTAAGGTCTCCGAAAGGTGTACGGTTCCAAGAATCTGGAGGGGTCTTTTTGAGTTTGGGGTTAGCCGATTTTTCTAAAATGTGCACAAGTTCTGGGTCCATAGTTCTTACACACATAATTAGCAAACGTCCCAGAAGGCGGCACGCAGACTCCTTGGATTCAGACAAACCCAAGCCAAAAGGGACCTACTCAAGGCCTCTAACTGGATACAATAGAGTTAAGTTTTGGATCCAATTCAATCCTGGACCCATTCCGGTCTAAGAATTGCTCAAGGCCGGGCGCCGTGGCTCATGCCTGTAATCCCAGCACTTTGGGAGGCCAAGGCAGGTGGATTGCCTGAGCTCAGGAGTTTGAGACCAGCCCAGGCAACACAGTGAAACCCCGTCTCCACTAAAATACAAAAAAATTAGCCGGGCGCGGTGGCATGTGCCTGTAATCCCAGCTACTTGGGAGGCTGAGACAGGATAATTGCTTGAATCTGGGAGGCGGAGGTTGCAGTGAGCTGAGATCACGCCACCGCACTCCAGCCTGGGCAACAGAGTGAGACTCCATCTCAAAAAAAAAAAGAATTGCTCAAAGTAGAGGGCTCAAAACACATGGTCATAGAGCACAAATCCAGCAGAGAGAACTCACCTATGACTCTAGATGCTTTGAGAGATCAGCAGGCACACAGGCCCTACTGAGCATTCAGTGCTCCTAGGGGGTGGCTGGAGGTCTACTTCAGATCCCACTTCTGACACCAAACTGTTAAAACAAAAACTTTGGACAAATTAAATTTAAGAGTTTGTGTGTGTGTGTGTGTGTGTGTGTGTGTGTGTGTGTGTGTGTGACAGAGTCTCCCTCTGTCATGCAGGCTGGAGTGCAGTGGTGCAATCTCAGTTCACTGCAACCTCCACCTCCCAGATTCCAGTGATTCTCCTGCCTCAGCCTCCCGAGTAGCTGAGATTACAGATGCCACAACACCTGGCTAACTTTTGTGTTTTTAGTGGAGACGAGGTTTCGCCATGTTGGCCAGGCTGGTCTCGAACCCCTGATCTCAAGTGATCCACCCATGTTGGCCTCCCAAAGTGCTGGGATTACAGGTATGAGCCACTGTGCCCAGCCAACAGAGTTTAATTGAGCAAAACACAACTCATGAATTGGGCAGCACTCAGAACCAATGGGGGAGGTTCGAGAGCTCCACTCTGTAATGTGGGCAGGAAGTTTTTATAGATAGAACACAGAAGTGAGATACAAAAAAAAAAAAATCACAATTAGCTTGATTTTGTTACTGCTTGAAATGTTTGCCTTATATGGCATGATCAGATCAGTTAGCAGCCTGTGACTGGCTGAGACCCAGCTATTTGTTCCAAAATATACTCATAGGTTAAGCTTTTAGCTTGTTTCTGTGGTACATTAGGTTGCAGTTTGTTGTTACCTAGAAACTCAAGGCACAGAGGCAGCCTGTTAATTGAGTTAATTTAACAGTTCAAACAAATACTTATGCACCAGTGTTTATAACAGCACTATTCACAGAGTTAGTTTGAAAGCAATCTAAATTCCTTCTTTGGATAGCCTAGACATTTCTCCTGGCCATAAGAAGGGGTGATGCCCTGACACATGCTACAATGTGGATGAACCTTGAAAACATGCTCAGTGAATGAAGCCAGACAGAAAAGGCATTAACCCAGAAACAAATATTGCATTTCCTTGATATGAAATATCCAGAACAGGCAAGTCCATTCACTGAGACAGAAAAGCGACCAGTGGTTGCCAGGGCATGGGAGGAGTGTGGAACGGGTCGTGACTGCTTAATGGATGGGAGTTTTATTTTGGGGTGGGGAAAGTGTTTGGGGACGAAACAGAGGCGGTGGTGGTTGCACAATGTTGTGAATGTCACTGAATTGTTTACTTTAAAATAGTTAATTACATGCTATGCTGATTTTATCATAATAAACTATTTTAAAATTATTTTGTGAAAAACTGTGATGCTTGGGATTTGCTTCAAAATAATGTGGGTGGGGTGGAGGTTCGAAAAGTTACCAAAAAAAAAAAAAAAGAAAGAAAGAAAGAAAGAAAACTCTGGCTTGCAAAGAAGAAAACGGATCGGCCGTGGATCCCTCTCCAGCTCGAGGGCTGGAGCTGCGGCGGAGGCAGGAGCTGGAAGCGAGGCGTCTGCTGGCAAAGGCGGGAGTGCAGGTTGCGCTCGAAGCCCCGGCAGCCGCGGCAGGAACCGGCCTGGACGGGGTGGGGGGCGCCGCGGAGGCCGGCGGGACTTCCCATGTCTTTCTCCTCGAGCTCGGAAAAAGTTCCCACCCGGGGAATCCCGACCCTCCAACTTCGAGACCGCCGGTTCCGCGCTCGGCCCCCACCTGGACCAAGAGCTGGGGCTGGGCTGCCGCGCCCCCGGCTCTGTCCCCGCGAGGCCCCGCTCCCAGCCCCACCTGGGACACCCGGGACTCCCGGGACACCTGCGGGGCGGGGCGGGGCCGGGGCGAGGCGGGGCGGGCTCGAGGCCGCACCCCGGAGGCGGAGCCGCGAGCTACCCGCCCGCCGCGCGCCCCCCGCTCTCGGTGCGCAGCGGGGCCGACCCTCAGCCCTGCAGCGCCTTCCTGGAGGTGGGGGCCGCCCGCGCCATGGCCGCCGCCCAGCCCAAGTACCCCGCCGGGGCGACCGCCCGGCGCCTGGCCCGGGGCTGCTGGTCCGCCCTCTGGGACTACGAGACGCCCAAGGTGATCGTGGTGAGGAACCGGCGCCTGGGGGTCCTGTACCGCGCCGTGCAGCTGCTCATCCTGCTCTACTTCGTGTGGTGCGCGGGGCGCGGGGTGCGGGGCGCGGGGTGCGGGGCGCAGGGGAGGGGCTGGGATTGGGGGCGCTGGGCTGGAGGCGCGGGGCTGGGGCTGGGGCTGGGACCGGGGGCGCGGGGCAGGGGCTGGGGCTGGGACCGGGGGCGCGGGGCAGGGGCTGGGATTGGGGGCGCGGGGCAGGGGCTGGGACTGGGGGCGTGGGGCAGGGGCTGGGACTCGGGGTGCTGGGCTGGAGGCGCGGGGCTGGGGCTGGGACCAGGGGCGCGGGGCAGGGGCTGGGGCTGGGACCGGGGGCGCGGGGCAGGGGCTGGGGCTGGGACCGAGGGCGCGGGGCAGGCCCCAAGAGCCCCGCAGAGCGGACCCGGGTCGCGGGAGGGCCCCTGCCGTGCCTGCGGGCGGGACTCAGCCTTCCCAGGGTCGCCTCCGGAGCCGGCGCCGCCCCTGCCCGCAGGTACGTATTCATCGTGCAGAAAAGCTACCAGGAGAGCGAGACGGGCCCCGAGAGCTCCATCATCACCAAGGTCAAGGGGATCACCACGTCCGAGCACAAAGTGTGGGACGTGGAGGAGTACGTGAAGCCCCCCGAGGTGCGGGCCGCCCCCTGCCCCCCGCCCCGCCGTGCACCCTACCCTAGTGGGCGGAGGGGGCAGCGGCTGCCGCCTGGCCGACCGCCCCCTCTTTCTGAGCCCAGGGGGGCAGCGTGTTCAGCATCATCACCAGGGTCGAGGCCACCCACTCCCAGACCCAGGGAACCTGCCCCGAGGTGAGGGGATCCCGCGGCGCTGGGGGACCCCGCCTCAGCTAGGCGGGCCAGCTGTCCCTTGCGGGGTCCCTGACTGGGCCGCCTCCACCCTAGAGCATAAGGGTCCACAACGCCACCTGCCTCTCCGACGCCGACTGCGTGGCTGGGGAGCTGGACATGCTGGGAAACGGTCGGTGTGCGCCAGCTGGGGCTGGGCGGGTGGGGCAGGGCTGCGTCCCCGCTAATGCCTCAGTGACCTCTGCCTCCCAGGCCTGAGGACTGGGCGCTGTGTGCCCTATTACCAGGGGCCCTCCAAGACCTGCGAGGTGTTCGGCTGGTGCCCGGTGGAAGATGGGGCCTCTGTCAGGTGCACCTGCGCCCCGGCCTGGGGCCCAGCCTCCCCTCTGATCCTTTTCCCCTGACCAGAGGCCAAACGGGCGGGGCAGGAGTGACAAGATCTGGGGAGGGGTGGGGGCCAATGCCAGGCGGGGGCTTTGCGGGAAGAGGGGACTAAACAACCCTTCTGTGCCTCCTCAGCCAATTTCTGGGTACGATGGCCCCAAATTTCACCATCCTCATCAAGAACAGCATCCACTACCCCAAATTCCACTTCTCCAAGTAAGAGCCGCGGGGTGTGGTGACGGCCCAGCCTGAGGGCTGCCTTCTGGGAATGGGGTATTTGGGGTGCAGGTCTCGCCTCCTGCCGCCTCCTCAGGGGCAACATCGCCGACCGCACAGACGGGTACCTGAAGCGCTGCACGTTCCACGAGGCCTCCGACCTCTACTGCCCCATCTTCAAGCTGGGCTTTATCGTGGAGAAGGCTGGGGAGAGCTTCACAGAGCTCGCACACAAGGCAGGGCAAGCGCAGGCAGGGTGGGGCCAGGGTGGGCTCCCACCTGCACAGAGAGGGCCTGGGGTACAGGGGACCAGTCCCTCCTCCCTCCTGACCAGCTGGCCCCGCTCAGGCAGAGGAAAAGAAATGCGATCAGCGCAACCCATCCGGTGTGGCGCTTGCTGAATTATTGACACTGGCCATGGGGCTGGCTGCTGGCACCCCTTGTGCCTCAGACACTGGACGCCCACCAGTACCCCTGAGCTGCCCCATGGGCCCCTCAGTGCACACCTCACATGCAGCCTGGGACTGACCCGGGCTCTCGAGGGGCCTCTCGTGTGCCCTTGTGACCCCCTTCCCTGGCCTGGGACTGACCCGGGCTCTCGAGGGGCCTCTCGTGTGCCCTCCTGACCCCCTTCTCTGGCTCCTTCTTGGCAGGGTGGTGTCATCGGGGTCATTATCAACTGGGACTGTGACCTGGACCTGCCTGCATCGGAGTGCAACCCCAAGTACTCCTTCCGGAGGCTTGACCCCAAGCACGTGCCTGCCTCGTCAGGCTACAACTTCAGGTGCTGTACTTGGGACACCGCTGTCCACACTGGCATAGCTGTGGTGGGGTCCCGAGAGGCCCAATGCCTGTGGGGCAGCCCTGGAGTGCAGAGGACGAGTGGGCACTGGCGTTCCCATTGCAGGTTTGCCAAATACTACAAGATCAATGGCACCACCACCCGCACGCTCATCAAGGCCTACGGGATCCGCATTGACGTCATTGTGCATGGACAGGTGCCTGCACCTGCTGGGGGTGGGTGGCCAGCCCTGCTAGCCTGGGTCTGAGCTCCTCACGCCCCACCCCTCCCTTAAGCCCCATCAGACGCCGTCAGACATTCTGACCACGACCCCCATTCTCCCCAGGCCGGGAAGTTCAGCCTGATTCCCACCATTATTAATCTGGCCACAGCTCTGACTTCCGTCGGGGTGGTAAGGAACCCTCTCTGGGGTCCCAGCGGGTGCGGGGGGTCCACCAGGCCCTTACACACCGGTCTCTGCTGGCCCCAGGGCTCCTTCCTGTGCGACTGGATCTTGCTAACATTCATGAACAAAAACAAGGTCTACAGCCATAAGAAATTTGACAAGGTGTGTACGCCGAGCCACCCCTCAGGTAGCTGGCCTGTGACCCTTGCCCGTGTATTGGGCCAGGCCCCTCCCGAACCCGGCCACCGCTCCGAGGACCAGCACCCCAGCCCTCCATCAGGCCAGGAGGGCCAACAAGGGGCAGAGTGTGGCCCAGCCTTCCCGCCCCTGCGGCCTTGCCCCATCTCTGCCCCTTCTGAGCAGATGGTGGACACTCCTGCCTCCGAGCCTGCCCAAGCCTCCACACCCACAGACCCCAAAGGTTTGGCTCAACTCTGAGCTCCTTTCCATCTCACTGGACTGCAGACCCGGCCTGGTGGGGCCAGAGAGTCCCCAGCTAGGGACCTGCACGTGGACGTGGGCACCTCAGTAGCGGAGCATCTCCACGAAACGGGGCACCACAGGATCCCTGTGCAAGGGCTGGGGGCACGCTCTGGCCCCAGGCTTGTGCCCCACCCTGGCATACAGCCCCTGACACCTCCTCCCCAGCTGGTCCCTACAGGGCTGCTCACTTCCCATCACCTCTCACAGCCACCTGGAACCCAAGCCAGCTGAGCTCTGAGGGGCTCTGCTCCCGGTCTTGGGCCCTGGGAACCCCACCCCACCCCACCCCACAGGCGTTGTAACCTTGAATCTGCCCAGACTCTTCCCTTAGAAGTCACAACATACTCAGTCCAATAAACCTGTGAGCAGAACCTTCTGGCCTCGTTCCTTGGGGAGGAGCATCGTGAGCCTGTCAATATGGGATGTCAGGCCCTGTCGGCCTGGAGCTGGGCTGCACGGTGACCTCTGTCTGGGTCATCTCCCCTCTAAGCAGCCTGCGAGGTGTGCAGGGCACATGTCTGCCTGCCCCATGACACATGGTCCCCACAGCCAGCCAGGCCACGGTCAGGTCTGCCCAGGCTGGGAGTGCACTGGGACCCAGGCCACCTCCTCAGTGCACTTGCTTCTGACAGGGCCACCCCAGACTCCAAACCAAAGCTGGCTCATCTCAAAATGTGGGAGGACAGCATGACTCAGGAAGAGAGAAATAGGAGGGAGGCCGGGACAGCTGCACACAAGGAAAACGAAAGCTCAGACTACAGCAGTGCTCAGACCAGTGTTCATTCCTACTCCATGGGAGGGGGCAGGAATGCCGAGATGGGAAGTCAGGCCAGGCGGGGGTGGAAGGACACCAGCCCGGGAGCCAGCACTAACTGCATCAGGGCCTGGGGGTAATCTGGTTACTGCATCCTCAGATGCTGCAGTGGTTAGACTGGTGCCCACTGGGTGGGGGGAGGAGCCCAGAACAGCGTCATGATGTCACCTGTGCCAGTGACAGATGACATCCTGCCTCTGAAGGGAAACCCAGTCTCAGGAGAGCAACACCACGCCCAAAGGTCAAAGAGCGGAGAAGGGCGGGTAAGACGACCCTGGTCTGACCCTAAAGCCTGAGTTTGGAGGTCTCAGCACAACTCCAGAGTCCTCATCCCAGCGCTGTGTTCAGGTGGCGAGAACATGTCTTCCGTGGGCCCCATTTCCCTTGACTGTGGCCTCCCAGCCTCGGGCATCGGCCTCAGGTCACCCCACGGCCTGCACATGCTGTGTGGCTCACAAATATCCAGCTCATTTTTGGAGAAACTGGCTCTTCTGGTTGAGCCGCTGCTTGGGAACCAGGGCCAGAGCTTCCCGTTTCTGACCCCTCCACCACTACTCAAATGCCCGCAGCTAGCCTCACAGTGAACCCAGGCTGACTGGCGCCCACGGCTGCACCGGGCGACCCCTGGTCCTGCTAGGTGGCCTTCCTGGGGGACGAGCGGCTGTCCCCTGGCCCCATCACTCCTCATTCCTGAGGGTTCTCCAGATTCGCTTCCAGGAATGAAGCCTAGTCAGCCAGCCTCCCTCCTCCCCTGCTTGCCCTAATTTGATTTGATCTCCACTCTGGAGGCCTCAGCACTCCTCCATCTGAGCAGGCATCAGGTTTCTCCAGGCAGGCGGCCCCAGCAGCATCCAGGGGCCAAACACGTGCCCAGTGGTACCCAGTCCCCGATCTGAGGCGCTCTGCACAAATACACAGTGACAACCTAGAGAAACTTCAGTATGAAATACAAATAAAAACAAAGTGTAGCAGCGATGGCCTCAGACAGTAGATGGCAGGGACAAACTAAGGCTGGCTCTGGGCCAAAGACACGAGCCTCCTGGGGAGCCTGTGGGGCCCCCTCCCTCCTGTGAGGCTCTCGTCTGGGGTGTCTGCATTTCTGATTTACATTTCATACTTGTTTGGTGCCCTGTGAAATTGGCCTTTCTTCTTTCTGCTTCCAGCTGGTCCTGTGTGGAGGTGAAGGACAAGGGCTGCAGTGAGCCAAAAGTGAGGTGCACAGAGGTCTTGTTTTCCTGAGGCTGATAGAGGGTTCCCTCTAGACCCGGCTCCAAATAAGCAGGGCTCACAAGCCAAAATCCAGATTCTCACGGGTTAGGGTCTGGATTCCTGGGGAAACCAGCCCACAAACTGCTCCTGTGAGGCTGTGGGGCCAGCCCATTTCTCCATGCAAACAGGTGAGACTCCAGCCCCACCAGGGCCTTGGGAACCCGTCTCGTCTCAGAGCCCAATCTCAGGGAGCCAGAAGCCCCCAGGGGCTTTTCCTCCCTCTGGGAGGCAGGACAAAGAACTAGGGGCACCTAGAGGACGCTCCCACCCCACCAGGTGTGGTGCAGGAAGCAACAGAGGCCTGGAAAAGCATTCACTGCGTGAGAAACGGCGCCCAGGGCACTCGCAGCCTCGCTCACGGCCTGCTTCTTCAGGTGCTCTGGCGAGGCCAGGGCCACATCCTGCTCCCGCTCCCTCCTGTGACGTCTGAGCTCCCTGAAAATGGTTTTCTTTGGTTTCCTCCCCGTTCCCTGGCCTGGGGTCACAGGTTTGGACAGTCAGGGTGGTCAGTGGTCTGGTCACTGGAAGCACGGGGATGTGGCCTTGGCATCAGGAGGCCTGGCACGGACGCAGAGGCACCCGGGGCCCGGGGCTGGCTAATGGCCCAGCTGTGGGTTCTTCTGCAGCAGCCACTCCAGGGTCTCCAGGAGGTACGACATGCCGTAGTGCTGGGCAATGTTCCGGAATATTCCGATCTGTTCCATGAAGACCTGCAGGAATAAACAGGCACAGTGAGACCCCAGTCCACTCAGAGAGGAGGCCAAGGAGGCCAGGCTGAGCCGAGGCAGATGAGGGAGAGCCCACCTGGGTGTGGATGGTGAGGGCGAAGTCTCCCGCGCAGCTGCAGTACACAGGCATGCTGGTCTCCTTCACCCCGCGGCACTTCAGGCAGACCTGAAAGGGAGCAGCCCCGATGGGCGCCAGCCCTCCCGCGCTGGCCAGACCTGCCTGCTGCTTCTTCACAGGCTCGCGAGACACATTCGTGGGCCCATCAGTAAGCCTCGAGCCCCTGCTGTGTGCAGCCAGCCCTCGGTTATGAGTAAAATGCACGACCTCATCCCACGGTGCCAGCGCCTTCCCTACACCCACCCTCGCTGTGGATGTTCCACCCCAGATGCCCAGTCCTGAGGCCTCCTCCAGGCCCTGCTCACTCCCTCCATCCTGCAGGCCTGAACGCCGTGCACCACCACACGGCAGCTTGGCGCGTCCCCCAGCCTCTGCTCAGATGCCCCTCGGCAAGACCTTCCTGTGGCCGAGCTGTGCAACTCCCTCTTCCTCCTTTCCTTCTCTTCACACTTGGGAGTGTCTGCCTCCTTCCGCTAGAACGAAGCACCCACAAGGCCAGCTCTTGACCCAAGGCAGGTGCTCAACCAGTGTGGACAGAACAGTCCATCAGGCTCAGGGCATGGACTGGTCTGCAGGGCAGGCCCCTTGGAAGACACCAGGGCGTGCCTCAGGACCTGCACACACCCCGGCTCCCGGGAGTGCACAGAAACCCCCCTGTGGACTCCAGGGCACACGGGCAGGCGGCATGCACGACTCACCAGGTCCTGCAGGGTGAAGGCCATCAGCTTCTTCTGTAGAACTTCCACCAGCGTCATCTCGATGGCAGAGGAGTCGTAGGGCGCCTGACAGTTGGAGCAGAGCCACTGAGGCAGGACCGCCCCATCCTAGGCAGAGCAAGAGTGCGAGAGGTCACCAGCCCAGCCTCCAGACCACAGTGCCATGGGCAGGATCTCAGGAGAGGAAGGGGCTGTGAGAAGCGCCTGGTGACGGGCGAGTCTCCTGAGTGCAGCTGCACGCACTCTGGCCTCCCACCTGCACTTGAGCCCTTCCTAGGACAACATTCCGAACATGGTGTGGGGAGGCCTGGGAAGGGGCCTGTTGCCAATCCATGTGAGTCAGAGGGGCAGCAGGTGTGACCCACAGAGCTGGAGCTGCAGAAGCCCTCAAGACACCGCAGTGCCCTCGGATGTTCTGCTCCACAGTGAAGGGCCCGCTGGAGCTCAGCCGCACCTCTGAGAAGGAAGAGTCTTTACACAGGTCCAGGTCGCGGCAGAAGTTACAGCTGCGGCAGATGACCTCAGGAAGCACGTAGGAGCGGCAGGGGTCTCGGAACTGGGCCTCCTCGGAGAACTCGCCGACATCCACCAGGCGAAGCAGGTCTCGGTTCAGCTTATTCACCTGGTTTGTGATGTTGGTGTCCAGGGACAGCACCTGCAGAGACCACAGCCCACATCGGGAAGGAGCTCCCGGGGCCTCCCTGCTGCTCTGTCTGGACCAGAACCCTCTGGACCTTAGGCTACAGTTTCCTGGTGTCCTTTCCTCCCTTCCTTAGTCCCTTTAGACGCCTCAGCTGACTTCTCTACATTAGCAGTTTTCCATCGGTGAGGACAGGCTTCCCTGGGGAATTTACTAAACATTTAAGGAAGAAATGCTGCTGATTCTACACAGTATCTTTCAAAACACTGAAGAGAGAGAGCACTCAACCCATTCTATGAGGCCAGCATCCCCTGATACTAGAACCAAAGACCGTACTAAGAAACTACAGACCAATAACAGCCTGAGCACAGACACAAAAATGCGCAACGAGATATTAGCAAATTGAATGCAAGATCGAAAAAAAGAATACATAATCCAGAAAGAGACTCACATAGATAAGGTTACTAAGTTATGGAAAAAGGTACAAAGATGATTCGATAGAAAAAGAATAGTCTTTTCAACAAATGGTTCTTGAATACAAGCGTATCTTGGAGATATGGCAAGTTCGGTTTCAAACCACCTCAATGGACTAACATCACAATAAAGCAAATCACACAAATTATTTGGTTTCTCAGTGCATATAAAAGTTACATGATTTTTGGCTCACGCTTGTTTTCTCAGTACATATAAAAGTTACGTGATTTGTGGTGGCTCACGCCTGTAATCCCAGCACTTTGGTAGGCCAAGGCAGGTGGATGGCCTGAGGTCAGGAGTTCAAGACCATCCTGGCCAACACAGTGAAACCCCATTTCTATTAAAAATACAAAAATTGGCTGGGCATGGTGGCGGGTGCACCTGTGATCCCAGCTACCTGGGAGGCTGAAGCAGGGAATCGCTTGAACCCAGGAGGTGGAGGTTGCAGTTAGCCAAGATTGCACCACTGCACTCCAGCCTGAGTGACAGAGTGAGACTCCATCTCAAAAAAAAAAAAAGCTATGTGATTTTTTTTATTTTGGGACAGGATTTCACTCTGTCACCCAGAATGGACTGCAGTGGCACAATCATGGCTCACTGCAGCATTGACCTCTTGGGGCTCAATTGATCCTTCTACCTCAGCCTTCCCAGTAGCTGGGACGACAGGCATGCGCCACCATGCCCAGGTAATGTTTGTAATCGTTGTAAAGATGGGTTTTGCCATGTTGCCCAGGCTGGTCTTGAACTGCTGGGCTCAAACAGTCAACCCACCCTGACCTCCCAAAGTGCTGGGATTACAGGTGTGAGTCACTCTACCCAGACAAAACTTAGGTTTACCCTATACTGTAGTCTATTAAGTGCATAACAGCATTATGTCTAAAAAACAATGTATGTACCTTAATTTTAAAATGTTTTATTGCTCAGAAATATTAACGATCATCTGAGCCTTCAGTGAGTCGCAATCGTTTTGCTGGTGGAGGGTCTTGCCTCAATGTAAACGGCTGCTGACTGATCAGGGTGGTATTGCTGAGAGTTGGGGTGGCTGTGGCAATTTCTTAAAACAAGACAACAATGAAGTTTGCTGCATCAACTGACTCTTCCTTCCATGAAAGACTCTGTAGCATGTGATGCTGTTTGATAACATTTCACCCACAGTAGAACTTCTTTCAAAATTGGAGTCGGTCCTCTCAAATTCTGCTGCTGCTTTGGCAACTAAGTTTATGGAATATTCTCAATCCTTTGTCATTTCCACAATGTTCACTTTCATCTCAAGAAACTACTTTTTGGCCAGGTGCGGTGGCTCACGCCTGTAATCCCAGCACTTTGGGAGGCCGAGGTGGGCAGATCACAAGGTCAGGAGATCGAGACCATCCTGGCTAACATGGTGAAACCCTGTCTCTACTAAAAATACGAAAATTAGCCAGGTGTGGTGGCGCTTGCCTGTAGTCCCAGCTACTCGGGAGGCTGAGGCAGGAGAATGGCGTGAACCTGGGAGGGAGCTTGCAGTGAGCCAAGATCGCGCCACTGCACTCCAGCCTGGGCGAGAGTGCGAGACTCCATCTTAAAAAAAAAACTACTTTTTTGGGCTGGGCGTGGTGGCTTGTGCCTGTAATCCCAGCACTTTGGGAGGCCAAGGCGGGTGGATCACCTGAGGTCAGGAGTTTGAGACCAGCCTGACCAATATGGTGAAACTCTGTCTCTATTAAAAATACAAAAATTAGCTGAGCATTGTGGCGGGCACCTGTAATCCCAGCTACTTGGGAGGCTGATGTAGGAAAATCACTTGAACCCAGGAGGCGGAGGTTGCAGCGAGCCAAGACCGCACCACTGTATTCCAGCCTGGGCGACAGAGCAAGGAGGCTCCATCTCAAAACAAAACAAAACAAAACAAAACAAAACAAAACAAAACAAAAAACTACTTTACTGCTCATCCATGAAAAGCCACTCTTTATCTGTTAAATTTTGTCCTGAGATTGCAGCAACTTGGTCACATCTTCAGGCTCCACTTCTAATTCTAGTTCCCTTGCTGTTTCCACCACATCTGCAGTCACGCCTCCCACAATAGTCTTGAATCCCTCAAAGTCATCCATGAGGGTCAGAATCAACTTCTTCCACACTCCTGTTAATGTTGATATTTTGACCCCTTCTCCCATGAGTCACAAATGTTCTTAATGGCATCCAGAATGGTGAATCCTTTCTAGAAGGTTTTCAATTTACTGTGCCCAGTTCCATCAGGGGAATCACTATCTATGGCAGCTATAGCCTCATGAAATATATTTTTAAATAATAAACGTTGAAAGTCGAAATTGCTCCTTGATCCATGGGCTGCAGAAGGGATGCTGTGTCCGCAGGCATGAAAGCAACATTCATCTCCTTGTACGTCTCCATCAGAGCTCTTGGGTGACCAGGTCCACTGTCAATGAGCAGTACTATTTTGGAAGGAATCTTTTTCTGAGCTGCAGGTAGTGGCCTTAAAAGACTGAATGAGCAGTGGCTTCGACTTAAAGTCACCAGCTGCATCTGCCGCTAACAAGAGTCAGCCTTTCCTCTGAAGCCAGGCTCTGAGGCCTCCTCTCTAGCTATGAAAGTCCTAGATGGCATCTTCTTCCAAAAGAAGGCTGTTTTGTCTACACGGAAAATATGTTGTCAGTGTAGCCACCTTCGCCAATGATCCCAGACAGATCTTCTGGAGAACTCGCTGCAGCCTCTCCACCCGCACCTGTTGCCTCATTTGCCCTTTTATGTTACTGGGACGGCTTCTCTCCCTAAACCCCATGAACCAACCTCCGCCAGCTTCAAGCTTTCCTTCTACAGCCTCCTCAGCTCTCAGCCTTCATGGAACTGAACAGAGTGAGAGCCTTGCTCTGGATTAGGCTCTGGCTTGAGGGGATGTTATATCTGGTTTGATCTATCCAGACTCAACTTTCTCCATATCAGCAACAGGATGCTTCACTTCTTTATCTTTCATGTGTTCACTGGAGGAGCACTTGTAATTTCCTTCAAGAACCTTTCCTTTGCAGTTGACTTGGCTAACTGGTGTGAGAGGCCTAGCTTTCAGCCTGTCTCGACTTTCAACATGCCTTCCTAAGTTTAGCCATTTCTAGCTCTTTATGTAAAGTGAGAGACGTGTGACTCTTCCTTTCACTTGAACACGTAGAGGCCATTGCAGGGCTATTAACTTACCTAATTTCTATAGTGTTGTGTCACCGGGACTGGGGAGGCCCAAGGAGAAAGGGCGAGATGGCAGAATGGCCCGTGAGTGGAGCAATCAGGACACACACAACATTGATGAAGCTCATTGTCTTCTATGCGCACGGTTCATGGCGCCCCAAAACAATTGCCATAGAAGCATCAAAGGTTATCACGGCTGATATAATAATAGTGGAAAAGTCTGAAATATCCTGAGAGTTACCAACATGTGACACAGACACAGTGAGCACATGCTGTTGGAAAGATGAGACTTGCTCAAGACAAGATTCCCACAAACCTTCCATTTATAAAAATACAGGTAACCGCTTCGAAGCACAATAAGACAGGATATGCCTGCAATCAGATATCCCATGCAGAAATATGGACTTGGATCTACAGCATGCACATTGTATAAAAATTAACTCAAATGGATAAAACCTAAAACTTCACCAAAGAGGACAGACACCAGGACAGCAAAGAAGCCCATTAAAAAATGCCCCACAGCCAGGCGTGGTGGCTCACGCCTGTAATCCCAGCACTTTGGGAGGCCGAAGCAGGTGGATCACTTGAGGTCAGGAGTTCGAGACCAGCCTGGCCAACATGGTGAAACTCCGTCTCCACTAAAAATACAAAAAATTGGGGGGGCGTGGTGGCAGGCACCTGTAATCCCAGCTAACCAGGAGGCAGAGGTTGCAGTGAGCTGAGATCGCGCCACTGCACCCCAGCCTGGGCAATGAGAGTGAATCTCCATCTCCAAAAAAAAGCTCCACATCATTAGTCGCCAGGGAAATGCAAATCAGAAACACAATGCGATACCACTACACACCTACTGGAATAGCTGCAATTTAAAAACCCAATGATACCAAGTCCTGGTGAGGATGTGGAACAGCAACTCTTGCCACACACTGCTGAGGAGACCCTGACACGGTGCAGCCACTTCAGAAAAGAGTTTGGCAGTTTCTTATCAAGTTAAACAAACACTTAAAAAATGACCTCAGAGAATTGAAATTTATGTTCACACAAAAACCTACACCTACAGAATGTTTACAGCAGCTTTGTTATTAATCACCCCAAAGTGAAAGCAACGCAAATGTCCTTCCACCAGTGAATGAAAAGCAAGCTGTGGTTTGCCCACACAATGGACACTGCTCGCAACAGAAAGGGAGTTCTGATACACACGAGCGCGTGGATGAACCAATTCCAGGTGTGTTTTGCTAAGAAGCCACATCCAA
Organism: Homo sapiens; assembly: GCF_000001405.40. Classification (NCBI taxonomy): domain Eukaryota; kingdom Metazoa; phylum Chordata; class Mammalia; order Primates; family Hominidae; genus Homo; species Homo sapiens. The sequence goes on from NC_000012.12 coordinate 132,631,198, forward strand.
AAGGCTGCACAATGTCTCTACTTATGTGACGCTCTAGAAGAGAAAAAAAATGCAGGGACGGAAGACACACCAGTGGCTAAAGGGTGTCAGGTGAGGAGGGCAGTGCGGGGAATGTTTTCGGGCGGTGACTATCCTGTATCCTGCTGATGATGATGCAATTCCATTCACCTAGGAAAAATCACAGAACTGCACGCCACAGAGTACATTTTACTGTATATAAATTACACCTTAATAAAAATGAATTTAAAATATGTAAAAGTCAATAAAGGAATTAAAATGGTGAGCTAAAAACACTTCTTCACCACAACCAGACCTTGAGGCTGTCACCTGATCTCCAGCGTAACCTTAGCCGTGTGTGAGATGCAGTTTGCTGGGAAGGCTGAGTGAGGAAATGGACAGTGAAGCACTCTGCTCTGTAAGGGCTGACACCCGCGGTCGTTATCTGGTAATATTATCCCTCCTTGGACTCAGCCTGCCTTTCCCAGAAAGGCCTCAGCATCCGAGCAAGCTCTCATCTCATCAGCTCTGGGTCCTGGTCCAGCCTACTGGTCTCCGGTGACCCATCCTCCCAGCCGGTGGCACTGGGTGTTCGGCTGTGCCTTCACCAACACACCAAGCTCACCCCCCAGGGCCTTTGCGTCTTCCCTCCTCCTGCACCTGGTCCCAGCGCCCCTCACAGGCTCCATCCCCACAGCACCTGCGCCTCTGAACGGCCCTCTCCCTTCTCGGGTCGGCTGGCAGCAGACAGGCCCCACAAGGCAGGACCTTTCCTGTCTTGCTCACACCTGAGCACAGATGCCGCAACTGTGGCTGCATGTGACAGGGACATGATAAATGTTGGTGGAATGAACAAGTAACTTACACCTGCTCCTCACCTTGCACACGCTGGCACCCTGACCCTACACATGTAGGTACCTCCCCCTTGCACAGCTGAAAGCCTCATCCTGCATTCATTAACATCCTTACCATGCACAGGTATGTCGGTGTCCTTATCTTGCACACATACGCTAGCACGTTCATGGTGCACGCATTACAGCCTCACCTTGCACACAGTAACATTCTCGCCTTACACATGTACGTTAGTGTCCTCTCCTCACACGCACGCTGGCACTCTCACCTTGCACACGTATTTGATGAACTCCAGGGCAGGGTTATTGAGCAGCAAGTGGGAACCGGGGAGGACAGGAAACATCTCTGAGAGCTCAGTGGAGTTCCGAGAGCCTGTGACTTTCTTCTGAATCTTCTGAGTGATGGTGAAGAAGCTCTGAGTGAGCTCATTTGCGACATAATCCTGAGAGAAGGTGATCATTCCTGGAAGTATAAGGATGCTGAGGGAGGGGTCTGGGACCTGTCTGGCACTGGGGACCTCCCACCTGGGGGACTGGCACCGGGGACCACCCATGGCACACAGAGGAGTTAGGTCACTGGCACATGGCAGTGGCCTCAAAAGACAAAAGACTGCTCACCGGGAAGGGCTCCGACCGCCCCCTCGGCCTCCTGGGAGAGCTGGCTGGCCCCCCTCCTCCTCACGGGGGTGCTCCCTGGAGCACTGCGCCTCAGCCCGTCCTTCATGCAGTGGTACACGGCCACGATGTACGCTGTGGAGAGGCACACACACCACAGGCCCTGAGTCGGGCTGCTGCAAACACCCTAGAATCTGAGGGGACCCATGGCTGGTCAGATTGCCTCACAGATGAGGCTAAAATGTCATTGTTAATAATTTTATCTGCAGCCTTTAGATGAGCTAAAAGTAAATTAGAGAAGTGAGAAGTGGAAATGAGAAGGAACACTCGCTGACACCTGAGTTCATTGTCAGAGAGAAAACTGTATAAATGGGGCCATGTACACTAAGCCTCTCACTGGGTAGCGCGTGAAAGACAGCTCCCAACACAAGCAAAGGCAGGGCCCCTGGCATCAGCAAGCTTCTCCAAAAACTACTCCGGGCCTGTCACCTGGCACTTACCCTTTTTTTTTTTTTTTTTTGAGACACAGTTTCATTCTTGTTGCCCAGACTGTAGTGCAATGGCGCAATCTCAGCTCACTGCAACCTCCGCCTCCTGGGTTCAAGTGATTCTCCTGCCTCAGCTTCCTGAGTAGCTGGTATTAAAGGTGTGCGCACCACACCTGGCTACTTTTTGTATTTTTAGTAGAGATGGGGTTTCACCATGTTGGCCAGGCTGGTCTCAAACTCTTGACCTCACGTGATCCACCCGCCTCAGCCCCCTAAAGTGCTGGGATTACAGGCATGAGCCACTGCGCCCGGCCAACCCGGAACTTTTCAAAAGAGACATAGAAAGTTGCAAGAGAGAACTGAGAAAGTTAAAGACTCAAGGACAAGTAGACAAAAATATAAAATGATCATCAACGAAGGCCTCTGTGACCGCATCCACCTGTGTGTGCACATCACAACCTGCTGTTTTTACTTAGGGCATTCTTTAACTTAGGGCTGTCAACTACAAACAGTGCTTCCTCGATACACTTCATCTGCACACTAACCTGCATAGCTTGATTTGCAAACTCTAAGCCTGCAGACCCAAACCAAGGCATAGGAACTCCCCCACCAGAAAGTTAGGCCTCACAGACCAGCCAGGGGGCAGCTGACCTGACCCAGGGCTTTATCTTCAGCTACTGAACGTGCACACACACAAATGTTCCCTGGGAATGTATGTGACTGAGTTACCGAATCAGATGGCGGGAGCAGAGCTAGGAAACTCCTCAATGACACGGCCAGGGGCAGCCGCTCCCCATGGAGTTTCCTGAGAGCAAAGGCTGGAGGGAAGACAGTCACCCCTCTCCGGGCCCTCCAGTGGAACATGCCTGGAGCCTGGAGAGGAGGCCCCTCGGCTCACAAAGTCCCAACTGCTGGGCAGGCTCCGCCCGATCTGATTTTCCCTGTCTCCCTTCTTGCGATACCATGGCACAGGAGCCACATCTACTAACCATGAGTCCCTTCAGTGGGGGCTGCGCAGCCCTGGGCTCTGGGCTTACCTGAAACAATCATGAGGAAGTAGTTCTGGCAGGAGGCTGCCTGTGGCAAAAACTGCAAAATGTTCCAGTTGTTTTCCAGTAAATCCTCCACGTTGGATTCCTCCGCCTCTTCCTCCTCCTCCCCATCTCTTTCCTCCTCATCGTCCTCATTTTCCTGCTCATCCTCTGCTCCCCCTGCTTTCTGGGAGTCTTGCTGTAACACATGAGACAACGCGGCTGTGTTTGCACCATCGCGGCCTGGTAGAGGGGTAGGATGCCACAGCGAAGGCTCCTCCAACCTGGGTCCATCTGCCCCGTTTGACCAGAGGCCTTCCTCGCAGTCAAGGCATCCCCTGGAGCCTGCGTGAATCCCCCAGGGTGGCTCCCAGTACAAAGTGCTTTGTGGGAAGCGCCTGGCACACAGAAGTGCTCGTGACCTGGGACTGTGAGCTTCACTCTGCTCTTCCAGAGTTCACTTTAATTGTTGAACTCCCACCCCCCAAGGACGAAAGAACCAGCCAGAGCTTCCCGGTGACTGTTCTCTCCTCTGAGTCCATGAATCTCCTGGGACGGCACGACCCCATCACAGACCCAGCCTCCCGCGCAGCCTGTGTTCGTGCCACGGCACCATCCACGTCTGTGTAGACACCGACACCCACTGCCACCTGCCCTGACCACACGCTGATCCCCTCCTCAGAGCGGTCTACACTGCCTGAGTTTCTACCCTCCCACTTTGTTCTGAATCCCTTCAATCAGGGTTTATCCCCCAACTCCAACCAGAATCGCTCCCATCCAGGTGTCCTGGGCAGTCTTGGCTTCATCCTGCCAGCTCCCAGAAGCGTCTGCGTCCTTACAAAGGGCTTTCCCTCTGACATCTGAGCCCCTGGCTCTGGTACCCACAGCTTCCTCTCAGTCCACTATGAGGGCCCCTGTGGAGGACACAGGCCTCCTCTCAACCCACCCAGCCACTCTCTGGCCACTCCTGCACCAGCTGACCACCCACGTCTCAACCTTGCAAACACCATGAGCCCCAGCCAGACGTGACCCCTTCCCCAGACTGCTCCCGACAGCCACCTCCACTCACCCACAGCCTGGCCCGCACCTGGGCATTTACACACATCCGATCCGCTGGCCCCTTGGCTCCACTTCAAAGCCCACCCAGGCCCTTCTCACCAACCTCGCTGCCCAGCATCTCCCTGACACAGGCACTAACCGGCTTTACCTGCCTGTGCCCTCCAATGGTGGGTTATCCACATGGGGCCAAGAAAGCTCCAACATCACCCACACAGAAGCTCCCATCCCCACGAAAGCCGAGGCCCTGCCCTGCCATGCCCAAGTTGCCTGGCTCTGTCAGCTCTCTGCCTGCATCTGCAACCACTGCTCCACTGACTTGTGCTTTGCCTCCCTGGTGTCCATCCGCTGGAGGCGCCTTATGCTCGCACAACTATGGTGCACTTCATCAGCTCTCGGATTCCCTGTCACCACCTCATGGGCCTCCACCTCCCTGTTGCCCACGGCAAGCCTTGCCATCACCAGGGCTGACGCCACACTCCACACTGACGTGCTTGTCTGCGCATGGTCCCTCCCCGTGTTCATGAGGGCAGGATGCGGGTGCAGTGTCTGCTGCTCACGGCCAGGCCCGCCGGGGCCCTGAGCACTCAGCACTTGCTGCAGGAATGAACGCGACCCCCAAAGCTGGCTCGGGTGCCACACTGCAGCTCGCTTACCAGTCCACAGTGAATACGAGATGAAACTTTTCCTTTGATTCCGCCATAGTTAGATGGATCCATCCAGAGAAGAAATTCCCAGCATCGAGAGAAAGAAATTGTCAGAGAATGGAAGGTCTCCTTTGAATGGATGCTGCAGAGGAAGCATTGAAGACGCTGCTTCAGTGAAATCGACCTTGTTCTCAACTTTCCTTTATTTCCCCTTGTATCTATCTGTACCCTCCACTTACTTAACACTGAATTTGAAAGTTCATTCAGACCACATCATCCCTCAGGCTTCCTGGGGAAATGTGGTAAACGTAAAACTAAGGAGGCCCACCAGGCCCCTGGGAGCTGGCGCCACAAAGAGAGCTGGGTGCCTCCTCGTGCTGGGGATGGCCCACAGGGTGTTCTGCCTCTGCTCTGCGGCCTTAGGTGACCTGCACCTGCTGGTAACCAACCACAGTGCTTCCCACTGCCAAGCTCTTTTAAGCTATCGTCATCCTTGTCACTCCTCGGTTAAGCCTCCCTAGCGCTGACCCAATCCTCTGCACATTAGATCCATTTAAGGAAAAAAAAAAAAAAAAAAAAAAAAAAAGAACAGGCCAGGCACGGTGGCTCACGCCTGTAATCCTAGCACTTTGGGAGGCTGAGGCAGGAGGATCGCCTGAGTTCAGGAGTTCAAGACCACCCCAGGCAACGTGGCAAAACCCTGTCTCTACAAAAAATACAAAAATTGGCTGGGCATGCTGGCATGCACCTCTAGTCCCATCTACTCAGTGGGCTGAGGTGGGCAGATAGCTTGAGCCCAGAGTTTGAGGCCGCAGTGAGCCATGACTGCACCACTGCACTCCAGCCTGGGTGACAGAGCAAGACCCCATCTCCTAAAAAACAAACAAAACCCCAAAAAATGGAAGAATAAACAAAGAAAGAGAGGAAGGAAGGAGGAACATCCTAAATCACAGTTTCAAAATGCAGCTGAGTAGCCCACATCGCAGCTCCTGCAGGAGAACTTTATGTTCTCCCTAACTCTGCTCTTCGCGCTAAGGAAGAATAGCAGCCTGTTTCTCGACATGAGCAACCCCGGCCTCCTCAGGTACAGGGCACCCCTGGAGCTGCCCATGGCCAACGTGGGGAGAGGCACATCCTTCCCATTATCTCAGCCATGCTCCGAAATACAATTCTAGCCCAAGCCAGCTTTCCCAGGCACACAGCGTGACCACTGACCATCAAGGCTCATCTTGGATAGACATAAGGGGCCACAGTGGGTCTGCAGGAGGACAACAGTGCTTTTGTGTTTCAAATTAATCCAGTGCATATGGTTTGATTAGGAATGAAAGTCTTATAAGCTCTACCTTCCTACTTCTCAGTGATAAGGCCTATTATCAATTTAGTGTCAGCCTTTTCTGCAGCGCCCCCAGATGCTACCCCTGTAACCATGCAAAGATCAGACCCATGCAGACTCTCTGTGCCTCCACAAGCAACTCCCCTCTGTGCTCAGAAAGGGCTGCATTCATCCCCAGGGTGAGCGCACCTAGGAGGGAGCTTCCTACTATCAGTTGAACAAAAGTTGCTGGTGGAGATTTTTCTGTTGCTTTGTCTTCTATTTAGATTTAAATAGTGCTGAGTGTGTGAGAAGCACAGCAAGGCCTAGGAGGGAACCTCAGGAACATGGCCTGGAAGGCAGGAAGTCAAAACCACACCAGGCTCTGACAGCTGAGAGCTGTGCACACCTGAGCACCCGGGAACCACACCACTCCACTCGCCAACACTGACGTCTATGAAAAGGCTTACAACGTCAACACTTACGGGGTGCATATATTCAGGGCACCTTGAATCTGTGCCCTGAATATCCATGGGGAAAAAAAGCAAACAAACAAAAATCACTGTGGAACCTTCTTAGCAAAGGCAGGCCACTTCCTGAACTTGCCCAACTCAAGCTGCACAGCTGAGTGGCCTCCGATCTGCTACCGCGCACAGGTGGCGGTAACCCCCTTTTCACGCTGCTCAGATTCACCATGGTGAGTCCTGCACTTCTAACGACCTCCCAGCCCACCCAGGAGGAGAGCTGGCACCTCAGGGGGTCATTTTAGCATCCCTCTCAAAGCCACAGTGCTGCGTCACCAGGACCAGCCAGCCGCACCTGCTGGTGATGTACTCCACGTAAGCGATGGCATCTTCCACACGGCGCTTCTTTGTACAGAGGATGATGCGGTTGAAGTTGGCGTAGATGACTGATGACCCCAGGCGCTTGAACTCAGCGATGAGCCTGTGGAGCAAGTTGAGAGTCCGTGGTGGAGACGCCACAGTCATGGAGAGCCAGAGGGCACCCAGAAAATCCAAGAGGGAAAAGAGCTGAGGGTCCTGAAGCAGAAAAGCCTCCGAGATACACTAGAACCCAGAAGCTAATGAAGAGCAAAGATTTCTGCATGGCAAAAATCCACCACAAACAAAGGCAAAAGATAACCAAAAACAGGAAAAAATTAGCAAATTCTTATCACAGAAAAATGGCAACTTTTTGTATGGAGACAACTCATTCGATATTTAATAAGAGAAGAACCACCAAAACTACAGAAAAATAGACAAAGGACTAGAAGAGAAAATTCGACTTCATTCATTGTAAGAATCCTAAGTTAAGACTGCACCAAGAAGCACTTTTATCCCAGCAGTTGGGTAATAATCCCCGGCCATGTTGGTGAGGCGCGGCCAGGGAAGAAGTGTCCACAAGGGGCCTCTGTGGGGCCGCTCTGGTGAAGTCCATCAAATCAGGATTCATCCCGAGTTACAACACCTCTGAGGCCTGCAAGAGGGCTACGCCCCAGCAATTACCCCACGGATCTATCTGCATGAGCTCATGCATGAAGCCTCTCACTGATTTGCTATTTGTAACAACGGCACAAGGCTGGAGAGAGGCTAAATGTTCTTTCATATGGCATGTCCTCACACAGATCTCCTGACACAGGCATATTTTCACTAAAACAACAAGGCACACAGCAATACAATGTGTAGCATGACTTTGTGCAGGAAAGGGGCAGGAGAGGAGGTGCCACCTAGTGTTCTCTGCAGGATGTGCAGGCGACGCTGCAGCAGCAGCTGCGTGTTTCTCTGGGATCCTTTGGATTGTTATGCTCCACAAACTCAGAAATACACTACTTATCCCAGAGGCACTGGCTGGCCATGTCTCTGGTTCTGGGGAGTAAGGGACCAGCCCAGCTGAGGACGCGGTGGACAGCCCAGGGAGGAGGAGCACTCACTGCAGGAAGAGCTTCTTCATCATGTTGTGGAGTGTGCGGTGCAGGGCAGGGTCATGAAGCAGAGAGGATGGCGACCGAAGCCAGCGGTAGAAGTGCATCACCTGGTTGTCTGCATAGATGTTGTGGTACTGGGTGATCTCCTTCACCCAGCCCACGACCATGCTCTTCAGGATCCTGAAAGAGAAGGTGCACGACACCCTCGTACCCTCAGCCTCCCACGCTGCTGCCACGCGGGACGCTCCAACTGAAATGGGCACAGGTTTTCCCTACACGGCTGGGTCCAAATCCGTCACTGTCGCCTCCCCTTCTCACTGTCCCCACCTTAAGTCACGGTCCAAATTTCATCCCTTCACCCTCATGCCTCATCTGTTTCTTCCCATTTCATTCCTTAAACTTGTTCAGGCTTCACCGCATCCCAAACTCTGTGTGTTCTAAAGCAGGACGGGAGGGCAGCACAGTACAAAGCAGCAAGTGTGTGACGGGCCGGGGACCCTGACAGGAAGGACACAGCAAAGCCACTGCCTAGACATCAGAACACCACACTAGGCCGGATGCAGAGGCTCACGCCTGTAATCCCACCACTTTGGGAGGCCGAGGCAGGTGGATCACCTGAGGTCAAGAGTTTGAGACCAACCTGGCCAACATGGTGAAACCCCGTCTCTATTAAAAATACAAAAATTAGCTGGGCTAGTGCATGCCTGTAATCCTGCTACTCGGGAGGCTAAGGCAGGAGAATCGCTTGAACCCGGGAGGTGGAGGTTGCAGTGACCCAAGATGGTGCCACTGCATTCCAGCCTGGGTGACAGAGTGAGACTGTCTCAAAAAACAAAAACAAAACAAAACAAAACAAAACAAAACAAAACAAAACAAAACATCACCATACCCACATGGCCCCAGCTGGTCAGAAACAAGAACTTAGAGGCCTCTCTCCCGCCTAGCAGGCTGGGCCCTGCCTTCCCGCCACTTCCTTTAAATGGACCATTCAGGCGCTCGCCCGTGAACTAACACATGCCTACACCCCATTCCCTCACACGCCTAGCTGCCCTGGGCACCCTCCCTGTCTGACTCTTCAGTCCTGCCTTGCAGGACCCAGGGATGGAGGATGGCCTCCCTACTCACGGCACCCTCCCTGCCCAGGAGCTGTAAGGAACACATCTTTGCACTTGTTCCCTATTGTGGTGGTGACTGATTTTGTGCCTTCCCTCTGAAGAGGCAGGGGCTGCCCTGGGCTGGGTCTTCCCTACGACACTAGGGGGAACACAAGGCTGGGCCCCTACACCGAAGCAATGGTCAGGCAGGTGGTACCTAGACACAGGTCACACAAAAGCCACAAGGGCGTGTGCCAGTGTAAACAAGTTTCCCGTTCCGGGGGGCCCTGGTCACAGGCCAGACAGCTAGGCATTGGCCAGTGCACTGTACACGCCCTGTCTGGCCCCCTTCACTTCCCATGGGGCAGAGATGCCAGCTGCTCTGGTACTGGAACCCCAATTCAGCTAAAGGATTCCAAAACTGCACATCACCCTACTGAAGAAGCGGGAACTTCAATGGGGTCAAGAACAGAATGTTACAAGAGAACCTACAGAGGTCCAAGTCCCATTCCTAAAACTCCCTTTCATCACAAACTCTTCAATAATTTGGCAAACCCCACATTCTCCAGAGCGGCAGTTTGGGTATCTGCTGTTGGACTCCTTCTACCTTTCAGGCCTGGGCTACTGTCTCTCTGCCAAGACCCTGCTCCCGGCTCCCAACTGCCTCCCTGCCTCTTTCCACCAGTCCTCTCCCTGCCTCATTTCCCAGCTCTGGCATGCTCCCTCTCCCCTTTTGTATGGAGTCATTAAAACTACAGCTGAGTACAGGCTCTGGAATTACAAAGACTTGTTTTTGAGCACCTACCCTTCCATTCATTTGTGGTATGACCACAAAGGCAGCCCCTCTGACCTCAGTTTCCTTATCTGAAAAACAGACAATAACCGCTCCCCGTCCCTGGGCTGATGTGGGGACAGAGGCAGAATGCGAAGTGCTCGGCCCACCTCCTGGTACACAGCAAGCATTGCCCAGCATGAACCACCGCTGGTGGGTAATGCGAGTAGCTGCCCTCAACCATGCTCTCCGCAGACTGATGGCTCCTGACCCTCAACCACGCCCTCTGCAGCAGACCGACGGCTCCTGACACCTAAGTGCTGATGCCTCACACATCATACTCAGTAGAGCTGGCTGGAGATCCCTGTGATGTACCTTTGGTCACATCGAAAAGTGGCCCTGGTTAGAAAGACTCTGTGTGAAGTACCTCTGGCCACAGGGAGGTCAGAGGCAGCACACTGAACAGTCGCCAGGGACCAGGCCGGACCCCCACAGTGGTAAAGACAATAGACTATGGAAAACTCGCCACACAGTGGTCTCTGGCTCTGCCATTAAGACTAAGGGAAGCCCAATGGACCCTGTCTTAGACCTTAGCTTTCCAAATTAAGGGCAAAGGATAAGACCCTTCTATTAGTAACACTCCTTCCCAGAGAGGGTGGCACCTGAAGGTGTTAGAGCACAGGGCTGTCTCATCGTAGCTGGCCGGGGCACTGGCAGCCTGACCACCCGTGATCATGTCCTCCAGGGAGGCCTGCTGGATCACGTCGAAGCTGATCCCCATGCTGTCGGCCCCCTCCATGTCGTTGACATGGTGAGACTGGAGAATGGTGTTGACGGCCAGGTTCTGAAGGTCCAGCTCCACACACACTGCACAGGAAGACGCCATGCTCAGCCAGCATCCTGCCAGCTCCAGCACCACCAGCCCCCTGGGCCTGACTCCAGCCACCACCACCTCCAGAACCAGCAACAGACCTGCCCACACCCATCCTCACACCTGCCAGGCTATTCAGATTCCCGAGGGCACAGGAGGCCCCACCTGGACCTTGACCCCAGGACCGTCTCCTGCAGCCTCAGCTCTGACCTGCGCGGTCGAACTCTGAGCCCATCCTCGGCACTATTGCCTTGAGAAGATGTCACAGAATGGCAGAAACACCAGCCAGGTCTCATGGGCCTCGTCCTCCCGCCCACTTACCTGTGGAGTAACAGCCTGAACTGTTGATCTCAACAGTGGCTTGGTCATCGAACTCCATGACAAGACAGTTGTCATCAGCCTCCTTTCCACCCAGGTCAGGGCGGGCTGTAGGGGACAGCCAGAGCAGGTGGTTGTGGCGCTGGAGGTGGCGGGCAAAGAAGAGGTCGGAGCCGAATGTGGAGATGTCCTCTGGTAGGTTCCCAATGGGAATGTGAAAGTACCTGCACCAGGGCACAGGTCAGCACCGGGGCACATCGCCGGGTCACAGAGACCACCGAGGCCGGCTCTGCCTGGGGACCACTGGCCCACAACGACAGTACTGTGCTCACCTGCTCATCTCGAAGGCCTGCGACAGGCAGGTGTCCAGGTTGAGGTAGTGACGGATCATGCGCCGGGCTCCATGGCGCTGCCAGTCCAGGACCCCATAGTTGATCTTGTCAGCCACACAGATAGGCACCAGTGGGAATTCCTCCAAGACAGGAATTTCACTGGCCAGCCTCTTCAGCTCCCAGCTGGACTGAACAGCGATGAGTGTGGGCCCCCGGCGCTCCTCCTGGGTCAAGGCAAAATGGAAGAAAAGACCTGGGTGGACCCAGCCTCAAAGAAGATGGGGCTCACACAGCAAGACCCCAACCACTCTCACCTTGTAGGCGAGCAGGAATCGCTGGATGGCTCTGCAGATGGTCTTCAGGTCAGTTTCTGCCCGAACTTCGAAGGTGTGTTTGGGGGGTGGCAGGAGCTCAGGGCCCACCTTCTCCAGGAGGAGGCCGTGCTCTGCTGAGTACAGGGCGCCAAGGCTGGGCATCTGGTTGCTGCGCACCTAGACCAACGCAGGCCACGTCAGCCTCCCCCTGCGCAGGAGGAAGTGGGGGCAGCCCTGGGGCAGACTCCACCACTGCCACGGCACTGCCAATTCAATCACGACAAGCACTCATGGGCAAAGGCCCTTGAGGACAAGACCTGGAGGGCCTGGGCACCCTGGGAGATGTCCTCCTTCCCCAAACCCTGCCCCAGCCAATGTGCTGCCATGGAGGGCCCAGGACTCACAGTGTCCAGCACAAAGACGGATGCCCTGCGCTGTGAGGGGATGAAGATCCCGAAGAGCGCTTTGTGGGCCTGTGCGTGGTGGTACAGGTAGATATGGCGGATACTCCCTGGAGAAGGAAACAAGACCGTCACCCCAGATGTGTGGGAGGCAGGCACATGATGGGCGGCTGGTGCAGGCCATACCTGGTTCCAGGTAGCTGAACTGGGCCAGAGAGCGCATCTCCAGGTGCTCAAGAGCAAAGGTCTCTGCTTCCCAGCCTGAAAGGTGCCTCACCAGCTGTTTATTGACCACACACACACAGCCCAGGTGCACCAGGGCCCGGAACAGTAACGGAACCTGGAAGAATCGGGCAGACAGGCCGGCAAGGGCTGGATGGTGGGGGCTCTGGCTGCCCACGTGACTTCTGCCCGGGATGTGGCTGTGCCCCTGCAGCTGCCCGGCCCACTGCCCAAAGGCCACTTTTGGCAGACACACTGCTGACATTCACCTCACCTGTGGGAACGAGTCCACTGTCGCTGCTGTTCCCCAGCCCACACCCTGGGCGGGTTTCTTTCCTCCATACCACCCTGCTGGAGCCTCCCCCAGTTCAGTCGAGGGTGGCTGGGGAGTCACCTGAGTCTCATATACGCCCTCGATGTCTGGCGCTGACAGCTCAGCGTTGATCTCGTTGATGTGTTCCTGGTACATGTCCTCTGGCACTGAATACTCATAGAGATTGTAGACCATGTTGGAGCGAGGAAGGACCCGATTTACCTGGCGAGAATACGACGATGATCTCGTCACTGGGCGTAAGTGGTAATGTCTGTGGTACACACACAAAGCACACGCTATTCGGAGTCCTAGACTTCTGGTGCCCCTAGCGACGGGGTACACCCACCACGCCACAGTCCACCTCTCTCAATGATTACAACTAAAAACTCTGGATGTAATTTTTATGTTATTTATTTATTTTTTACAGACAGGGTCTTAGTCTGTTGCCCAGGCTGGAGTGCAGCAGTGTGATCACAGCTCACTGCAGCCTCCAACTCCTGGGCTCAAGTGGTCCTCCAGCCTCAGCCTCCTGAGTAGCTGGGACAAGGAACACACCACCACGGATGGCTTTTTTTTTTTTTTTTTTTTTTTGTAGAAAGGAGGTCTCACTATGAGGCCCAGGCTGGTCTCAAACTCCTGGACTCAAGTGATCCTCCCAAATCGCTGGAACTGCAGGTGTGAGCCACTATGCCTGGCCTCTGGACGCAATTTTGAAAAGCAACCTGCAGCCTCTGAGAATAGACAAGAGCTGTCAGAATACAGCAGTCAACACTGATCTGGGGAGGTTCCCAGTTCATCTTCCTCCATTCTCTCATGGGTTTAACCTGAGGGTGTAGATGGCAAAAACTGAGAGAAATCACATTTTCCTAGTCAGAGAAACGGAAAGAGAGCCCCTGGGGGAGCCAGAGTGTGTGTGTGGGGTCCTGGGGGGCTCTGGGAGAGCTGGAGAGGGGCACCCTAGCTTCGTGAATGGGGTCCTGGAGGGGTCTGGGAGAGCTGGAGAGGGGGCACCCTAGCTCCCTGTGTGGGGTCCTGGGGGGGTCTGGGAGAGCTGGAGAGGGGCACCCTAGCTCCCTGTGTGGGGTCCTGGGGGGGTCTGGGAGAGCTGGAGAGGGGGCACCCTAGCTCCCTGTGTGGGGTCCTGGGGGGGTCTGGGAGAGCTGGAGAGGGGCACCCTAGCTTCCTGTGTGGGGTCCTGGGGGGGTCTGGGAGAGCTGGAGAGGGGCACCCTAGCTTCGTGAATGGGGTCCTGGGGGGGCCTGGGAAAGCTGGAGAGGGGGCACCCTAGCTTCCTGTGTGGGGTCCTGGGGGGGTCTGGGAGAGCTGGAGAGGGGCACCCTAGCTCCCTGTGTGGGGTCCTGGGGGGGTCTGGGAGAGCTGGAGAGGGGGCACCCTAGCTTCCTGTGTGGGGTCCTGGGGGGTCTGGGAGAGCTGGAGAGGGTGCACCCTAGCTTCCTGTGTGGGGTCCTGGGGGGTCTGGGAGAGCTGAAGAGGGGGCACCCTAGCTCCCTGTGTGGAGGGCTGGGGGAATTCTGGAGAGGCGAGCTGGAGAGGGGTACCCTAGCTCCCTGTGTGGAGGGCTGGGGGAATCCTGGAGAGGAGAGCTGGAGAGGGGGCACCCTAGCTTCGTGTGTGGGGGGCTGGGGGAATCCTGGAGAGGAGCACCCTAGCTTCATGCATGAACCAGCAGCACAAGTCCCAGGCTCACTACGAGCTGCACTTGCACAGGTGACCCAAAACAACGCAGCAGAGGCTCTGGAGGCTGAGCTGACATTGGAAGCTTTGCACAAAGAGGCAAGGAAGAGCTTGGGCACTGGAATTAACCGTGTTGGTTGTTGCTAAAACAAACAAACAAAAAAACCTGACACGCTAAAGGATTTTTAAAAATACCCAAAGTCTCAAATATGTAAAATGTCCAGGTTGCAATAAAGCGTTATTTGGCGTAACAACAACCAGGAAAATCTGAATAATTCTCAAGCGAGAAGAGAACCAGTAGGGTTAGATTTTTCCAGTAACATGAAATTAGACCGACACACACACACACCCACACACACACACACAAAATCAAAGAAATGAAAAATTATGTTCTGGTAAATATGAACTGGAACAATTAGTGTAATTGCACTTTTTAAAATGTATATATTTCCTGGCTGTTCACTGAAGGAATCTAGATGAAATGATACCCCTTGAGCTCTAAGCTTGGTTTCTCAACATAACCTCTCAACGAGGCTCAGGCTCTTTAGAGGAACAGCTAATTCCACGTCTGGAAGTTCAAGGTGAGCCTGGCCTCTCTTAGTGGCCAAAAAGCAAGGAAGTTTTCAAAGACCAACAGGGCATGTCAAAAGGACTCAGGTGCCAGCTTGAAGGGATCTGGCCAGCCCAATTTGGGATAATTTGAGTCTCAAGAAGATATTGACCACCAAAGAGTCTACTGTCTGGTTCCATTAATATGAAGTTCTAGAAAGTCACATGCACACAGTTACAGAAATACAGAAATCAGGCCAGCAGAAGGTTGCACAGGGGGACAAGAGCACCCTCCCGGGTGATGGAAACGTTCTGCACCTGGGTGGGGGTGTGGGTGACACAGGCATAGTCATGTGTCCAAAAACCCAATCAACTGCACATTTAAAAATCTGCACTTAACTATATGTAAATTACAGTAAGTCCTCACTTAACATCAATGGATTCCTGGAAACTGTGATGGTTAAGTGAAGTAATGTATAGCAGGTCCTCAAATAACATCATTTTGTTCAACATTCTTTCTTCCTTTAAAAAAAAAAAAAAAAAAATTCTGGGGCCGGGCGCCATGGTTCAACCTGTAATCCCAGCACTTTGGGAGGCCGAGGTGGATGGATTACCTGAGGTCAGGAGTTCGAGACCAGCCTAACCAACACAGAGAAACCCCATCTCTACTAAAAAATACAAAATTAGCCGGGCGTGGTGGTGCGTGCCTGTAATCCCAGCTACTTGGGAGGCTGAGGCAGGAGAATTTCTTGAACCCGGGAGGCGGAGGTTGCGGTGAGCCGAGATGCGCCACTGGACTCCAGCCGGGCAACAGGAGAGAAACTCCATCTCAAAACAAACAAACAAACAAATAAAAATAAATAAATTTAAAAAATACTCTGTAGAGAAGGGGTTTTGCCACGTTGCCCAGGCTGGTCTCGAATGCCTGAGCTCAAGCAATCCACCAGCCTCAGCCTCCCAAATTGCTGGGATTACAGATATGCAGCACTGCGCCTGGCCAACACAGTTTCATTATAGTTTCTGAGAAGAAAAAAAATCTGTTTCATTATACATCATCTTACTTAGTCATTTCACTTAAAATTGCAGTTTCTAAGGACCTATCAACAACATAAAGTGAGGGCCTACCGTGTACCTTAACATACCTAACGTGTGTGTGTTGGGCGGGATTTGGCTACGGTTGATGTTAAAACATTAAACACTGAGGCAGGAGGATTGCTTGAGCCCAAGAGTACAAGGCTGCAGTGAGGCAAGATCATGCCACTGCACTCCAGCCTGGGTGATGGAGTGAGAGACCTTCTCAAAAACAGAAACAAAAAAGTTAAACAAAAATCCTCTAATCCATAGTAATACTTTAAAAAGAGAGGAAAAATGAAAGGAATAAACCCATTTTGCCATGCCCTACCTTGAAAATTAAAAATAATTTAAAGGGAAAAAGCATTTATCTTGCTTAAAAAAAAAAAAAGCGTATTATCCCTCTCGTATCTTGCTTTTTAAGGAATAGAGTTCATTTCTACCTGATCTGCACAAAGCTCTTCGTTATAAAGGAAACAGCTAATACACACAGAGGAACAGAATCTGAAGATATCATCCTGGAGCCCCATGGACCCCACGAGACATGGATGCTGACACCATCCAGTCAAACGTTGAGGACAGAATATTCACACAGCGCCAGAACCTCCCTCGAGATGAGCTGATAGTCATAAAGGGAAACATCCCAAAAGTTAGGGCACTTCCACACGGCCACAGCACCACAGCACCACGCATCGAAAGGAAGGTGTAGAAACCCCACAGTCCCACCTGTTCTCTGTGGTCTCGATGCCTCTGCGTCCGCTTTCCTCTTGTTATCCGCCCACCTCGGTCTCCCAAAGTGCGGGGATTACAGGTGTGAACCACCACACCTGGCTCTGCGTCTACTTTCTATATGCACATTCTACTGAATCACCTGGCTGGAATCGAGTTTCACCTTCTCCAGAAAACCTCCTTGTGTAGGTACAAATATGCACACCTCATCTCCCCAACTACGTGTCACTTCTTACGTGATTCACAGCATCCAGTCAAGAAATGTGCTGAGCCGACACATTAACAACGGGGAGTTCGGGTGGAGATGCCATCTAAGAGCCTCAGCGCACTCATGGCCACATGAAAACCCTCGCAGTTTCTGCAGGTGGAAGAAGCCCAGCACAAAGACCCACCTACTGTAGGGTTCCATTTACATCAAATGCCCAAACAGGCAAACCCAGAGACAGGAAGTGGATCAGTGGCTACTGAGGGCTGGGGGAGGATGGTGACAGGTAAGGGATGCCAGGTTTCTTTTTGGAGTGATGAAAATATCCGAATGGGGGGGTGAGGGGAGGGGGAATATCAGGATAAACAGCTAATGCATGTGGGGCCTAATGCCCAGGTGACGGGGTGATGGGTGCAGCAAACCACCATGGCATGTGCTTACTTATGTAACAAACCTGCACTTTCTGCACATGGATCCCAGAAATCAAAGTAAAATTAAAAAAAAGAAAAAAAAAGAAAATGTCACTATTGACTGGCAATAGTCATGCCACTAAAAGTCATTGAATTCTGCACTTTAAATGGGTGAGTTGGATGGCGTAACTTTACATCCCAATAAAGCTGTTAACAACCAAAGAGCCTACGGAGACAGAGTTCACAATCTCTAACCAATGCCACTTGGTTTGTCCCCGCAACATGGACCTCGCGGGCAGACAAGCTCATCGTGACAAGGACACCAGCAGCTCCATTCCCGGCACTCGCTCTGCCCCAGGCTCGGTGCTCAGCGCTCACACACGTTGTTTTGAGGAATTCCTAGAACATCCCCATAAGGTACTGAGGAGATGGAGGCTGGAGGCCAGGCTAGATCATGGGAAAGCCACCTCAGGCTGCCCAGATGACTGCAGAGGCAGCACCAGCTCCTCCCTACCTTGCGATACGAAGCACCCTCCTCCGCTTTAGCGACTCGCTGGTTCACGTAGAACACACGGGGGATGCTCAGCCTGATGCAGTGCAAGTCACTGCCAACGAGCGCCCACAGCCTGAACAGGCCGGCCTGGCTGGTCTCGCTGATCTGAAAGGCCACACGGACATACAGCACATCACAGGACACACTGGAACCCACAGACGGGGCCACCTTCCAGGTAGCTTGCAGCTCCCAGCACAGGGCCTTAGGCCTCCCTACGATGGGCAGGAAACTCCAGGCCCACTCTAACCCTCCCATCCCAGACCTCAGGGCCCAGCTGGACACCCCCTCCCTGGGCCATCAGCAGAGCCACTGCCCTCCCCTTGGATCAAGGTCTATACCTGCACAATCTGCCACGGAAGGTCCAGGATGCTGCGGGCAGTTCTTCGCAAGAAGCTCCCCAGCCCCGTGGCAGGACCATCCCGGATGGCCCCGGGCCTGAGCACACCCTCTGCCGACTCCAGACGCTGCCTCTTCCTGCGGGCGAGGCGCTGCCGGGCCTGCAGCTGCCACTTCTTCTTGTGGAACCGGAGCCAGACAAGCCATTCCTCCTGGGATGGATGGTGAGCACAGCCAGTGTGCAAGTGGTGAGATGGGAATGCCCGCCATGACTTTCTCACAAGCAGCCTCCCTAGGGGTCAGGACGCATCTCGGGCTCCCTGGGCTGTGCAGACCCCTCAGAGACAGACAGTATCACAGCTGTGTGCCTTACCTGGCTGGTTCCCAGGGCGGGAGGCTGCCCCAAGATTTCCTGCCAGGGCACAGTCGGCGTGAGGTCCTGGGACTCCTCCTGGCTCTCCCAAAGAACTCGCTTCCTCTTCACAGTGACAGGGGCTGCTGGGTGAGGCAGCTTTACGAGGCCGAAGTCCTCCATGTCAGGAGCACTTGGCCTCGGACTGTCTTCTGAGGCCTCGGCCATCGTGACCTGGAAAGACCCAGTGAAGCCTTAAATCTCAGGATCTCGGGCTGCGCAGGGTGGCTCATGCCTGGAATGCCAGCACTTTGGGAGGCCAAGACAGGAGAATTGCTTGGGGCCAGGAGTTTGAGACCAGCCTGGGTAACAGCAAGACCCTGTCTCTACAAAATATATTACAAATTAGCCAGGCGTGGTAGTGCGCCTGTAGTCCCAAGCTACTTGGTAGGCTGAGGCAGGAGGATCACTTGAACCCAGGAGTTGGAGGCTGCGGCGAACTATGATCACACCACTGAACTCCAGCCTGGGCAAGTGAGACCTTGCCTCATAAAAACAAGCAAACAAAAATCTCAGGATCTCATCCCCACAAATTCTACTTCTCGAAATCTAGTATAAGTATATCACCTGAAATGGGATGTTCGTTTACACAAGTTTATTGAACCTTTAATAGTGAAGGCCGGGTGTGGTGGCTCACGCCTGTCATCCCAGCACTTTGAGAGGCTGAGGTGGGCGGATCACTTGAGCCCAGGAGTTTGAGACTAGCCTGGCCAACATGGTGAAACTCCGTCTCTACAAAAAATAGAAAAATTAGCTGGGTGTGGTTGTGTGGGCCTGTGGTCCCAGCTACTTGGGAGGCTGAGGTGGAAGGATCACTTGAGCCTAGGAGGTAGGGGTTGCAGTGAGCCAAGGTTGCGCCACTGCATTCCAGCCTGGGCGAGAGGGTGAGACCCTCTTTCAAAAAAAAAGTGAAAAGATCAAACCGAAAAATAAAACGTCACTCAATACCACCAATAAGTAAATCTTTGCATTTTGCCATGTTTGCTCCAGAATGCTTTTTGTAAGAAAGAAAATATTGCAAATAATGGGTACAGCCCTCTTCTGTCTGCCCCCACACACCTTTAAATTTTTACCACATGTCCACAGACACATGCCACAGCTGTAAGTTTTAACCTAAATAGTAACATGTGGGACACATCTGACTGCAACTTGTTTCCTTTTTTTTTTTTTTTTTTTTTGAGACAGAATCTCACTCTGTTGTCCAGGCTGGAGCGCAATGGCACGATCTCATCTCACTGCAACCTCGCCTCCTGGGTTCAAGCAATTCTGCCTCAGCCTCCCAAGAAGCTAGGATTACAGGCACCTGCCACCAAGCCCGGCTAATTTTTTGTTGTATTTTTAGTAAAGATGGGGTTTCACCATGTTGGCCAGGCTGGTCTCGAACTCCTGACCTCAAGTGATCCACCCACCTCAGCCTTCCAAAGTGTTGAGATTACAGGCGTGAGCCACATGCCTGTCCCTGCAACTTGTTTCTTTATTCAGCCATGTATTTTTGAGACTGACACCGGGTGAAACATGCACATATGGTTCGTTCATTGTAACTGATGTGAAATGATTTATCATATAAACACATCAGCCTACCTACCCATGACTTTGCAAATGAAGAATGACAAGCGCCTACTTTTTCAAAACTACAAACTGTGACTCAATGACCATCTCTGTATGTGTTGCCTGGTCCCGGAGAACAACCACCTCCACCTCTAGCACCAGGGATTTCCTACTTCCCACAATCTTGCTACTTGATGCCACCACACTTACTTGCCTTCAGTGTGACCTGCTATCTAAATACATCATGCTGCATTTACCTCATCAACAGTAAGGCTGAACATCTTGGCCCTGTGCAGGCAGCTCCCAAAATGGCCCAACGACCCCCACTTCCTGGTGTTCACACCCTGTGTGACTCCTTCCCTGAGTGGGGGTGGGACCCGGTGACTTGCCCGTAATGAACAGATTCCAGCAAAAGTCATGGAATGCCACTCCTGAGAGCAGCTATAAAACACTGTGGCTTCTGCCTGGCTGGCACTCTCTCAAAAGTCCAGTGCCATGCTGTGAGCTGTCCTGTGAAGAGCCCCATGGAGCAGGGGACTAAGGATAACGTCCAGACAAAGGCCAAGGAGGAACCGAGTCCTGCCATCCCCATGGGAGGGAGCTCGGAAGTGGCTCCTTCTCCAGTGGAGCCCTCGGATACACGAGTGCATTTAAGTTGCTAAGTTTTGGGGTTACTTGCTATGCAGCAATAGATAGCTAACACGTTTATGAGCCATTTCTAACTTTTATACATTCTAAACATCTTCAAAATGTGACTCAGGCCTTTGTTTCATGGTGACTTCTGTGCTACATGTAAGTTTGTGTGTGTTGACTTCCTATCAGGAAAGTTTTCAAACATACACGAAAGCACAGTAATGAGCTCCCATGTTCTTATCACCAGTGTCAACAATTATCAACATTCTGCCTTTCTTGTCACAGACTACACAAGATTTAACTTTTAATTAATTGATCATTCTTTCCCTTTGTGATGTTTTTCACATGTGCCTTAAAAAAGCCCTTCCCACCCCAGCATCATAGTCTCCTGAGTTGTTTACCAAAGATTGTAGTTTCCTTTTTTTTTTTTTTTTTTTTTTTAAAGACACAGGGGTCTCGCTCTGTCACCTAGGCTGGAGTGCAGTGGTCATCTTGGCTCACCGCAGCCTCAACCTCCCAGGCTCAAGTGATCCTCCCACCTCAGCCTCCCAAGTAGCTGGGACTACAGGCATGCACAACCATGCCTAATGTTGTGCCGGATTTTTTTTGTAGAGACGAGACCTCCCTATGTTGCCCAGGCTCGTCTGGAACTTCTGGGCTCAACTGATCCTCCTTCCTTGGACTCCCAAAGCACTGCAATTACAGGCATGAGCCATCACACTCAGCCTTAGTTTCACACTCAGTGTGATACAACAACTTACTTCTCCAAATATGAAAAACCATTTTCACCAGCATCACTCACTGCAGTCCACTCTCTCCTTAACGATCTGTGACCTACCAACTTCCGACTAACAGGGGAGTCTGTTTCTAGGCTCCCAATCGGCTCTACTGCTCTCCTCTCATCTTGTCAAGATGCCATGATAGTGTGTCTCGTTACATAGTAAGATCAACGTGCCCTCCTTATTCTTCAAAATTCTTTGGTTATTCTTATCCTTACCCTTTATATGAATTTTAGGATTCGTCTGTCAAGTTCTATCCAAAAAGCTTTTGGCAGATTCTTTTTTATTGGAATTACACTGAATTTTATGAATTAATATGGGGCAAACTGCCATATTTTAATACTGAGTCCTTTCATCTGTAAAGATGGTACCTCTTTTTGTTACTTAGGTAAATTTTTATATGTTCAATAAAGTTGTGTATAGGCCAGGCATGGTGGCTCACACCTGTAATCCCAGTGCTTTGGGGGGGGCCCAGGCAGGAGGATCACTTGAGCCCAAGAGTTTAAGATCAGCCTGGGCAACAGTGAGACCCAGCCTCTACAAAAAATACATAGCCAGGTGTGGTGGTGCACACTTGCAGTCTCAGCTACTCAGGAGGCTGAGGTGGGAGGATAACGTGAGATTAAGAGTTCTAGGCTGTAGGGAGCCATGATCTTGCCACCGCACTCTAGCCTGGGTGACAAAGGAAGACCATGTCTCAAAAAGAAAAAAGTTGTGTAATTTTTTCTGTAAAAGTCTTACACACATTGTTACCATGAATTTATTCCTTAGTACATTATTTATTGCTATTGTAAATGGTATCTTTCAAAAAATATTTTGTTTCTAGTATAAATGAAAGCAATAGACTTTTATATCTTACCTTGGTATCTAATTGTTGCTGAAATACATATAAGTTAACACAAAATCTAGGTTTCCTTACATTTTCTGTTAACAAATTACATCGCCTGTAAATAATAAGTTGATGTCTCCCTTTTCAATCCTTAATTCTTTTTCTGGTTTAATTATGCTGGCTAGGATCTCCAAACTGTTTTGAACAGAAGCAGTGGTTAACAGGCATCCATTTCTTACTCCTTACTTCAATGCTTCCAGTGTTTTGTGGTTAAGTATGAGGTCTGCTGTTAGGTTTCAAGAACACTTTATCAGGTTAAGAAACATCTCATCTATTCTGATTTTGATTGTTCAAACTTTAACATGAGCAGATGTTAAAGTTTTACCGCATGTTGTTTCTGCATCTATTGGAGATGATCTTACGAGCCTTCTCCTTTAATGATGAATTAGTGGATTTCTCCCAAGAAAAACTAACCTGGCAAATTCTAAAATTAAACAGTGCTTGCTATTCCCAGCATAAGTCCTAGTTGGTCATATTGTTATTGTTCATGTATGTTGATATTTTTTCATCTATTGTTCATGGCCCGTAACTTTCCTTTCCTGTTTTCAATTATGTTACCAAAGTAACAAGGATTGCCAAGGTTACCAAATGAGCTAAGGGTTTTTTTTTTCCTTTTTCTCTTAAAAATCATTTGGGTT
Organism: Homo sapiens; assembly: GCF_000001405.40. Lineage (NCBI taxonomy): Eukaryota > Metazoa > Chordata > Mammalia > Primates > Hominidae > Homo > Homo sapiens. Next base: position 132,654,203 of record NC_000012.12, read on the forward strand.
TGATGTTTCTTTTACACTTATTTTTTTTCGTCTCTTTTTTTTTTCTTTTTGTGGAGAACGGGGTCTCGCTATATTGCCCAGGCAGGTCTCGAACTCCTGGGCTCAAGCTATCCTCCCGCCTCTGCCTCCCTGAGAGCTGGGATTACAGGTGTGAGCCACTGCGCCTGGCCTGTTTCTTTTTAAGTGTCAATTTCTGTAATGGTTAAAGTTCTATTCAGGTTTTTATTACTTCTTAGGTCAGTGCATAACTTGAGGATACTGTCCGTTCCATCTATGTTTTCCAACTGTTTAGCAGAAAATGGGAATCCTTCCATTTTTTTAGGCTTTACTATATCTATAATGATGTCTGTTTTCATTAAAATAAAAAACTCTGTCCTGAAAAAGATGTGACCAGCCAGGACAACATGACAAAACCTTGTCTCTACAAAAAATTACAAAAATTAGCTGGATGTGGTGGTGTGCGCCTATAGTCCCAGCTATGCAGGAGGCTGAGGCAGGTGGATCAATTGAGCCTGGGAGGTCAAGGCTGCAGTGAGCCATGACTGCGCCACTGTACTCCAGCCTGGGTGACACAATGAGACCCTGTCTCAAAAGAAAAGAAAAAGATGTGACTATTTTCCTAAGTCTTTTCAAAGAACAACATTTTGGTTGTATTGTTTGTTTCACTCATTCTGGCTCAATTTTGTAACCTCTTTCTTTTCTTTCTTGAGTTGGGTTCTCCCTGTGTTGCCCAGGCTGGGGTGAAGTGCCTATTCACAGGTGCCATCATAGCCCACTACAACCTCAAATTCCTGGGCTCAAGCAATCCTCCTGCCTCTCAGCCTTCCGAGTAGCTAGGACTATAGGTGTGCACCACCATGCCTGGTTACCTTTATAACTCTTTATAACTTCTGTCTACTTCCTCTGATGGATCTGTTGTTCTCTAACTTTTTCAGTTGGAAACTTAATTTTCTATTTGTTTTTCTTTACTAATACATGCATTTAGATATATAAATGCGTATACAAGTCCTGTTTAACTGCATACTACAAATTTTAATAGCATTTGTATTTACATTCAGTTCCAAGTATTGTCTAAGTTCTATGACTTTTTTGATCCACAAGTTATAAATGTGTTTTTTTTTTCTTAAATTTCCAAACATGGTCTGTATTTAAGTTATCTAGAATTGGTTGCAGCTTACTCTGTGGTATATATATGGTCATTATTTTATGTATTCTTGAAAAGGATAGGTATTCTCTAATTTTAGTGCAAGACTACATTTGTTCACTAAATGTATTATAGCTAGTGACTAAATCTAGTTAGTTGATTGTGTCATTCCAAACATATTTTTGCTGATTTTTGGTCTGCTCCAACTATCAATTGAGGGAGGGATGTTAACATCTCCCAAACTGATTGGAGGTAAATTCTTCTTATAATTAGGTAAATGTTTACATTATTTAATGTGAGGCTACATTGTTACAATTAGTATATATTTCCAGAGAATTGTGACTTTCAGTATTATGTAACAATAGTCCTTATGTTTCCTAATACTTTTGGCCTAAAGAGTATTTTGTCTGGTATTAATACAGCCACATCAGCTTTCTTTTGGTTAACATTTACCTGGTATACGTATTTTTTACTCCTTTTGCTTTTCCTGCGTCCTATCTTTTCAATATAACTCTTGAAATTGTTATACTGGCCCATAAGCCACTGGGCGCAGTGCTGTATTTCCAGCACTTTGCGAGGCCAAGGCGGGTGCATTCACCTGAGGTCAGGAGTTTGAGACCAGCCTGGCCAACATGGTGAAACCCCGTCTCTACTAAAAATTTAAAAAAAAAATTAAAAAAATAAAAATTAGCTAGGCATGGTGGTGCGTGCCTATAATCCCAGCTACACTAGAGGCTGAGGCAGAAAAAAATTAAAAAAATAAAAATTAGCTAGGCATGGTGGTGTGTGCCTATAATCCCAGCTACACTAGAGGCTGAGGCAGGAGAACTGCTTAAACCCAGGAGGCAGAAGCTGCAGTGAGCCAAACCCAGGAGGCAGAAGCTGCATTGTGCCACTGCACTCCTGCCTGGGCAATAGAGCAAGACTCCGTCTTGGGGGGCAGGGGAAAGAATACATATATAACTCTTACAAATAAGACAGTTAAATTTTAAAATCCAATCCATCTCAGAACCTTTTTCTTTTTTTTTTTTTGAGACGGAGTCTCGCTCTGTCGCCCAGGGGAGTGCAGTGGCGTGATCTCGGCTCACTGCAAGCTCCGCCTCCCGGGTTCACGCTGTTCTCCTGCCTCAGCCTCCCGAGTAGCTAGGACTACAGGCGCCCACCACTACGCCTGGCTAATTTTTTGTATTTTTAGTAGAGATGGGGTTTCACTGTGTTAGCCAGGATTGTCTCCATCTCCTGACCTTGTGGTCTGCCCACCTAGGCCTCCCAAAGTGCTGGGATTACAGGTGTGAGCCACCGCACCTGGTCAAAGAACCTTGTTCTTGTCATGTGAGTTTGTATACTGCTCTGATTTATAGCTTACTTTTAATTTTCAGCATTTAAGAATTTTCCTTTTGCTCTTCTGACTTTCACTGTACCTTTTATTACACTGTGTCCTGTGTTTCTAAGTGTTTCCATAGGGAAGATATTCATTTCACATTCAGAAAACTGGGGCTTCAAGAGACAGTGATTTGCCCAAGGCACTGAGTCTAAGTAGTGCACCCTAATATTTTCACATAAGGAGACAGTTCCTTGCCCTCACCTCAGCCTCACAATGGTGTCCTATTAACAAAAGAGTGACACTCAGAGTTAGAGAGTAAAGTGCCAATGGGCACATTTTCAGAAAAAGTCCATTTTCGATGCTTGAACAGAAGCTTCACTACAGCACACACAGCAGCGCAAGAAGCCTGGAGTCCTGTGTGTCACAAGGATCCCGCCCAGCCCAGCCTTGGGGCCCCACCGTCACCTGTCTCCTGCCCTCCAGGGTGAAGAGCTCACTGATCTTCTTCTGCTTGTAGACATCATTCTTCTCCAGCAGTTTTTTGTGCAGCCAGTCGGGGTGTTTGACACGTGGCACTGGGTTCTTTACCTGTGTGAGGCCAACACCCATCAGAGAGAGACCCTTGTCTAACTGCACAGTTTTTAGCCCCACAGCCCGTGCCACTGACCCCGCCCTTACCTGCTGCAGGGCCGCAGGGATGGTGATGATCTTCTGGATGGCGCTTCCCAGCCGCTCAATGTAGTAGTCCCAATCCAGAATCTGCATGTGCAGGAAACGGGCACAGAGAACAGCAGGTGGCAGCAGCCAAGAGTGGGGCTCACTTCATGCTGAGCACAGGGCTAACCACTGTGTCTTATTTAATCCTCTCAGAAACTCTATGATGAAAGGTGCCCATTGCACAACAGAGGACACCAAGGCAGGGAGCTTCACTGACTCCTCTAGATCACAGAGCTAGTAGGTGGCTGAGCCAACACCCCTGGCCTTAGTCCATCCAATAGAACAGCTAAAGGGCCCCAGGCACTTCATGTTTTCAGTTTTGCCCTAAAAGGTTATTAGGTGCTCACCTATTACTTATCAGAAAGGAGGAAGTCAAGAGTGAAGACGCCAGACAAAAAACATAATCCAACTCAGACATATTCTGCTCTGTCTAGCTTTCCTTGTAAACTTTTAAGAGTAGAGAACGCAACTGGCACTCACTGCTCGAATATCAAAGTCTTGAAGGGAAGAGCTCTTGAGCCATTTCCGGAGAAAGTGCTTCCTCACCGTGGGCTCTGCTTGGAAAATGGCAAGTGGGATGGCCCTGGGTAAGGAAGACAGGCACACAGCTCAGTAACAGTGAAAATCACCCAAAATCTGATCCTAACTCTTATCAAATGAACATGGAAATAAGGACGTGTAACAGCTGTTCACAAACATCAATGTATACATCTGCGTGCATATGTATGCACAAACATGCCTACAGGTTCCTCGGGGAGTAACACGTGCGTATGTGTAAACACGTGCGTGTGTGCACGTAAACATGTCTACATGTTCCTCACAGCGTAACCATGGGCATGCATATACATAAACACATGCGTGTGCGTAGACATGTCTGCGTTTCTCATTGAGTAACCACGTGCATGCGTACAGGCAAACACGTGCATGTTCGTAACTATGTCTACATGTTTCTCACGGCATAACCATGTGCATGCACATACATAAACGCATGCGTGCGTAAACATGTCTACGTTTCTGAGTAACCACGCGCATGCGTATAGGCAAAGACATGCGTGTGTGCGTAAACATGTCTGCGTTTCTGAGTAACCACGTGCATGCATACAGGCAAACGTGCACGTTCATAACCATGTCTACATGTTCCTTGCTGAGTAACACACAGAAGACTCAGGCTGCTTTCTAGAAAAAACGAGCCTGTTTTCATGTCACTAGCAAAGCAACTGGCAACCGTCAGTGCTTCCCTTTCACTGGAGGAAACATCTGTGGTGAATACTGCAAACATAAGGAGACCTAAAGAAGACACGCACACTATGATCCACTCGGCTCCATCAAGCTTCAACACTTGGCCACTCTGACTTCCTTTGTGAGACGATTAGAGTGAAGCCCTGTGTGACCCCAACCTATTCCCTCCTCACACAGAAGTAAAGACAACCCTTATTCTGGTGTTCATCAACCCCATGCAGGCATTTGTACTGGTCCTATTTGTATATAACCACCAAAAAAAAAAAAAAAAAAAAAAAAAAAGAGCAGTTTCCATGTTTTTAAGTTTTACATACACGGAGGCATAAGGGTCTTCCTTCAACCTGATTTTTGCTTTTTTCTCCAAAGTGGTTTCAAACTGTCAGTGTTGTAACCTGTAGCTGCAATTCAACCCTTTGAACTCTGGTATAGTGTATCTCATTCCCTACAAAATGGCAATTATCCATTTCTGGTTGATGGACACTTATGCCATCCCCAAACTTGGTGTTAAACACAGCCCAAATCTGTAAGGAACCCCTTACCTCTCCGTGACAGGGCAGCCCTCACCTCTCTGTGATGAGGGGAGCCCTCACCTCTCCGTGACGGAGGGAGCCCTCACCTGTCCGTGATGGGAGGAGCCCTCACCTCTCCGTGATGGGGGGAGCCCTCACCTCTCCGTGACAGGGGAGCCCTCGGGCTTGCGGGAGATGATGTAGCGGCAACTCAGCCCTGCATCCTTGACCATCTGGTCTCCCAGGAACTCGGCCAGGCGCTTTGCTGTGCTGATGGACGTAGACTTCTGCTCCCCGTAATCTTCCAGCTTCCGAGACATGGAACGGTTCTCAGAGATGAGCTCGAATAGCTCAGAGTCAGGCATGTTGGCTGCCTAGAGAAAGACAATGGGTAAAACACTGCAGAAATCAAGGGGCAGAGTCTGAGCTCACCCTGGACTGTGCTCCTCTAGGCCATGCCCTTCTCTAGCCTGAGACGCAGAAGGCTGCAATTTCAAGAGCTCTCTAATATGCCTGTGTGGCAATACTTTAAAACATACACACACACACAAAACTTTAGCTTTTATATTTTTTTTGAGACAGAGTCTCATTCTGTCACCCAGGCTGGAGTGCAGTGGTGCAATCTCAACTCACTAAAACCTCCCCTCCTGGGTTCAAGAGATTCTCGTGCCTCAGCCTCCCAAGTAGCTGAGATTACAGGCACATGCCATCACATCCAGCTAATTTTTGTATTTTTAGTAGAGAAAGGGTTTTGCCATGTTGGCCAGGCTGGTTTCCAACTCCTGACCTCAAGTGGTCTGCCCGCCGAGGCCTCCCAAGTGCTGGGATTACAGGCGTGAGCCACCACGCCTGGCTTGGCTTTTATTTTATTAAACTGTGCACAAAATATCAAGAAGAATTTACTGAAGAGCACCAAGGCTGCAGAAAAGGATGTTGCTCGGCCTAAGACAGGAAGTTTTTCTCCTTGAAAGGAAGAGAAAGAAGGGGCAGGAAGAGCCAGAAGAGAGGAAAGAGAAACTCCGGCCGGCTGGAGAGTGGCCTGAGCAGTGGAGGCCTGAGCAGTTCCAGTGTGGCACCCACATCCAGCTGGAGCTGTGCTTTGCACACATGTTCCTGACCACAGGCCCCCCACATCCTGTAAGGAGTGCTGGGCTCATGAATATTCTGTGTGATACCCTGGTGCTCCCTTGCTCGTGTGTTTCACTCTATACAAGACAATATGCCAAGAAACAGAAGCCCACACAGCAAAGCAAGCCAGGAAAGCACTGCAGAGTGTTCCAGTATTCCTTCTACCCAAGACGCCTGTGCCTGGGAAACATATGCACCGAGATATCTCGTTCAATGCAACACCATTGATAACAATGGAAATGTGAAACCTATCTGGTAGTAAATAATCGTGGGCTAGTTACGTAAATTAAGGTATGTAAACTGTCAAAATGTTATGTAGCCTGAAAAATATAAAAAATACAAAGTAACATAGAAATAAACAAATATCCCAGGCTGGAGTGCAGTGGTGCAGTCACGGCTCACTGTGGCCTCTACTTCCTGGTCTCAAGTGATCCTCCCAAGTAGCTGGGACCACAGGCACGCATCACCATGCCAGGCTTATCACGCTATTTAGAAAAACGTTTCCCTCAGAGTTGTGTCCCTGGATGCAGAAGTTGAGGGGAACTCCAAGGGGGTAATTGTGCTCAGGAGGTCTTGGGATTTCATTAGGACTGGCCCTGTGTTCTTCGGTCACCTTGGTCTCCAGGAGCCCAGGAAGCACGGGGTCCCCTTCTTGCTTCATCCTTCATCCCTCAGAGCAGGTGAGGGTGGAGGGTAGGCCTTTACCTTGCTGTACAGCACGTCCAGCCAGTAGTCAGCCACCTTGGCTACAGAGCCATACACCTCTTCCAGCGTGCTGCCCTTGAGGAAGGCCTCAAACACCGAGGATTGGAAGATCTTAATCAGCTGCAGTTCCCCGCGGCGTTTGACCTCAAAGCCCTTGAGCTCAGCCAGAGAACCGTCTTCATTGAACACAGCATACCTGAAAAAAAAAAAAAAGGCAAGCACAGCAGTGGCAAGGAGCGCTGGGGAGCCACCAGCTGTGCCTCATCCTCTCTGCCCGCCTCTTCCCTTTCCAACCCTCCACCTGTCATCCACGAGGCAGCAAACGTCTCTCTCCCTTAGGCCACTGCTTCTCTAAAAGGAAAATGGCTGAAGGGCCTGCAGCCACAGAGCCAGAATACAGCAGGCGGGCAGACAGAGCTGGTGCAAACGGAATCAGTAAGATCACAAGAACCCAGGTCTGTTTCTATCCTGGCTCCTGATCCAACCTCCTTTCTGGGCTAAATTTAATCTATCTCAATCCATGTCCTTTCTAAAGCACAAAAGCTATGAGAGTCCCACCTCTTCTTCAATTTCTTGCCTTCTTCCTTGGAGGCTGGAAGAATCATGGCAAGGTAGGGCCCATCAACCTCAAAAAAGATGCTGTTCTCTGAGCGGGTGACGTAGGTGAGTGAGGACGGCTCAGCCAGCTCCTGGTACTGGTCATTGGTGAAGCCTTCCTGAGAAACAAGAGTGAAGAGGGGGCAGCTTCACTCATGATGGCCCAAACCTGGAAACCACCTGGTGTCCCTCCAGGAGTGGATGGATTGACAAACCGAGGCTTTTCCACATAACTAACACGACTTGGCAGCAGGAAGGAAGGAAGTTCTGATGCATGCAACCAAGTGGTGAAACTCAGGTGTATCTGTTAGGTCCAAGAAGCCAGACCCAAAATGCTACAGGCCGTATGCTTCCCTTTACATGACATTTTCGACAAAGCAAAATTATAGTACAAAAAACACATTGTGGGTTGCCAGGGTTTCGGGGTAGGGAGAGGATTTGCTGACAAAGGGGTTGCAGCTGTTTTGTGTTGCTTCGTGGTGCTGGACACACACACTATGCACTTGTCCAAACCCACAGGGCTGTACGCTACAGAGTGAACGTCACTGTGTGCAAATTACAAGCCATCCAGCCATGGTGCTGGGATCCCAAGAGGGGTGCAGACTGGGCCAAATGAGCCCAACAGCACTGTGGACATACAGCAGAACATGCCAACAGGGTGGGGAGGAAGGAGCTGCCCGTGAACTCTGCTGACTGGACAGGGTAAGGCTGAAAACAAAAGTAACTATCTACAAATGCTGTACAGTGGCTGGTGAAATTATTTCTCATGGGACACAAGTCTGTTAGCAATTCTAAAACTACTTTACATGGACTCTAGGATTGAACAAACACATATATTGAGAAATTCGAAACAGGTTTATCACTGAAGGAGAAAGAAGTCACTAATAAGAAAGGGGCAGACTCATGTGTTTAAATGCATCCATGCAGACAGACAGACACAGAAATAAACAGTTCTGTGTGCGTGCGTTACTAGAGACATACTTCCTGGCTGCCTCCACTATGAGAGACTGGAAGCTATGACACTCCCAGGAACAGTGAGCACAGCAAGCACCCCATCTCGGGTTTTTACATCATTCTTCTCGGAGAACTGGCTGACTCCAGGTTGGAGCAGGGAAAATACAAGATGAGGCTGGTGGACCTTACAGTACCAAGAAGTAGGAAAGTGCTCCAGAAACAAAGACCAGAAGAGGGCGTGTCCCAAGAACACGCCACAAACTAGGAGGCCCCAGTGGCCCAAGGGGAACACGTGGAGCAGGAAGCCACTCCGGTCCTATGAACAATAACCCTGGGATGTCCACTCTGATCCGCAAATCCACACTGATGTCAATAAGCAGACAAATAAACGAGAACAAATGGAAGAGAAGGATAGCAACGCTTCCCTACAGGATCCCAATTGATACAGTAGAAGGAATGAAGGAAACAGACAATCGCCAGAGAAAAACCACGACAGGAAACCTCAGGCGTAACTGCTGCAGGTGCGGCCCACCAGCAAACACAGCCCATCAGCAACGCTAACACAGTGGGCAGAAGCTTATGGAGCAGCTGTGGATACACTGTCTCGAAGCACCTGCTCCACGATATCTATTTGCTGCTGTGATGGCTCTAATACAGGTCCAGAAACTCTGACAGCCCTCCTCCAGGGACGCTTATATCCTCCCCACTGGGTGTGTATTTACGACTGAAGAGCCGTATGGGAGGGGGCACAGGAGCGCCACAGTAAGGCCTGCAGAAGCCCCTCAGGCAGGAGACTAAGCCGTCCCCACAACACACCCACACTCCCACACCACCACAAACCAACACGATGCGTGTGAGAACGTGGGGAGGGTGTCGCACCTGTGGAGCTCCTCCAAAAACCCAAATCACCTCAGTCTAGTCACGAGAAACAACAGACAACCCCTGATCAAGGGACAGCCAACCATCGCCTGGCCGGCACCACCAGAGGGGGAGGTCGTGACACGAGGACAGACCGGGACAGGACAACTCGGCGCCACGTGGGTCCTTGCTGGGATCCTGGGAGAGAAGAGGGGCTATGGTGGGAAATGGGAAATCCAGGTGAGGCCTGCAGTGCAGTTACTGGGGCACAGACATAGGTTTCTTAGTTTTGACAAGCGCACCATGGTTTATGCGAGGTCAGCATTAGGGGAAGGCAGGTTGAAGGGGATACAGAAATTCTCTGTACTATTTTTGTAATTTCCTGTAAGTTTAAAATTATTTCAAAATAAAAAGTTAAAAGCAAAAAATTCTGGGAGCTATGCTGAAAGAGAAAGGAGTGGAATCACTTGATACCTCTGACCATGGTCTTCAGGCTATAGAAAAGCAATGTGAGCAGTGCTGGGTGCCAGGAAGGCATGCACACTGTGAGGTGCTGCAGAGCCAGTGACATCAGGGCACTGACGCCAGGCCAGCCAGAGCTTCAGGACCAGAGGCCCCAGACTCACCTTGACCATGATGTTCAACATGGCGCCTGGGTAGGAGATGGTCACTTTGGGCTTCTTCACATTGGTCGTCTTGAAGACAAAATTTTCTGGGAAGCTGTTGGGCAGGACGCACCATATACCATCTGTGTCCAGCTCTAAGGGCCTCCTTCAGAGAAAGAGAGGAGCAAGGTCGTGAGTTCCCCTTTCCTTTTCACCCAGTGTGTGGCCTCCAGCCTTCCCTCCTTCCTTCCTGCCCAGTGTGTGGCCTCCAGCCTTCCCTCCTTCCTTCCTGCCCAGTGTGTGGCCTCCAGCCTTCCCTCCTTCCTTCCTGCCCATGCTTGCCCCCAGGACCTGCTCCCAGCCCCACGGCTCCCCTTCTGCACTCACCCAATCTGCTCGATCAGCTCCCGTGCCTGGGTGATGATGTTGGCCCCTGTGAAGCAGACGATGCCAGCCATCTCCATGGAGTACCAGCGAGCCCTGAGAGGACACCACAAACTGGTGGGTGGGGCTGGCATGGCTCCTCCAGGGGGTATCAGAGGCAGTGAGGAGTAGGGAGGAGGAAAGGAGAGATGCGACAGGGACAAGGGAAGCAGCCAAATGTGCGTGCACCAGGACAGAACTAAGGTGGAATCTGGCTCTGCCCGAGGACACCTCTCTGTCCCCACCTTGGTGCCCAGGAAGGATCTGGAAGGGTGCAGTATGTGCCACTGCGTCCAGCCGTTCAGGACTCCAGCCTCAGCAGGACTCTTAATACCACCCAGACCCATTCACGCCTTCTCTACTCTCTTCACACCTCCTCCCAAGCCCCATTCTCACCTCCAGCTTCTCAGAGAAAGCCCAGGCCTAGCTGCCAGGCCCAACCCTCCTCCAGCCTGGGTCCCAGCCCTGCTGTCAGCTGTCCCACCCTCCCCTCCCGGCACCAGCCCCATGCCCCTTGTCAGTTGCTTCTCTGCCCCTCCCGGACACGCAGACATGCTGTGAAGCAACTGCCCGACACTCTGCAAGTCCCTGAGTGAGGATCCACGCTGGGAGACATGAACGCGCTGGAAAATGGCAAGTCGTGTCTCCAGCCCATGATGCAGAGACACATACACCCCACAGCACGCATCACTCATGGACACCCAGACCCTCAAAGTCAGCGTGGCCCCCACTCTCTTCAACCTCCCAGCCCCACCCCAGCCCAAAGCCTTCTCCCTCCAACATTCCTTGAATCAGATGAACGGCCCTCCATGCACAGCAGCCTACACCTGAAGCTGCCCTAAACGTGGACTCATCCATTCCTCCCATAAGCCTCTCCCGGGCCCGGGCCCACCTACCCCTTGCGCATGACATAGCCATAGAAGGAGTTCAGGATGCACTTGTGGGCCAGCTGCAGCGAGTCATACAGCACCTCCATGTTCTTGCAGCGCTTCACCTCAGCCGCGTCGCCCACCTCCACGGCCGCCGAGAGCTTCTTTTTCCACACCTGAGAAGCACATGAACATGGAGCACCTCACAGATTCTTCCATTTCACATTCTACAAAGTCAATAGCCCAGGTTTTTAGTATTTTGAAAATTTTCAAATCTATAGAAAACCTAAAAAACCAGTACAATGAAGAGTGTACATTCTTCTCCTAGACTGGCCAACTGTCAATATTTTGTCACACTTCCTTTATTCTGTCTCTCTGTGTTGACAGAATCATTTGAACATTGTAGATTTCACGGTCTGACATCCTAAACGCTTCAGCACAGTTTCTAGGGAACAAGAGCTACTCGGGGGTGCCTGGTAAAATCAATCAAGAAATGCAGCTAAGACCACAGATGTCTCATCAAATTCCCCACCCAACATGAGAAAAGGTTTTTAAAGGCTGGGTATTTAAGGAACAAAAGCAAATTCCTTAAGATAATTACTGAGTGCCTAGTATGTGCCAGGAACTCCATTGTACTCTGAAGCACGAGACAGTCACTACACTTTTGGTGCTTATTTGATGAGGGAGACAGATGAACAAGTAATTTAGCAGTTGCTTAATTAAAATAAAGTGAGATAGTAAGGCAGCTCCTTAAAAGGTAAATGTAGAATTAGCATATGACCCAACAACTCTACTGCTGGGTACATATCCAAAATCACCAAAAGCAGAGACCTGAAGACGCACTTGCAGCCCATGTTGAAACCAGGATTGCTCGCGACAGCCAAAAGGTGGAAGCAACCCAAGTGCACGTCGGTGTATGAAGGATAGACAAAATGTGACAAATCCACACAATGAAATATTATTCAGCCATTTACAAAAATACAGTACAGATACACGCTGTATGTTGATAAACCTTGAAAACATCATACTAAGACTGGGCGCGGTGGCTCACGCCTGTAATCCCAGCCCTGTGGGAGGCTGGGGTGGATAGATGACCTGAGTTCAGGACTTTGAGACCAGCCTGGGCAACATGGTGAAACCCCGTCTCTACCAAACATACAACGATCAGGCGTGATGGTACGCCTGTGGTCCCAGGAACTGGGGAGGCTGAGGCGGGAGGATCACTTGAGCCTGGGAGGTGGAGGCTGCAGTGAGCCAAGGTCACACCACTGTGCTCCAACCTTGGTGACAGAGTGAGACCCCGTCTCCAAAAAAGAAAGCATCATGCTAAGTGAAAAAGCCGGTCACAAAGATACAAATACTGCACGGTTCACTTACATGACATCCCTAGAGTCGTGGAATTCAGAGAGAGAAAGTGGAATGGGGTCACTAGGGGCCAGGGAGGAGGTGGGGAGCTACTGTTTGATGGAGATAAGAGTTTCCGTTTCAGAAGGCGAAGAATTCTGGAGGTAGATGGTGGTGATAGTTGCACAACAGTGCGAATATGCTTCATGCCCCTGAACTGAGCACTTAAAAACACTAAATGTCATATTATGTCCGCCTTACCATTATAAAAAAGAACATGTGACGATGAGTTCAGCAGGGCAGTGCAGGATGCCAGGGGGCCGCACAGCAGGGGCCGTGCTGAGTCTACAGTGAAGGTCTCTCAGAAAAAAAATGGCTCAATCTGATCAGATATAAAATAATGACCCGTTGGTATCAAAACAGAGGTGTTGCTATGCATTTTCCATGTTCCTACCGGATGAAATACGTCAGTTAAACACGAGGGGCCGGATGGTGAATACCATAGATGAGAAGGCCTTAGAGTTTCTAGGAACTCCTCACCTCCCATGACAGCGGGAAAGAGATAAACAATAGGCGAAGGCAGTTGGGTTCGTAAAACTTGATGTACTCAAACGGCCAGCCAGCTGTAGCTTGCTGACCCCTGCTCTAAATAATCACTTTAGAAATCATCCTTTAGGGTCCTTCTGAGGCCTCAGACCAGGGTGGATGATGGTCTGCATCCTTCGTGGCCATCAACTCTTCCAAGTCAAAAACAATTGCACGTTACCATCCGAGTGCAAGTGCCTGCTCAGAGGATCCCAGGCAAGGAGCCAAGAGTGCCCACTTCATGAGCCGACTGAAACTGCCCTCACAGAGGCCAAAGCTTGCAGCCCCTCAGAGCTCACCTTGTGGAGCCCTTTGAACTCGTAACGCCTGTCCCGGAAGGCACGCACGGTGTCCACGTAGAAGGAGTTTTCCCGCTGGCAGATGGTGGTGAGACGCTCTTCCACCTTGGTGATGTGGATCTTCTTGTAGGCTTTCCGGCAGTAATCTAAGCACGACGGAGATGGGCAGAGCAGGTGGGTGAGATCTCCCAGAGCAGAGGGAGCCAGGGCACAGGGGTGCTGAAGAACATGGCTTCTACGTCACCACAAAGGAGCAACAGCTCAGATACACTGCTAGTTTCTCATACCGAAAAAGGTGGGCGGGCACGGTGGCTCACACCTGTAATCCCAGCACTTTGGGAGGCCGAGGCAGGCGGATCACTTGAGCCCAGGAGTTTGAGACCAGCCTAGGCAACATGGCAAGACCCCATCTCTACAAAAAATACAAAAAATTAGCTAGGCATGGTGGCGCACACCTGTAGTCCCAGCTACTTAGGAGGCTGAGATGGGAGGATTGCCGGTGCCTGGGAGGTTGAGGCTGCAGTGAGCCAAGATCACACCACTGCATTCCAGCCTGGGTGACAGAGTGAGACCTCATTTCAAAAAAAAAAAGAAAGAAATAGGACAGCCCAGGGGTAGGAACAGGCCAAATACCCCAAGACCACAGAGCAGCAGTGTCTAACACTTGCAGATGGGGAAGCAAATAAAGGACCCTGCAGTGAGAGCACAGCTTACAGTGACCTAGAGCAGCTTCTGGTCTGCTGTGACAACACCTCTGGGGCCCCAGCTGGGATGGACCAACGCAGCCCAGTAAGAACAGAAAGTGGGAGCAGGAGCCACATCTTTACAGCCGTGACCATGCCCAGGCACTCACCCGCCAGCCTTCTCTTCTCGTATTTCGCCTGTTCCTCGCGGGACAGTTCATGAAAGGCCCGAGCTGGCCCCTCTGGGAACAAGGGGGGGAACTTCTCTGACTCCAGCTGGTGCTGGATCCGATGGTATTCGCTGCGACTGGCTGGCACTGGGAAGGAGGCAATGGGGGCAAGTTCAAAAGGAGGCACAGACACACCGGCTTCCCACCAAGTGGAGAAAGGCGGCCGACACTCACCCACCCGTTTCCCACCGAGTGCCCACCCAGGCGGCCGACACTCACTGAACTCGCCCCTCCACTGCCAGGCCATCTTCCGCTGGCAGTTTGCTCCAGGCTTATTGAAGTCACAGGCAGCACAGGTGGCTTCGTCCACCATGGCAGAGGGCTGGGAGGGGTGAGAAAGCACTTAGGGCTGGGCAGAGAGAGCTCCGACTCTGACACGGGAAGTAAAGTCTCACCTGCAGGCGGTTGGTCAGGATGATGTTGGGGTACATGGCCCCCACGTCCAGGTGGTAGATGAGTGGACACTCGATGCGGCTGGGAACGTCCTTCAGGGAGGCAAGCTTGCTCTTAATCTCATCACACACCTGCAGAGAAAGCGAAACTCAGTAGAGGCTGGTGACCAAGCTTGCCTCGTGTGCAGTTCACCAACCCCTTTTAGACATTCAGGAGAGGAAAAAGCTGAAAAATATATAAATAGAGCAAAAACTAGCCAGAAGAAAAAAGTTAAGAAGGGTTGCCATCATTTCTATGAAATACATTAAATTTGGTGGAGTCATTAGAAAATTACTTGAACACTAAACTCTCCTTAGTATTAAAAAAAATCCTTAGGCCAGGTGCAGTGGTTCATGCTTGTAATCCTAGCACTTTCGGAGACCGAGGCCAGAGGATCACTTGAGCCCAGGAGTTCGAGACCAGCCTGAGCAACACAGTGGGACCCCCGTCTCTATAAAAAATAAAAAATTAGCCGTGTGTGGCGGTGGCACCTGTAGTCCCAGCTACTCGGAACGCTGGGGTGGAAGAATCGCTTGAGCCCGTGAGGTCAAGGCTGTAGTGAGCCCAGATTGCACCACTGCACTCCAGCCTGGGCAACAGAGCCAGATCCTGTTTCAGAAAAAAAAAAAGAAAAAGAAAAATCCTTAAAACCCTCCAAAGTAGTAAAAATAGAAAACACACCTAAAATTTTAAGAAAAAAGTGATTACAAGGAATAACATCTATTCCATAGAACAGGAAATACCACAACAGTAACACCTATTGTTTCTACTTGAATTACAGATAAACGAATCAGCCGGGGAAGAGCCTCCACTGCACCCTTCTCTGCCCAGTAACGGCGTGTTCTGAAAGGCTGTCCAGTCAAGAAGGGGAGGATGGGCTGGGACAAGTGAATGGCCAAGTTTCCATGGTGGGGACACCACCTGGACATGCCCCACGTGGCTGTGAGCCCCTGCTGACATCCCCCCAGCCACCCTCCGCCCAACAGGTGACCCTTCAGGGACACAAAGGCGATCCTGGGCTTCCCTTTCAAGGGCACTTGCGAGGACTTAGGAATCGCTAACAGGACAATGTCATCTACAGAGCTCCCTTCCTCACTCACCAGGGAGCCTGGCGTCCTCACATCTACAGAGCTCTCTTCCTCACTCACCAGGGAGCCTGGCATCCTCACATCTACCACACCTCCAGCCTCACTCTACCTGCCCATCTCACTGTTTCTTAAAGACTTTAAATATCTGCTTCTAGGTCGGGCGCGGTGGCTCACGCCTGTAATCCCAGCACTTTGGGAGGCCAAGCGGGCAGATCAGCTGAGGTCGGGAGTTCGAGACCAGCCTGGCCAACATGGAGAAACCCTGTCTCTACTAAAAATACAAAAAAAAAATTACCCAGGCGTGGTGGCAAGCGCCTGTTATCCCAGCTACTCAGGAGGCTGAGGCAGGAGAATCTCTTGAACCCAGGAGGCAGAGGTTGTGGTGAGCCGAGATCATGCCATTGCACTCCAGCCTGGGCAACAAGAGTGAAACTCTGTCTCAGATTCTGAGACGTCTCGCCACCACGCCTGGGTAATTTTTTTTTGTATTTTTAGTAGAGACGGGGTTTCTCCATGTTGGCCAGGCTGGTCTCAAACTCCTGACCTCAGGTGATCCACCCGCCTCAGCCTCCCAAAATGCTGGGATTCCAGGCTGCCCAGGCTGGAGTGTAGTGGAGCGATCTCGGCTCACTGCAAGCTCCGCCTCCCGGGTTCTTGCTATTCTCCTGCCTCAGCCTCCCGAGTAGCTGGGACTACAGGTGCCCGCCACCACGCCCGGCTAATTTTTTTATATTTTTTTAGTAGAGACGGGGTTTCACCGTGTTAGCCAGGATGGTCTCAATCTCCTGACCTCGTGATCCACCTCGGCCTCCCAAAGTGCTGGAATTACAGGCGTGAGCCACCGTGCCCGGCCATGGCCGACATTCTTTAACTCCTATTTGTTATTCAGACAAGGCTCTCTTCCTGATCGGTTCATAAGAGTTCCCTGAAGTATAATAATGGATGTGGCTGACAATAGCCAAACAGTGCTTCACAGCTTGCCAAGAGTGTACACATATTCTTGTTTAAATTTTGACTAGTGAATCTATTACAAGATGTTTCTTGAGGGCAGGCACAGTGGCTCACACCTGTAATCCCAGCACTTTGGGAGGCTGAGGTGGGCAGATCACTTACAGTCAGGAGTTCGAAAGCAGCCTGGCCAACGTGGTGAAACCTCATCTCTACTAAAAATACAAAAATTGGCCAGGCATGGTGGTGGGCACCTGTAATCCCAGCTACTCAGGAGGCTGAGACAGGAGAATCGCTTGAACCCAGGAGGCAAAGGTTGCAGTAAGCCGAGATCATGCCATTGCACTCCAGTGTGGGTGACAGAGCAAGACTCCGTCTCAAAAAAAAAAAAAAAAAAAAAAAAAGTTTCTTGGCATCAATGTGAAAACTGTTAAAAACTCTAAACCAGCAACCTCACTGAACATGATGTAGTGCTGCACAGTGCCTGACATAAAGACCTGAGATAGGCCAGGCGCGGTGCCTCACACCTGTAATCCCAGCACTTTGGGAGGCCAAGGCAGGCGGATCACAAGGTCAGGAGTTCAAGATCAGACTGGACAACATGGTGAAACCCTGTCTCTACTAAAAATACAAAAACTAGCCAGGTGTGGTGGCGGATGCCTGTAATCCCAGCTACTGGGGAGCCTGAGGCAGGAGAATTGCTTGAACCCGGGAGGCAGAGGTTGCAGTGAGCCAAACTCATGCCATTGCACTCCAGCCCAGGCCAACAACAGCGAGACTCCATCTCAAAAAGGGAAAAAAAAAAAAAAAAAAAAAAAAGACCTGAGATGTGCCATGTCCTGAGGAACAGGGATCAGAGAAGAACTGGTGTCTCCCTCTCCAGTCACATAACACACTTTGTAAGTGTGCTTTCTAACCATTATGTAAACAGATTTTACAGTCACTAATCCTGTCATTTGTAGGAATTTACTGTCATTTTTAAGTCTCAACAACAAAAAGTAAATAAAATTTAAAACCTCCAATGGCTCCCCAGTGCCTATAAAATAAAGTCCTAATGCTTTAAAACAGGACACGGGATACATCCCACCAGGACCCACCTTCCATGTTACTGCATTTCAGGAGCAGCTCACACCCCACCTCTCATGAAGCCCTCCGACCTTGTGACAGCATCACACGTCACAACCATGACTGCCCTGTCCCACCAGAGACCCTGTGTCATCCGTCCACAGCACCACACGCAGCAGGTGCACAATAAACGTGCTGCTGAAAGACGTGGTCTGTGAAGAAGGCGCCAAACACAGACTGGCTCTTCCTGCCTCCCTGATGGTTACCTCTTCAAAGTTGGTGACTTGCTCCACAGGCACTTTCTCCTCTTCCTCAAGGGCGTGGCGCAAGGTCTTCTCAACCCGCTGCAGCAGGAAGTCAAAGGCGGCAGGATTCTAGCACAACAGTGAGACGACGGGGTCAGAGGGGAAACACACCCACACTAGCCTGCCTCAGGTTTGACGCTGTGGCTGCACGTGGCAGGTTGTGCCCGAGAAAGCTCCGGAAGGACTCATGTGCACAATCTGCAGTGCACTGCCCTAAAGAAGCCCCCGGGGGGTGCTGGGCCAGAGAAGCCACACCCGGTGAGGGGCCGTGGGACAGGATGGGGAGAAGGGGCTTTATTTCAGCCCCTGCAGCTTCTGGGTCCTACCACAGCACAAGAGTGGGAAGAATCTGAATCCCAGGGAAGAAGCACACCATCCTAAACCGGCAAGGGATATCGCTGCGGAAAACCCCAGACTCGAGGGCCTCCACGTGGCCCCCGACGTAGGTCTCAGAGTCCAGCACGTGTCCGTCGTCCGTCAGCTTATTGAACTCCTGCTCTTGCTTGTTGGGGAAGATGATGTTGGCGTGGAAGGCCTGCACCATCAGCAAGGCCTCACACAGAGTGCCAGAGCCCTTCCGCAGCACCTGCAAGAGAAACCAAGGCTTCCAGCCAAAAGCAACACCAAAGGCCCTGACTTGCAGGCAAAGTCCAGGAACCTAAGCTGAACTTCAGTGTGAAAGGAGAGAAAACCTCGTGGTAAATGGCTGCAAATTCTGCCTCCTGTGGTTTCTTCCTCACACCAGGGCCAGAGAATTCCCAAAGGACATCCCTGACGTCACACACCAGAATTCTACTGCCGCCTCTGGTGCCAGCACTCCTGGGACATCCACCTCCATTCAGCTCCAGTGCATTTGGAATGGGGCAAGGGCTGAGGAGGCCAGGGTGCCGACAGGACAGATAATGCTCACCTCGTCGGGCTCCATGGGAATAATGGTGCACAGAGCAAAGATGAATGGGTGGACGTACTTCATGTACAGGTAGTAAGTGGCGACAGCATCTGACACAGAATACGTGGCCAGAGTCTGAGGAGAGAACGCCAGAGAGCAGGGCCATCAAAAATCAAGAGCCCAGGGTCAAGTGTGAAGCACAGAAAGCAAAGCCTGGCCTGACCAGCCTGCCGCACACACAGTAAGGAGACCGGCACAGGACAAAACACGTGTGTCCCGGAGACACAGCCTGCTGGGTGGAGCGGGCTGGCATACATGCGTGCACACGGCAGCAGGGGGAGCCGGGATGTGGCTCACATGCCTGGGGCTGCTCCGTGGCCATCTGGATGCGTGCACACGGCAGCAGGGGCAGCCGGGATGTGGCTTACGTGCCTGGGGCTGCTCCGTGGCCATCCGGCACATGTCCTCCGGGTCTAGCTCCACGGGATCATAGCCTAGCTTGGCCTTGGCGGCCGCCTTGAGATTATGACTGCCCACAGGAAGGTAACTGTCCCTCTTCACCCACCTGGAAGGAGAATGAGAACAGAAGCCAGGATGATTCTAACATGCAGCCCGGGAACCCCTGAGAACTGGCAAAACTGGGCACCACACAGACAGATGCAAGTTCCTAACAGGCACCCAGGAGCCTCACACCAAGGCCCCACATGGTGTAGACACCTTGTGAAAACCCTTCATCAGGATCTAGTTAATCTCACAGACCTATCCACAACACAAGGAAGCACCAGGACTGGTCCTTCCGGCCCTCGCCTTCCTCCCATCCTCAGCAGAGTTTGTGGCCTCTCCGACGGGCGCCCCACCTCCTTGGGCCTCTCCCCAGACCTCAGGTCTGCACCCCTGGGGCCTAGTTCTATCAACCACACTGATCTTCTCTCCTCACACTGTCCCTTCAGCACGGAAACACTCAAGCCCACCCTCCTTTAATAGAAGGCAAGATGTGATCAGATGCCAAGAAGAATAAAAATTTAAAAAATAAATAAAAAATAAAAATTAAGAAAAGAAGGCCCCCCACACTCTACCCGGAACCTGTCTCTACCTCCTCCCTACAGACGCATTCCCTGGAGCAGCTGTCCAGGGGTCATGTCCGGTCTCCACCCCCCGCAGCCTCCACCCTGTGGCCTTCTTCTCTCACTTTACCTCTTGCCTTCAGTTCATCCACTACCCCAGCTTTCACCAAGACCCACCCGCAACCCAGTGAGTCCCAATCTACAGTGCGAGCCCAAACCAAGCCTCATGGTGGTCTTCAGGGCCCCCATATGGGTGGGGCTTCCAGGCTAGCATATCGGTAGCAGGGTCACCTCCTGCCTCAAGCCCCTTCTCTACCCATTCCCTGTCTCCACGGATGGCACAAAAACCCCAGGTGCCAACCCCTCCCTAAGAACCAGCATCCCTGGGCCTCCCCCTGCCCCACATGACAGATCCTGAATCCTCACAACCCTCACTCCCTGCCTTGGATCAGGACTGTCACACCGTCACACGCTAAACCGGCCCCAGCCTCCTGGCCTCCCTCTCCAAGCCAAGTGCTGAGCATCAGAGCTAAACAGAAACGCATTCAGGCTGCAAGCACCCCAGTGGCACTGTGCAGAATACAGAGGCCGTGGAGGCCCCTCCATTCCCTTCCTTCCCTCCCTCCCTTCCCTTCCTTCCCTCCCTCCCTTCCCTTCCTTCCCTTCCCTCCTTTCCTCCCTCCCTTCCCTTCCTTCCCTTCCAGCCTCCTTCTGTTGGCATTTCCACATCCACCTGTCTTCCCAACCAGTCATGTCAGAGCCCCCGAACGCCGTGACTCTCCGAAGCTCTGAGCTGCCTCCCACCCTAGCTCATATGGAATCTGTGGTTGTCCCGTGAGGCTTGTCCTGTGAGGCAGCCGGGCTGCCACATCCCAACCTTGCCTGGGCAGAGCAGCTCCATGAGGTCCTAGGTCTGGGACCTGTCAGCTGAGTGCGTCTTTCCAGCGGCTTCCCCACCCCAGAGGCTGATGCTCAATGTGCCTGGTCACTGATGAATTGTCAGTCAACAGTCAAAGACAGCACATCCCGGGCCCTGGCAGGGTTGCAGCTGCCATACTCTTGGGTGACCTGAAACGGCCTCTCGGAGGCCACCCTCCTCCCATGAGATGTGGTGACAGCACAGTCTGCAAGAGGCCTTCAGATCTCGCTCACGGACAGCAGTGAGGAGCCATGCTGCTCTGTGGCCCCTACCTGAGGCAGTCCATGTGGATGCACTGGGGCGCCTTGTACTCCCCCTGGCTGTCCTTCTGGAAGCCTATCTCCTGCTGCATGCTCAGACCGTGGACTGCTGCCCGGGCCTCCACAAATGGCCTGGGTTGGAAAGAGGACAGACAAGCAAGTGGGCAGGTCAGGCTCTAATGCCCCTTTCTCCATTCCTCCCTCAGACCCAGGGAGGAACCCAGACACGGGAGGTGCAGAGTGAACCCAGGAGCCACCTCCTAAGTCGACATGGGAAGCGCCCCTGCACCACGCAACGCCCTCCCTCTCAAATGCTGCCCAGTTACTCATAGAGAAGACACAGACTCACCAGTCAAAAAAGTCCCCGTTGTAGGTGACCATGATGGTGGGTTTGGTCTCCTGGACGTGTTCAAACCACCTTTGGATCAGATGAGCCTGAACCCAAGTCACAGCAGTCAGAGGTCTGCTCTTTCTCTTCTTCAAGCTATTCCAAATTCCTCTCCCAAAGTTCAGAAGCAGCAGCCTCATGTTGGCCCTTATTCCTGCCCCGCCCCTCCGCCCGTCTCTGGCAGAAAAGACGGTCATACCCTGAGAACAAAGCTCATGGAGCTGCAATTCTGATCTGACGGAATGCCTGAGGCCTTGGAAAGATCCACATGTCCGTTCTTCCCACAATACCGGGTAGTTTCCCAAGTGATACCTCCTTACCTCATCGGGTTCATTGAAGACACAAAAGGGGCCTTCATATTCTGGCTTGGGGGTGAACTCAAAATCTTCAATATCTTCTGAAACAATCTCCCTGTTGGTGATGAGGTAGCCCTAGCCAAGTTCATTAGCAATCAGCACAAGTCAGAGGCTGCAAAGCCAAGAAATGGCGTTCCCACCCTGCCCACACACTCTGCCTAGAGATTCTCACTACAAAGAAGTCCACAGCAATGTGAAAGTGCTTTAAGCTTCCTGAGAAGAGACGCTCTGTGTGTGGATTCCCACTCGAAAGGGGAGGGTACAGCTGGAGGTCGGAACGGCTTGGTTGCTCCCATTCCTGGACTAACTCATTATTCACTCAACAAATACTAACAGTGGGGCAGATGCTGCTGTAGTATGGGGACCAGACAAGGTCCCCATCCCAGGAGCTTACTTCCCAGAAGCCACCTGCTCACCTGGCCATCGATCATGTAGGAAATCATCATAATCTGGTCTGTCTCAGCATCAGGAAACTTGAGGGGCAGTTTGGTCGTCTCAATGTCAAATGCCAAAACCACAGGGTCCTGTGGGGACAAAATAAGCATAAAGCCAAGCTCTAAACTCCCCATTAGGCCTCCCTGAACACCCACCCCCAGCCTGCTCTACCTCCCTCTGGTTGTTAAAAGAGTCAAAAGGCTCTAGAGCTGGGAGAAGGACCCTAAGACTAACCAACCTACATCAAGAGTATCACGACTCCCTATGGTATGAAAACTGACATACCTAAGAGAGCAGCTGATCACAGGACAAGCCTAAAATCACAGAACTTTAGGAGAAAAACTCTTCAAAAGACATCACCTCATTCTGGTGGTTATGACAACTCTGAAAGGTAACTGTGGCACAGAGATGATATCTTCATTTCGGAAAAGAGAAAACTGAATACAAAGACTTTCCCAACACCACAAAGTCATGTTTGAACCAAGGCCTTCTAGTTACAAATCCATTTTTCACCATGTCCCTTCACTATCAACTACCCAAACGGAAGTCCCAGCTTTCCCTCGAGTGTCCAAATCCTGCCTAGCTCAAACACTGATGTCATACAGTGATATACAACAAAAAAGGAAATGATACTGTCAGAAACTGATGAAAAATTCTAACTCCATATTTCCTTTAATAAAGTATTTGGGGGAAAAGCAGCAAACATATCTTTGAGTCAGATTCACTCTCCAGCACTGAAGAATATTCTCTCCAGAAAACTGGAAATTTTAGGATGAAGGTAACACAAGCAAAACTTACAGGTCGTTCAACAAGGTCATCTCGGCGGGTGATTTCTACCGGAAAAGCATTTCCTCGGTATCTGACATTGTACCAATGAGCCTGCAAAACACACAGTGTGCTAACTAGAGTTCTACATCCAGGAAAGTCTATTCTTCTGTGGATTCACCCATAATGATCATCTCCTGGCTGTTAGGAAATTCATGTGAGCAGCGACCCAACCCTGCCCCACTCACCACGTGGATCTTCAGGTCAATGGAGAGGCGGATGTGGTAGGGAACATCGTACTCGCGCATGTCCACAATGTTGTCCAACTGGTCAGCTATCTTCTTAGAGGTTTCCTCTTCATCAGTAATGACACCGCCCCTCTGCAGAACACTAGGAATTAACAAGAGAGCAACTAACTCAGCTGCCAGGGTCTGGAGGAGGTGAGACCAGAGTTCCAACTCAGTAGGAAGAGGTGAGACCAGAGTTCAAACCGAGGAAACACAAAAGGTAAATTGATGTGGTTTCAACGACCAAGGCAGTCCTTCCTTTAAGAATGGCTTGGACTGGGCCAGGCGTGGCAGCTCACGCCTGTAATCCCAGCACTTTGGGAGGCCAAGGAAGGCGGATCACCCGAGGTCAGGAGTTCGAGACGAGCCTGGCCAACACGACGAAACCTCATCTCTACTAAAAATACAAAAATTAGCCAGGCGTGGTGGCGCATGTCTGTAACCCCAGATACCTGGGAGGCTGAGGCAGGAGAATCACTTGAACCCAGGAGGCGGAGGTTGCAGTGAACCCAGATTGCGCCACTGCACTCCAGCCTGGGCAACAGAGCGAGACTCCATCTCAAAAAAATAAAGAATAGCTTGGATGATAACTCTACAGACAGGAGAAAATTCAGTGTAAGATGTATTCATTTTATATGATGTGAGTTACACCCCAACTAGAAAAAAAAAAAGAGGGCCAAGCATGGTGGCTTATGCCTCTAATCCCAGCACTCTGGGAGGCAGGAGGATCGCTTCGGCCCAGGAGTTCAAGACAGGCCTGGGCAACATAGGGAGACTCATCTCTACAAAAGTAATAATAATAATAATAATAATTAGCCAGGCATGGGGTACACACCTGTGATCCCAGTTACTCAGGAGGCTGAGGTGAAAGGATCGCTTGAGCCCAGGAGTTCGAGGCCACAGTGAGCTATGATTGCACCACTGCACTCCAGCCTGGGCAACAGAGCAAGACCCTGTCTCAAAACAAATAAGTAAATAGAAGAAAAAAGAAAGAAAACATTAAGTGCTGCCAGTCAGGAGAGCCAGGCATGACCATCCCACCATGGTCCTGATACTCAGGAGGCTGCCTCATGCAGGCTGAAGAGCAGGCCTGGGCTTCACACAGCCTGTGCATGGGTCTCTGCCATGTCTAAAGAAGTGGCCCACCATTGCGGCCACTATTGGCCTATAAGCTCAAATACTGAACGGGCTATTCAGGGGGAAAAAGACAGACGAGTCTCAGATATGGCTCAAGTCTCTGAGGACTCAGTCTCTGATCACACCTTCCAATATTTCAAAAAGCAACTTGTGGCATTGCCAGGGAAGGCGGACTCCGGGTAGGGACTGTAGAAATGTTCAGCATCCCAAACTGATCCTCTTTTGTCAGAGGGTAAGGTAGGTTCTTCCGAAGTCATCTAAACTTCATTACTCAAGATTTTCTCTTCCTAACTGGTTACTTTGCATCCTATTATTGTTGATGCTCAAATACTTGAAGAACAGTGTTTAGTGTTCTAGGCTTAAATTTCTGTGGACGATACCCAAGGTTCTCTGGAGATGTGCTGTGTAAATCTCAGCACTTAATGAAATTCATAGATGGATTGTGTTAGGGCAGTAGGATGAGGGATCTTTTCCCCTCTAAGGTGACTTTACTATTACAACCACTCAATTTTAGAGCCATAAACCCACCCCTCCATTGGAAAAGAGAGCTAACACATAAAATATAACCTGGGAAGCCACTGTTTATTTAACACAGAACATACAGAAATCTCTACCTAATTGCTCAAGTTTTCCGTATCAAACAGAGCCAGCCATTAAGGTAACTTTGTTGCTACGTGTTCCTGTCTCCTATCCATCTTGTCGTTCTGAACCGCTGATGCTTTGCTCACAAGACCAAAGTTTACCTGGAAAGCAGAGCTGTGTACGCGTCGCTGGCGTGATCCTGCTCCCTGTTCTTCTTCACGGCAGGGGAGATCTCCTTCCTCACTTTGACAAGATCCTCCACAGTGTGGAAGGACAGCCTGATGTAATTTCGCTTCAAACCCACCAAGTGATTTGGCTATAATGCGAAGAGATCACGCTCATTGGTTCAAGAGAAATAGGACTTTATGGGTGAGAGGGTAAACACTCAAAGGTAAACACACAAGTCAAAGAGTTGGCGACTTCAAGGCACCTTGTCCAACTCTGCACGTGGCACCAACTAACACCACTAGAGCTCTTTGGAAGGAATTTTATAGACGGTCACCACACCGCCCCATCACCCAACAGATGACCTGAATTTCTACCTCTTCCGATCCCACCTGCCAGGAACAATGTAGACTCTGGCCTCATTTACCCCTGGAAAGTCTGGGTGATACTCACCAAGTCCAGATCCTCTTTGGGGACAGTCTCCACTTTTGCAATTTTGCCCTGAAACTTCTTGGAGAGAAAAGATGAAACTTCTCGCTCACAACCCTAATCAGGATCAGAATGAAAAGGCTTTCCATTGGTAAAATACATTTCCTTCCTTGCCTATTTCCCAGTTGCAAAGCCCACCACAGAATGACACACAGGTCGTCTGACCTGAGTCTATGAAACACACTCACCTTTCTGGTCGCAATGTAGAAATACGGTTTATAGGGCAAAGCCACCTGTTAAGAGTCACCAACCCATCCAGGGGTGATGAGAAAGAAGAAAGCGAGAGAAAAGTGAAAACACATTGCTTGCTCCTATATCCCATGAACAGCCTAGGGCCAGGGTAGCCTTGACCTTGGTAGCATACAGGAAGTCAGAATGCGCACTTTTCACAGGGGCAAGAATCTGAAAGACACGCTACTTCTCACCATTCAGAGTCTTCCTGAACTGACCTCTCTCAGGACATCTTACGTGATGACTGATGGGGCCTCCAGGGGCCCGAGTTCTGCTGGGCTATGGGCTGCTGTGCACTGGAAGCCTCCCATGCCCTCCCTGACAGTCACAGAGCTACATGAACACCCATAAAAGTGGGTTTTAGCTTGTCGCAGTCAGGGGCTTACCTTAAATCTGCTTCCGTCATCTTGAATAAAGTAGTAATCCACTGCACTGCCTAAGCGCTTATCTTCATCTAAAATCTCGGTCTACAAGAGAATCAGTCAACACAGACACAAGACCATCCTCTACACAGTTAGAGAAACTTTCCTCCTACCTTTCGGGAAACTCAGCACTTTAGAAACAAACCCTCTCATCTAGGTCTTTACTCCACCCCTACATTAACACTACCAGCCTTATTCACAAGAACCACACTGTAACGGCCTCCAAATGGGGATCTCTCTCAATTTCTCCCTCATAATCCTTGAAAGCTTTATTCTGATGGCTAAAAGAGATGCCCATCACCTCCGGCTTCTCACAGTGGCCTCTCTGTGGCCCTCAATGACGTTAAAGAGGAAAGGAGAGCTGGGAACCTTCACATCTCCCACCTGATTCACTCAAAGTTCCCTCATGTGTCCCCCACTCTTTAGATAAGGACCACGCTATGACCAGAAGGGTTGCAGCCATATTCCTGGGTGGGAGAAGGACCTAGTGCTTACAGGATGCATGTTAATGAGCCAGCCTGTCTTCTCACCAGGCTCCTTCAGCCGCTCAAAACCAAACCGCAAATCCATCTTATCCGTCCACTGACTCCGTTCCAGGCGCTTGAGTGCCGAAACTGAGGAAGTGGCGCCATCATCCCTGAGTGAAAGAAGGGAACCCCGTGCTTAATTTGTAATGCCACCTGCTGCTGCTTCTTTTTTTCTTTTTTTTCTTTTTTTTTGAGACGGAGTCTTGCTCTGTCGCCTAGGCTGGAGTGCAGTGGTGTGATCTCGGCTCACTGCAAGCTCCGCCTCCCGGGTTCACGCCATTCTCCTGCCTCAGCCTCCCGAGTAGCTGGGACCACAGGCGACAGCCACCACGCCTGGCTAATTTTTTGTATTTTTAGTAGAGACGGGGTTTCACCGTGTTAGCCAGGATGGTCTCGATCTCCTGACCTTGTGATCCGACTGCCACCTACTTCTGCAACCCTCATCCCACCTAGTGTTAAGTGTTTCGGATATGACAGGGTATATATATTCCTGAAAAACCCCGAGCTTGGAAAAAGGCTCATTAAGATAAAAGGACTCATTGGAAAAACACAATTAGGGCAGGCCCTTCAAAACCTGTTCAACTTTATAACCAGAATACTAACAAAAAGAGTCATGATGGCTAGACACTGTTGCCTCTTGGGACACTAAAAATGCATAAAACTAGCCAGACGCGGTGGCTCATGAGAGTGCATGTAACACTGACATGATTTGAATAAAACAGACGGATTGTCAGGCCAGGCACAGTGGCTCACGCCTGTAATCCCAAAACTTTGGGAGGCCAAGGCGGGTGGATCACCTGAGGTCAGGAGTTTGAGACCAGCCTGGCCAGCATGGTGAAACCCTGTCTCTACTAAAAATACAAAAAATTAAATCCCAGCACCGTGGGAGGCCGAGGCGGGCGGATCACGAGGTGAGGAGATCTAGACCATCCTGCTAATACAGTGAAACCCCGTCTTTACTAAAAATACAAAAACTTAGCCAGGCGTGGTGGTGGGTGCCTATAGTCCCAGCTACTCAGGAGGCTGAGGCAGGAGAATGGCGTGAACCCAGGAGGTGGAGCTTGCAGTGAGCCGAGAACGCGCCACCACACTCCAGCCTGGGCAGCAGAGCGAGACTCCGGCAAAAAAAAAAAAATAAATAAAAATAAATAAATAAATAAATAAATTAGCTGGGTGTGGTGGGGTGGGCCTATAATCCCAGCTACTCAGGAGGCTGAGGCAGGAGAATCACTTGAACCCTAGAGGTGGAGGTTGCAGTGAGCCAAGATTGCGCCACTGCACTCCAGCCTGGGTGACAAGAGTGAAACTTCGTCTCAAAAAAATAAATAAAATAAAATAAGATAAAATAAATTAGATGGGTCGTCTCAATGTCAATTTCTTAGTTGTGACAATTGTACTCTACTTACACAAGATGTTATGGTGAAGTGATACGGGAATCTCTGTATCATTTCTGACAAATGCATGAGAATCAATCTACAATTACCTCAAAAAAAGGTTGAGGGCCAGGCGCAGTGGCTCACAACT
The DNA here is from genome assembly GCF_000001405.40 of Homo sapiens. Taxonomy (NCBI): domain Eukaryota; kingdom Metazoa; phylum Chordata; class Mammalia; order Primates; family Hominidae; genus Homo; species Homo sapiens. The sequence continues at coordinate 132,682,694 of NC_000012.12, forward strand.
GTAATCCCAGCACTTTGGGAGGCCAAGGAGGGTGGATGACTTGAGGCCAGGAGTTTGAGACCATCCTGGCTAACATGGTGAAACCCCGTCTCTACTAAAAATACGAAAAATTAGCCGGGCGTGGTGGCGGGCGCCTGTAGTCCCAGCTACTCGGGAGGCTGAGGCAGGAGAATGGCGTGAATCCAGGAGGCAGAGCTTGCAGTGAGCTGGGATCATGCCACTGCACTCCAGCCTGGGCGACAGAGCGAGACTCCGTCTAAAAAAAAAATAAAATAAAAAAAGAACAAGATAAAAAAAGAAAGGAAGACCCTTCCTTTGTCTGAAGGTATTCCTTGGATCACCTTCAACTCAAGAGCAGAATGACCATATTCCAAGACTAGGATCCTTACTTCTCATGAAAGATTATAACCACTTGTGGTAGGCAGGCAGGATGACACCCCCCATGAAAGACCCACATCCTAATCCCCCAAACCTGTGAATGTTATCTTACAAGACAAAAGGGTCTTTGCAGATCTGACTAAATTAAGGGCCTTGAGATTCTGCTTAGCTGGGTGGGCGCAGTGTAATCACAAGAATCCTTGTAGAGTGAGGCAGGAGAGCTAGAGTCAGGAAGGAGAAAGGGATGGGAGAGAGAGGGTAGGGGGGAGAGGAGATGCAACCCTTGGTTCTGAAGATGAAGAAGCAGCAAGGAAACAGATTCTCCCCCGGGAACCATCACAATAAATATAACCAACCAGACACTTTCATATTACGACTTCTGACTTCTAAAACCGTAAGAGAATAAATTTATATAGTCACTAAGTGATCATGTGTTACTGCAGCAATAGGAAACTGATACACCACCATACTGTATAATAAAGGTTTAATCTTTTAAATAGTTGAATGCACCCGTAATCAAAAACACAGAAAAACTATATTCCAAATCTTGCTAGAGAACAGCCTCAGTTCTGAGTCCCAGATCTTTATCAAAATCAAGAGTGAATGAAGTGCTATTTACGAGGCATCACCTCTTAACAGGGGCGCACGGCCCTCTATGCCAGTCCTCCAAATATCCTTGCCTCAAGTAAGTTGGATTAAGTAGACTAGAAAACTGCTCACTGGGACCATATTTCCTCCCAAAACTGCTTTCTCTGAGCTGTGTATCTCACTTTTAATCCAGGGACAGTAAGAAATCTGAAAAATGGGGATAAGTGTCACACAGGGAGCTACCATCGACTGGTTACTATATCACACCGTCCCAGTACTCCACACAGGCTCTCATTCACAGAGAGCTACCATTGACTGGTTACTATATCACACCGTCCCAGTACTCCACACAGGCTCTCATTCACAGAGAGCTACCATTGACTGGTTACTGTATCACACCGTCCCAGTACTCCACACAGGCTCTCATTCACAGAGAGCTACCACTGACTGGTTACTGTATCACACCGTCCCAGTACTCCACACAGGCTCTCATTCACAGAGAGCTACCATTGACTGGTTACTGTATCACACCGTCCCAGTACTCCACACAGGCTCTCATTCACAGAGAGCTACCATTGACTGGTTACTGTATCACACCGTCCCAGTACTCCACACAGGCTCTCATTCACAGAGCTACCATTGACTGGTTACTATATCACACCGTCCCAGTACTCCACACAGGCTCTCATTCACAGAGAGCTACCATTGACTGGTTACTGTATCACACCGTCCCAGTACTCCACACAGGCTCTCATTCACAGAGCTACCATTGACTGGTTACTATATCACACCGTCCCAGTACTCCACACAGGCTCTCATTCACAGAGCTACCATTGACTGGTTACTATATCACACCGTCCCAGTACTCCACACAGGCTCTCATTCACAGAGAGCTACCATTGACTGGTTACTGTATCACACCGTCCCAGTACTCCACACAGGCTCTCATTCACAGAGAGCTACCATTGACTGGTTACTGTATCACACCGTCCCAGTACTCCACACAGGCTCTCATTCACAGAGAGCTACCATTGACTGGTTACTGTATCACACCGTCCCAGTACTCCACACAGGCTCTCATTCACAGAGAGCTACCATTGACTGGTTACTGTATCACACCGTCCCAGTACTCCACACAGGCTCTCATTCACAGAGCTACCATTGACTGGTTACTATATCACACCGTCCCAGTACTCCACACAGGCTCTCATTCACAGAGAGCTACCATTGACTGGTTACTATATCACACCGTCCCAGTACTCCACACAGGCTCTCATTCACAGAGAGCTACCATTGACTGGTTACTGTATCACACCGTCCCAGTACTCCACACAGGCTCTCATTCACAGAGAGCTACCATTGACTGGTTACTGTATCACACAATCCCAGTACTCCACAGGCTCTCATTCACAGAGCTACCATTGACTGGTTACTATATCACACCGTCCCAGTACTCCACACAGGCTCTCATTCACAGAGAGCTACCATTGACTGGTTACTATATCACACCGTCCCAGTACTCCACACAGGCTTTCATTCACAGAGCTACCATTGACTGGTTACTGTATCACACCGTCCCAGTACTACACACAGGCTCTCATTCACAGAGAGCTACCATTGACTGGTTACTGTATCACACTGTCCCAGTACTCCACACAGGCTCTCATTCACAGAGAGCTACCATTGACTGGTTACTGTATCACACCGTCCCAGTACTCCACATATGCTCTCATTCAGTTTTCATGACAACCCCTACGAGGGAGGCCACTGGTGTCCCCATTTCACACAAGAAGAAACGCAGGCAAACAGCACCCACTGCCTCCTGGGGCACACTCACCTCCCAGGACTGTTTTAAGGATGAGATGAGGTAACCCACATAAAGCATGTAAGGTAAAAGCCATCACTTGTACTTATCCCAGCAGCAGCCTTCCCCCTGCCTGGAGGCCATCACTGAGCTTGGGGCAGGGCAGTGGAGTGGAGCACGTGAGTGCAGTCCTGTGTCCTGAAGCAGGGCAGTCAGTAACCGTCTCTAAGCTCCAAGTTCCAACACACCATGTAGACCCTAAGGGTACCTGCCTCTCTAGGGCTTGCCTGATATGGACAGACAGCGATGAGCACAACAGCAGTTAGGGATCCTTACCACTTGGTTTCTCCTCTGGGAAGAATTTTGTTCAGCTAAGTGTCTGTAAAAAGCTTCACGTTCTCACACGTTTTTTCTATTTTTTTTTTTTTGAGACAGAGTTTCATTCTTTGTTGCCCAGCCTGGAGTGCAATGGCGCGATCTCGGTTCACCGCAACCTCCGCCTGCCGCGTTCAAGTGATTCTCCTGCCTCAGCCTCCTGCGTAGCTGGGATTACAGGCATGCGCCACCACGCCCCGCTAATTTTGTATTTTTTTAGTGGAGACGGGATTTCTCCATGTTGGTCAGGCTGGTCTCGAACTCCTGACCTCAGGTGATCCTCCTGCCTCGGCCTCCCAAAGTGCTGGGATTACAGGTGTGAGCCACCGCGCCGGGCCTCATCCGTTTTCTGCTTATGGCAGGCCAGTCCTCCGGTCATGTTTACCGTTTGCTCTGGCCACCAAGCAGCCGCGTCTTATCCTTGCTCTATTTTTTTTGAGACTGGGTCTGGCTCCGTCGCCCAGGCTGGAGTGCGGTGGCGCGATCCCGGCTCACAGCAGCCTTGACCTGCCGGGCTCAGGTGAACCTCCGGCTCGGATTCGGGAGTATTAATAGCTGGGACCTCGGGCGCGCACCACCAGCCTGTCTAATTTTTCTTGTTTTTACAAGAGAAGGGCCGGGCGCGGAGTCTCACGTCTGTAATCCCAGCACTTTGGAAGGCCGAGGCGGGCGGATCACCTGAGGTCAGGAGTTCGAGACCAGCCTGGCCAACATGGTGAAACCCGGTCTCTACTAAAAATACAAAAACTAGCCGGGCCTGGTGGCGGGCGCCTGTAATTCCAGCTACTCGGGAGGCTGAGGCAGCGGGATCGCTTGAACCCGGGAAGCAGAGGTTGCAGTGAGCCGAGATCGCGCCACTGCACTCCAGCCTGGGCGACAGAGCGGGACTCCCTGCCCAAAAAAATAAAACAGAGGAGACGAGGTCTCTCTCTGTAGCCCAGGCTGATCTAGAACAGGATCCTGGGCTCCAGCGATCCGCCCGCCTCGGCCTCCCCCAGCGCTAGGCCCCCAGGCAGGGTCCCCGGCCCCGCCCCTCCCCGCACCCTCCCCAGCCGCGCGTCCACCCCGCAGGGCCTGGCCCGGGTCCCGCCGCTCTCATCGCCCCCGCCGCGCGGCAGGTCCCAAACGCAGCTGCGCGGAAGGCGAGGCCCGAAAAACCTCAGAAAGAGCCGAGCAGGGAAAGGCCGCGCGGCCCGCCTCGTTTCCCCGCAAAGAAGCCGCGCCCGTAGCGCCTCCGCCCGCCCCGAGCCCCTCCGTCGGCGGTCGGGGCGCGCCGCCCTACCCCAGTCAGGCGCGGCGAGTGCGGGCGGCTGCGGGAACCGGGCCTCCCTCCCGCCTCGGCGGCGCCAGCCGAGGACGGCCCCATGGCACCCTCCGGAGGGCCGGCCCGAGAGCCTCAGGAGGGCGCCCCTCACCTGCTGGCCTCGCCATCCGCGCCTGGGTCCGCGCGCCGCCGCCCGCCGCTCCTCAGAGACATGGAGCCGTTGGCTACCACCTCTGCTTCAGGGGAGAAATTTGGCGCGCTCCCACCCAGACTCGCGAGAGCCGGAAATGCCGCCGTCCATCAAGAGGCGCGCTCCGCCCCTCCCCCGCCCCCCGAGGCGCTCCAATTGGCGCCGGCGCCCGGCGGGGGAGGTGGCCGGCAGGGACCGGGGAAAAGTGTGTGGTAGGCGCGCGCGGCGCACCGTGGGGTTGGGACCGGGCGGCGCTGCGGGCCGCGGTGGGGCCGGAAATGTCAGGCGGTCCCCACTCCGCTCTCGGCGCCTCGGGCTCCGCGCCCGGCCAGCCTGAGGTGGGGTCGGTGCCCCCGGCGGCACGGCGCTGGGGAGGCGATGGCGCCGGCCGCGTCCAGGCTGCGGGCCGAAGCCGGGCTCGGGGCGCTGCCGCGGCGGGCGCTCGCCCAGTACCTGCTCTTCCTGCGGCTCTACCCGGTGCTCACCAAGGCGGCCACCAGGTGAGCGGGGGCGCGGGAATCGGACGCCGCCCCGGCCCCAGGTCGGCCGCAGCGGCGCGGGGCCTGGACGGGAGCGCCGGGCCGGGACCAGGCTGGGGGCGCGCCCGGGTCAGAACCCCCGGAGCGGGCGCCCTCCGACCCGGCGCTGAACTTCCCGCGGCGACACCCGCGTCCGCAGTCAGCGATTGTGAGGCGCCTTGCGGATCCCGCCCTCCCAGCGCGTGGAGGGCCCGCCCAGACCCGGGGGTCGGCGCTGAGGTTCCACCCAAGGACCCAACAGGGGCCCCGCGCGCCCGGGGAAGCCACGGCAAGGGGAGCGGGTCCGCAGGCGCGGGTGAAGACAGGGCGAGGGGAGCGGGTCTGCGGGGCGCGGGTGAAGACAGGGCGAGGGGAGCGGGTCTGCGGGGCGCGGGTGAAGACAGGGCGAGGGGAGCGGGTCTTGGGGGCGCGGGTGAAGACAGGGCGAGGGGAGCGGGTCTGCGGGGCGCGGGTGAAGACAGGGCCAGGGGAGCGGGTCTGCGGGGCACGGGTGAAGACAGGGCCAGGGGAGCGGGTCCTCATGGAGCGTGTGGAGACAGGGCCAAGGGAGCGAGTCTGCGGGGCGCGGGTGAAGACAGCGCCAGGGGAGCGGGTCTTGGGGGCGCGGGTAAAGACAGGGCCAGGGGAGCGGGTCCTCATGGCGCGGGTGGAGACAGGGCCAAGGGAGCGGGTCTGCGGGGCGCGGGTGAAGACAGGGCCAAGGGAGCGGGTCTGCGGGGCGCGGGTGAAGACAGGGCGAGGGGAGCGGGTCTGCGGGGCACGGGTAAAGACAGGGCCAAGGGAGCGGGTCTGCGTGGTGCGGGTGAAGACAGGGCCAGGGGAGCGGGTCTGCGGGGCACGGGTGAAGACAGGGCGAGGGGAGCGGGTCTTGGGGGCGCGGGTGAAGACAGGGCCAGGGGAGCGGGTCTGCGGGGCACGGGTGAAGACAGGGCGAGGGGAGCGGGTCTTGGGGGCGCGGGTGAAGACAGGGCCAGGGGAGCGGGTCTGCGGGGCACGGGTGAAGACAGGGCGAGGGGAGCGGGTCTTGGGGGCGCGGGTGAAGACAGGGCCAGGGGAGCGGGTCTGCGGGGCACGGGTGAAGACAGGGCCAGGGGAGCGGGTCCTCATGGAGCGTGTGGAGACAGGGCCAAGGGAGCGAGTCTGCGGGGCGCGGGTGAAGACAGCGCCAGGGGAGCGGGTCTTGGGGGCGCGGGTAAAGACAGGGCCAGGGGAGCGGGTCCTCATGGCGCGGGTGGAGACAGGGCCAAGGGAGCGGGTCTGCGGGGCGCGGGTGAAGACAGGGCCAAGGGAGCGGGTCTGCGGGGCGCGGGTGAAGACAGGGCGAGGGGAGCGGGTCTGCGGGGCACGGGTAAAGACAGGGCCAAGGGAGCGGGTCTGCGTGGTGCGGGTGAAGACAGGGCCAGGGGAGCGGGTCCACATGGAGCGTGTGGAGACAGGGCCAAGGGAGCGAGTCTGCGGGGCGCGGGTCCGCACGGCGCGGGTGGAGACACGGCCAGGGAAGGTGTTTTGAGAAGGTGACATTGAACAGGCTGTGTAAAGAAGTGGAGCAGAGGCTCTCCTGGCACAGGGAACAGCAGGGCAAAGGTCTCTGTTAGGTTTTGAAGGGAAGGCCGGCGTTAAAGAAAGGCGGAGAGAGGTGCAGCTTGGACTCAGTCCCGAGGGAGGGAAGATCTGTGTGTGGAGAAAGTGAACCCTGAGCAAGAGGCAGGAGATGTGAAGGGAATCGCCAGGGATCTGATCGAGAAGGTGTCTAGGTCCGTGCTAGGAATTTTGGATTTTATAGTCCAGAGAGCTTCTCAGAAGGCAAATACAAACCAAGGCCTGGAGGGAGCCACTGGGCCTGTTCCACCTTTTTATGGAAATTTTTATTGTGATAATTGTAGATTCACAAACAGTTACAAGACTAACATGGAGAGATTCCTTGCACACCTTCCCAGTGTCCCCCATTGGTTACATTCTGTGAAACGTAGTGCAGTATCGACCAGGGCATTGCGTGGACACAGTCCACAGATCCTATTCGGATTTCTCCATTTTTCTTGTAGCTGTATCTGTTCTGTACAGTTTTATCACATCTGTACATTCTTGTGTTCACTACCACAGTCAAAATGCAGAACAGCGTCATGATAGGGCTGTCCTGTTGCCCGTTCATAACCACACAGCTTCCCAACTCCCAAACTGCCAAATTATAGTATAACATCACAGCCAGGATGTTGACATAGATACTGGAAAGCCACTTGTCCTTACCTGTGTGTTTAAGTCCACCGTCTCCACCTTTTGATACAAGAACTATACATTGCAGCCGCTTTAACAAGAATTCCTACCCCCCGCCCATCTGCTGCATGGCCTCAGAACGGCCCTGCTAATTCACCTATGGGAAAGGGACACCCTCCTGCTGGTCACTGCTGTTTTCTGATGACCTCCCTCTCCACAGTGGCATTTTGTCAGCACTTGGGAACTTCCTGGCCCAGATGATTGAGAAGAAGCGGAAAAAAGAAAACTCTAGAAGTCTGGATGTCGGTGGGCCTCTGAGATATGCCGTTTACGGGTGAGTGCCATACAAGGGGTGGGTTTACCTTGTAGCCGCTGAGTGCAACCAAGCTGGGCACCAAAACCGAGTAGTTGGAGTACTCTTATTTGGAAATATAATTTTTTAAAAACCATTGTAGTAATCATCATGGGAAAAAACTCGAATGGTTCATATAGTTTGTATGGCATATATACGCATACGTGGTTTTTTTTGTTTTTTCTTTTTTTTTGGAGACAGAGTCTCACTCTGTCACCCAGGCTTACTGCAACCTCTGCCTCTCTGGTTCAAGTGATTCTCCTGCCTCAGCCTCTCAAATAGCTGGGATTACAGGCACACACCGCCATGCCCAGCTAATTTTTGTTATTTTTAGTAGAGATGGGGTTTCACCATGTTGGCCAGGCTGGTCTTGAACTCCTGACCTCAAGTGATCCACCTTCCTTGGCCTCCCAAAGTGCTGGGATTACAGTGCTAGGAGTACAGGCTCACATTTGTGGTTTTATCATGTTTCTTTTTAATTGGATGGGTAGGGGTGACTGTCTTAATTGGGCTGAGAGGCAAACCTGAGGACAAGTAACTCAACTTAACCTAAAGTCAGACTTCAGGATTCAAAAACCCTGAAAGCGTCCTAGACTGGGCTCATGGAAAGGGAAAACTGACTCCAATTTGACCAGTTAGTTTCTATTGTTATTTTAATTTTTTTTTTTTTTTTTTGAGACGGAATCTCACTCTGCTGCCCAGACTGGAGTGCGGTGGCGCGATCTTGGCTTACTGCAAGCTCTGCCTCCTGGGTTCACGCCATTCTCCCGACTCAGTCTCCCGAGTAGCTGGGACTACAGGCACCTGCCACCACGCCCGGCTAATTTTTTGTATTTTTAGTAGAGACGGGGTTTCACCATTCACAGGATGGTCTGGATCTCCTGACCTCGTGATCCGCCCACCTTGGCCTCCCAAAGTGCTGGGATTACAGGCGCGAGCCACAGTGCCTGGCCTCTATTGTTATTTTCATAGTGTAAACATCCAGAAAATAAATGCTTCGGTACCCTGAAAAATGTCCAGTTTCTGAACCACTTTCTGAGTTGCAAAAGCACAGTAATTCAAGAGTTTTACCAATTTAATCCACCGTGAGCTCTCGGCCAACAGTAATGTGAAGTATTTTCCAACTACAGTGATGTTTTCTTTAATTCAGAATTCCTGAAGATCATTTTTATACTTCCAAGCTTGCTAACTTGAGTCATCATGGATTTTTCCATACTGTATTTAAAGCAGTAATCCCCCCAAGAGGGGCAGGTGATGAGATCACCTAGCAGGCCTCATCCAAGTACAGTTTTCCCATCCACAGGACTTCAGTCCCCTTCCCCACTGAGAATCCCTGCATAGGCCACATAACCCCCTATGACTGGGTGGGAAAAAACACTGAGAACCACTTATCTAAAGACTGTCAACGTCACAAGTTGAAAGACCCCTCTTTTTGTTGCTGAATTTTATGGAACTGCAGGCCTCTTGTCCCAGTAGATGTGGCAGCTGGTTCCATTCTCTCCCAAACACACAGGGGAATGATTAGTAGCAACGCACACAACCTAGAGTGCTGCACCAGGTCCTGCCCTTGCCAGTTAGTTAGTGAGCTCCCTTGCCAGTTAGTTAGTGAGCACCCTTGCCAGTTAGTTAGTGAGCTCCCTTGCCAGTTAGTGAGCTCCCTGAGCCAGTTAGGTAGTGAGCTCCCTGAGCCAGTTAGTTAGTGAGCGCCCTTGCCAGTTAGTTAGTGAGCTCCCTTAGCCAGTTAGTTAGTGAGCTCCCTTGCCAGTTAGTGAGCTCCCTTAGCCAGTTAGTTAGTGAGCTCCCTTAGCCAGTTAGTTAGTGAGCGCCCTTAGCCAGTTAGTTAGTGAGCTCCCTGAGCCAGTTAGTTAGTGAGCTCCCTTAGCCAGTTAGTTAGTGAGCTCCCTTGCCAGTTAATTAGTGAGCTCCCTTAGCCAGTTAGTTAGTGAGCGCCCTTAGCCAGTTAGTTAGTGAGCTCCCTTGCCAGTTAGTTAGTGAGCTCCCTTAGCCAGTTAATTAGTGAGCTCCCTTAGCCAGTTAGTTAGTGAGCGCCCTTAGCCAGTTAGTTAGTGAGCTCCCTTGCCAGTTAATTAGTGAGCTCCCTTAGCCAGTTAGTTAGTGAGCTCCCTTGCCAGTTAGTTAGTGAGCGCCCTTGCCAGTTAGTTAGTGAGCACCCTTGCCAGTTAGTTAGTGAGCGCCCTTGCCAGTTAGTTAAGTGAGCGCCCTTAGCCAGTTAGATAGTGAGCGCCCTTAGCCAGTTAGTTAGTGAGCGCCCTTAGCCAGTTAGTTAGTGAGCGCCCTTGCCAGTTAGTTAGTGAGCACCCTTGCCAGTTAGTTAGTGAGCTCCCTTAGCCAGTTAGTGAGCTCCCTTAGCTAGTTAGAGAGCTCCCTTGCCAGTTAGTTAGTGAGCTCCCTTAGCCAGTTAGTTAGTGAGCTCCCTTAGCCAGTTAGTGAGCTCCCTTGCCAGTTAGTTAGTGAGCTCCCTTGCCAGTTAGTTAGTGAGCTCCCTTAGTCAGTTAGTTAGTGAGCGCCCTTGCCAGTTAGTGAGCGCCCTTGCCAGTTAGTTAGTGAGCTCCCTTAGCCAGTTAGTGAGCTCCCTTGCCAGTTAGTGAGCGCCCTTGCCAGTTAGTTAAGTGAGCGCCCTTAGCCAGTTAGATAGTGAGCGCCCTTAGCCAGTTAGTTAGTGAGCGCCCTTGCCAGTTAGTTAGTGAGCACCCTTGCCAGTTAGTTAGTGAGCTCCCTTAGCCAGTTAGTGAGCTCCCTTAGTTAGTTAGTGAGCTCCCTTGCCAGTTAGTTAGTGAGCTCCCTTAGCCAGTTAGTTAGTGAGCTCCCTTAGCCAGTTAGTGAGCTCCCTTGCCAGTTAGTGAGTGCCCTTGCCAGTTAGTTAAGTGAGCGCCCTTAGCCAGTTAGATAGTGAGCGCCCTTAGCCAGTTAGTTAGTGAGCGCCCTTGCCAGTTAGTTAGTGAGCACCCTTGCCAGTTAGTTAGTGAGCTCCCTTAGCCAGTTAGTGAGCTCCCTTAGTTAGTTAGTGAGCTCCCTTGCCAGTTAGTTAGTGAGCTCCCTTAGCCAGTTAGTTAGTGAGCTCCCTTAGCCAGTTAGTGAGCTCCCTTGCCAGTTAGTTAGTGAGCTCCCTTGCCAGTTAGTTAGTGAGCTCCCTTAGTCAGTTAGTTAGTGAGCGCCCTTGCCAGTTAGTGAGCGCCCTTGCCAGTTAGTTAGTGAGCGCCCTTGCCAGTCAGTGAGCGCCCTTGCCAGTTAGTGAGCGCCCTTGCCAGTTAGTTAGTGAGCGCCCTTGCCAGTTAGTTAGTGAGCTCCCTTAGCCAGTTAGTTAGTGAGCTCCCTTGCCAGTTAGTTAGTGAGCTCCCTTAGCCAGTTAGTTAGTGAGCGCCCTTGCCAGTTAGTTAGTTAGCTCCCTTAGCCAGTTAGTTAGTGAGCTCCCTTGCCAGTTAGTTAGTGAGCTCCCTTGCCAGTTAGTTAGTGAGCTCCCTTAGCCAGTTAGATAGTGAGCGCCCTTAGCCAGTTAGTGAGCGCCCTTGCCAGTTAGTTAGTGAGCGCCCTTGCCAGTTAGTTAGTGAGCTCCCTTAGCCAGTTAGTGAGCTCCCTTGCCAGTTAGTTAGTGAGCTCCCTTAGCCAGTTAGTTAGTGAGCGCCCTTGCCAGTTAGTTAAGTGAGCGCCCTTAGCCAGTTAGATAGTGAGCGCCCTTAGCCAGTTAGTGAGCGCCCTTGCCAGTTAGTTAGTGAGCGCCCTTGCCAGTTAGTTAGTGAGCTCCCTTAGCCAGTTAGTGAGCTCCCTTAGCTAGTTAGAGAGCTCCCTTGCCAGTTAGTTAGTGAGCTCCCTTAGCCAGTTAGTTAGTGAGCTCCCTTAGCCAGTTAGTGAGCTCCCTTGCCAGTTAGTTAGTGAGCTCCCTTGCCAGTTAGTTAGTGAGCTCCCTTAGTCAGTTAGTTAGTGAGCGCCCTTGCCAGTTAGTGAGCGCCCTTGCCAGTTAGTGAGCGCCCTTGCCAGTTAGTTAGTGAGCGCCCTTGCCAGTTAGTGAGCTCCCTTAGCCAGTTAGTTAGTGAGCTCCCTTAGCCAGTTAGTGAGCTCCCTTAGCCAGTTAGTTAGTGAGCGCCCTTGCCAGTTAGTTAAGTGAGCGCCCTTAGCCAGTTAGATAGTGAGCGCCCTTGCCAGTTAGTTAGTGAGCGCCCTTGCCAGTTAGTTAGTGAGCTCCCTTAGCCAGTTAGTGAGCTCCCTTAGCTAGTTAGAGAGCTCCCTTGCCAGTTAGTTAGTGAGCTCCCTTAGCCAGTTAGTTAGTGAGCTCCCTTAGCCAGTTAGTGAGCTCCCTTGCCAGTTAGTGAGCTCCCTTGCCAGTTAGTTAGTGAGCTCCCTTAGTCAGTTAGTGAGTGCCCTTGCCAGTTAGTTAGTGAGCGCCCTTGCCAGTTAGTTAGTGAGCGCCCTTAGCCAGTTAGTTAGCTCCCTTAGCCAGTTAGTGAGCTCCCTTAGCCAGTTAGTTAGTGAGCGCCCTTGCCAGTCAGTTAGTGAGCGCCCTTGCCAGTCAGTTAGTGAGCTCCCTTAGCCAGTTAGTTAGTGAGCTCCCTTGCCAGTTAGTTAGTGAGCTCCCTTAGCCAGTTAGTTAGTGAGCTCCCTTAGCCAGTTAGTTAGTGAGCTCCCTTAGCCAGTTAGTTAGTGAGTGCCCTTGCCAGTTAGTTAGTGAGCTCCCTTAGCCAGTTAGTTAGAGAGCTCCCTTGCCAGTTAGTTAATGAGCTCCCTTAGCCAGTTAGTTAGTGAGCGCCCTTGACAGTTAGTTAGTGAGCGCCCTTGACAGTTAGTTAGTGAGCTCCCTTAGCCAGTTAGTGCCCTTGCCAGTTAGTGAGTGCCCTTGCCAGTTAGCCTAGTGAGTGCCCTTGCCAGTTAGTTAGCCTAGTGAGTTCCCTTGCCAGTTTGTTAGCCTAGTGAGTGCCCTTGCCAGTTAACCTAGTGAGTTCCCTTGCCAGTTAGCCTAGTGAGTTTAATGAAAAGCTCCACAACCAGGGACATGTCTGATGATTCATTATTGAGTGCTTCTCGAAGCCTGGCCCTGTTCTGGGCACTGCAGTGGACAGAAGACGTAGCCTCCCTTGTGGAGCCTGCCTTCTAGGGGGGACGAGAGGCACAGACTAACCTAACATATGAGATAAGGACAGTGCTAGGCAGAAAATGAACCAGGGCCAAGAGTGTTAGCACAGGCGTGCACACGTGCTGGGACGACCTGGAAGCTGACAGTGTGAGGAGGAGCGAGCCAACATAGCTAGGCGGGGACGCGCTGGGAGCAGAGAGTCAACGGCAGGAGCAAGTCTGGTCTGTTAGAGCAACAGAGACAGAGCGCCCCTGAAGCCGACTTATCTGTACAGACCTGTGTGGCCAATACTGAGGGACATCAGGAAGCAGGGGTTAGGACCTGGGATTTGGGGGTGAAGCTAGACCAGAGAAGAGCACATCCAGAGAACCACAATCTGGCTCACACCCCCTGGGGGCCTCAGGTTCTTCTTCACAGGGCCGCTGAGTCACTTCTTCTACTTCTTCATGGAACATTGGATCCCTCCTGAGGTCCCCCTGGCAGGGCTCAGGAGGCTTCTCCTGGACCGCCTCGTCTTTGCACCGGCCTTCCTCATGTTGTTCTTCCTCATCATGAACTTTCTGGAGGTGGGTGTCTGCCACAGCACTTACTGCAGCTCTTCGTTTAGCACAGGGATTCTTCACCTGACATTCTCGGCAGAATTCAGAGGGTCTGCAGATTTTTCACTCAAATTGAAATTTTGCATTTTCTTTTATGAATATAGGAAGCAAACATCTAGTATTGGCAGGACCTGTTTGTACCCAGTAGAGTCACTTTATTTATTTATTTATTTAAAGACAGGGTTTCACTCTGTCACCCAGGCTGCAGTGCAGTAGCACAATCATAGCTCACTGCAAACCTCAAACTCCTGGGTTCAAGCGATCCTCTTGCCTCAGCCTCCCAAGTAGCTGGGACCACATGTGCGTGCCACCACACCCAGCTAATCAGATATTTTTATATCACATCAGTTGTTACAGATATCTCGAAATATAATTTATGCTCATTACTACTTGGACCTGCCATTAGAGGTCTTGTCACTGTGTAAAGAAAGAAACAGGCCGGGCACAGTGGCTCACACCTGTAATCCCAGCACTTTGGGAGGGCGAGGCGGGTGGATCACCTGAGGTCAGGAGTTCGAGACCAGCCTGGCCAACATGGTGAAACCTCGTCTCTACTAAAAATACAAAAAATTTAGCTGGGCACAGTGGCAGTCGCCTGTAGTCCCAGCTACTTGGGAGGCTGAGGCAGGAGAATGGCGTGAACCCGGGAGGTGGAGCTTGCCGTGAGCCGAGATGTCGCCACTGCACTCTAGCCTGGGTAATAGAGCCAGACTCCGTCTCAAAAACAAAAAACAAAACAAAACAAATTAGCCAGGTATGGTGGTGCGTGCTTGTAATCCCAGCTACTCGGGAGGCTGAGGCAGGAGAATCGCTTGAAGCCGGGAGGTGGAGGTTGTGGTGAGCTGAGATTGTGCCACTGCACTCCAGTCTGGGCAACAGAGCAAGACTCTGCCTCAAAAAAAAAAGAAAAAAGAAAAAAGAAACAGGGCCGGGCATGATGGTGCACACCTGTAATCCCAGCACTTTGTGAGGCCAAGGCCAGTGGATAGCTTGAGGCCAGGAGTTCGGGACCAGCCTGGGCAACATGGCGAATACCCATCTCTCAAAAAGTAAAAAATGAGCCAGTGTGGTGATGTGCACCTGTAGTTCCAGCTGTTTGGGAGGCTGAGGTGAGAAGATCCCTTGAGCCCAAGATGTGGAGGCTGCAGTGAGCAGAGATCACACCACTGCACTCCAGCCTGGGTAACAGAGCAAGACACTGGTTCAAAAGACAAAAATAAATAAATAAATAAATAAACACATTAGTCTGTCAAAATTTTTTCTGAATATTTTGATAACTGTATTTCAGTATTATTGGTTCCTTTGTAGTCCTATTTTATTTATTTATTTATTTATTTTTTATTTTTGAGGCAGAATCTCGCCCTGTTGCCCAGGCTGGAGTGCAGTGGTGCGATTTCAGCTCACTGCAACCTCTGCCTCCCGGGTTCAAACGATTCTCCTGCCTCAGCCTCCTGAGTAGCTGGGATTACAGGAGCCCGCTACCACACCCAGCTTATTTTTGTATTTTTAGTAGAGATGGGGTTTCACCATGTTGGCCAGGCTTGTCTTGAACTCCTGACCTCGTGATCCGCCTGCCTTGGCCTCCCAAAGTGCTGGGATTACAAGCGTGAGCCACTGCGCCCAGCCGTATTTTATTTTATAGATTACAAAACATTCTGAGAAGGGGGTCCACAGGCTTCACTAAACTGCCAAAGAGATCTGTGGCACAAGAAGTTTGAGACCCCTACTGATAACACAGAAGAGTTCCGGGCCTGGAGGTTAACCTACCGGCATAATCCCAGTCAGAATCCAACGCATGGGAGGCGTGTTCACCTGCACTCAGCAGGTGTGTCTGTTCTGACTGTCCCACCTCCCCCGTTCACGAGCACCTTCAAATCCTCACCATCTCTAGGAGCACCAGCCAGGTTGTGCTGTGTGTCTGAGACGTGTCACCTTTTTTTTTTTTTTTTTGAGACGGAGTCTCACACTGTTGCCCAGGCTGGAGTGTAGTGCGTGATCTCAGCTCACTGCAACCTTCGCCTCTTGGGTTCAAGCAATTCTCTGCCTCAGCCTCCCAAATAGCTGGGATTGCAGGTGCCCGCCACCATGCCCGGCTAATTGTTTTGTGTTTTTAGTAGAGACGGGGTTTCACCATCTTGGCCAGGTTGGTATTGAACTCCTGACCTCGTGATCCACCCGCCTCGGTCTCTCAAAGTGCTAGGATTACAGGTGTGAGCCACTGCACCTGGCGTCACCTTCTGTCCTGAAAGTAAATTTGTTTTAACCATTCACTTCTCCATACAGAAGTTATAAAGGTTCATGTATTCAAACATGACATTATTCTCCTTCATGCCTTTCCTTACAGGAAGATAATAGAAATATTCTCCTCTGCTTTCCTCCGGTATTCTTATGGTTTTACTTGTGTACAGTAGGAGATAGACTTCTGTGTTGATTTTTCCACTTACATAGCAAATTTTCTCATTACCATTTATTGGGCAATCCCCAGTATTTTGAAATATTCTCATTTCCATCTGTACAGGCAATTATCTGCACTCTTTGTTCTTTTGCTGGATTATTTTCTTTTTTTTGAGATGGAGTCTCACTCTCGCCCAGGCTGGAGTGTGGTGGCACAATATCGGCTCACTGCAACCTCCGCCTCTCGGGTTCAAGTGATTTTCATGTCTCAGCCTCCAGAGTAGCTGGGACAACAGGCGCCCACCACCACGCCTGGCTAATTTTTGTATTTTTAGTAGCAATGGGGTTCCTCTGTGTTGGCCAGGCTGGTCTTGAACTCCTGGCCTCAAGTGATATGCCCACCTTGGCATTACAGGCATGAGCCACTGTACCCAGCTTCTCCCCCTTACTTTAAACAAGAAAATATTTAAGCATTTCTTTAAAAATTTTTTTTAGTTTGTATATATTTAGAGGGTACGAGTGCAGATTTCTTATGTGACTGTGCTGTGGTGAAGTCTGAGCTTTTACTTCCCATCACCCAAGTAGTCAGTGGTGATTTTCAACCCTCTTCTCCCCGCCACCTTTTCAAGTCTCTGGTGTCTGTTATTTCCCTCTGTTGGTCCATGTATACCCACTGTTTAGCCACCACTTATGAGTGAGAACATCGGCTGAGGCAGGAAGGTCACTTGAACCCAGGATGTCGAGACCAGCCTGGGCAACAGAGTGAGACCCCTTCTCTACAAAAAAATTAAAAATCAAAGGGTTGTGGTGGCACATGGCTGTAGTCCCAGCTACTCAGGAGGCTGAGACGGAGGCTTGATGTCAGGAGGTTGAGGCCAAGTGAGCCGACATCACGCCACTGCACTCCAGCCAGCATGGGCAACAGAGTGAGATGGCGAGACCCTGTCTTGGAAAAAAAAAGTGAGAACATGCAGTGTTTGACTTTCCATTGGTGAGTTGTTTCACTTGGGATAATGGCCCCCGGTTCAATCGACGTCACTGCAAAAGACATGCTTTTTTTTTTTTTTTTTTTTTTGACACAGAGTCTCGCTCTTTCATCCAGGCTGGAGTGTAGTGGCGCAATCTCATCTCACTGCAACCTCCGCCCCCCAGGTTCAACGATTTTCCTGCCTCAGCCTCCCAAAGTGCTGAGATTACAGGCGTGAGCCACCGTGCGCGGCCGAGTTCATTCTTTTTTTTATAGCAGAGTAGTGTTCCGTGGTGTATTTATGGCACTTTTTCTTTATCCAGTCCTCTGTTGGGGGACGTTTAGGTTGATTCCACGTGTTTGCTGTTGTGGATAGCGCTGTGATAAACACACGAGGGCAGGGATTGTTTGATATGATTCCTTTTCCTTTGGGTAGAGGCCCAGTAGTGGGATTGCTGGATCGAATGGTGGTTCTATTTTCAGGTCTTTGAGAAATTTCCATACTGTTTTCCAGAAGGGCTGTACTAATTTGCATTCCCACCAGCAGTGTGTAAGTGTTCACTTTTCTCCACATTCTTGCCAGCATCTATTGTTTTTTGACCTTTTTTTTTTTTTTTTTGAGGCAGAGTTTCACTGTGTCAGCCAGGCTGGAGTGCAGTGGCACGATCTCGGCTCACCGCAACCTCCGCCTCCCGGGTTCAAGTGATTCTCCTGCCTCAGCCTCCTGAGTAGCTGGGATTACAGGCACACGCCACCATGCCCAACTAATTTTTGTATTTTTTTTTTTTGGTAGAGACAGGGTTTTCCCATGTTGGTCAGGCTGGTCTCAAACTGCTGACCTCGTGATCCGCCCACCTCAGCCTCCCAAAGTGCTTAAATTACGGTCATGAGCCACCGCGCCTGGCCACTTGACTTTTTAATAATAGCCATTCTGACTCGCGTGAGGTGGTATCTCCTTGTGGTTTTAATTTGCATTTCTCTGATGATTAGTGATGTTGAACATTTTTTCATATGTTTCTTGGCCACTTGTTTTTCTTCTTTTGAAAAATGTTTGTATCCGTTGCCCACTTTTTTAATGAGGTTATTCATTTCTTTCTTGTTGAGTTGTGTAAGTTCCTCACAGATTCTGGATAACAGTCCTTTGTAGGATGCATAATATGCATATATTTTTTCCCAGGCTGTAGACTGTCTGTTGATTGTTTCTTTTGCTGTGCAGAAGCTTTTTTGTTTAATGAAGTCCTGTTTGTCTGTTTTTGGTTTTGCTGTATTTGCTTTTGAGCACTTAGTCACAAATTCTTTGTCTTGGCGGACGTCCAGAGGAATTGCTCCTAGGATCTTTATGGTGTCAGGTCTTGGGTTCAGGTCTTGAATCCACCAGCTGACATTTAGAATGAACTTACTGGAGTCCTTTTTTTTTTTTTTTCATAACTCCTAACAAGTTTTGATTGGAAAGACATCGACTTTGGAGGTTATTTGGGAGGAATTGACAGCGTAGCTCTGAGTAGCAGTTCTGGTGCCCAGGGCCAGCCTTGGGAGTCACCTCCTCCAGTTGTCCGCAAGGAGTTTTGGGCCAGGACAGACATCACTGCCAGCATGAGCAGGCTGCTGTCTGGCATCTCACTGATCATTTTCCATCTTGCTGGTTGGCTCCTTAGAGCCGCAGTGCTGAGTACACATGTGTGCTGTCTGCGTACACACAGAACAAAATCCAATAGCAGTTTAAAAACCATCACGATAGGGTCTGGGTGCCCGGAATTCAGTTCTGATGGGCAGTGAGACTGTTCACCACCCGCCTTCCCTCCTTTGCAGGGGAAAGACGCCTCAGCCTTCGCCGCCAAGATGAGGGGGGGCTTCTGGCCGGCGCTGAGGATGAACTGGCGGGTGTGGACGCCACTACAGTTCATCAACATCAACTACGTCCCTCTGAAGGTGAGGGCCACGGGGCTCAGCCTCTGCTAACATTACTTTGTCAGCCTTTTCCTTCCTTCCTTCCTTCCTCTTTCCTCCCCCCCTCCCTCCCCTCTTCTTTTCTCTTCTCTTCTTTCTTTGGTAGTTTTCCGCTAGACTTAGTTTCATCCGTGTCTAGACTCCTCAACTACCCTTGGATTTTGCCCATGACCCTGAATCATTGCTAGTTCGGGATTCAGGAAGCAACAGAGAAGGGTGTCCCGAGTGGTCGTCTTTGCCTCTTCTGTTCGTTCAGCAAATTCTCATTAAAAGCCCCCATGCCAGGGATGCCTATGAGTTTTCTAGCCTTTGAAACATTCCCAGTCCCAGGAATGTACATGCAGGCAACTTGAATCTATGCTCCTGGGTTGCAGTCCTCAAACTTGGCCCAAATAAACTCTAGTTATACTTAGAAAAAGAAGGCCGTCACAGTAGCTCACACCTGTAATCCCATCACTATGGAAGGCTGAGGTGGGCAAATCACTTGAAGCCAGGAGTTCGAGACCAGCCTGGCCAACATAGCGAAACCCCATCTCTACTAAAAATACAAAAATTAGCCAGGCATGGTGGCAGGTGCCTGTAGTCCCAGCTACTCAGGTGGCTGAGGCACAAGAATCACTTGAATCCGGGAGACGGAGGTTGGAGTGAGCTGAGATTGTGCCACTGCACTCTAGCCTGGGCAACAGAGTAAGACCCTGTCTCAAAAAATAAATAAAATGTTAAAAAGAAACAAAGCATTCGTGGTCCCTGGGCTCATGAATTACAGCTGAGCCTGAAGGCAGGCACTGTGCGGCCATGGGTCCTGCCGCTGGCCTGGAAGAGCTGCCTCACCTGCAGCCATGGCAGCCACACCTGGGCAAGGGGTGGGCCCATCCAGGTGCAGAGTGAAGGCCTTCTGGGTAAGCTGAGCCTTTCCGCTATCCTGTGCATGAAGGAGCTGCTGTGGGGGCTGAGTCAAAGGTGTCAGATTGGGGCTGGGCTGGTGGTGTGGAGGCTGGAGCTCCAGGCTCTGCCACTGGGATCAACTGTCTTTATGCACAGCCAGGGTCCCCAGGACCACTCCCACACTGGGAGGATGGGGTGCAGCACCCCCTGCAGCATGGCAGGATACCCCCAGATGCTACAGGAGGAGGCCTGGCAGAGCCTGCAGGGGCCACGTGCTTCCCTCCCCCAGAAGGTATGCCGCCCATCAGGGTTTTTTACTGGTACTCTGGGCGGGCATCTCTGCCTGCTGCCCCAAAGCTCCAGACCCCTAGAAAGACAGCAGCTGTGTGGAGCCTGCATTGTTGGTGCAAACAGTCCAGGCACAGGGCAGGTGGCCCTTCTGGGAAAGGTGGGTGCCGTCCCAGCCCAGGCTGCTGCTAGGGAGGACCTGAACAGGCCTGCAGTGGCTGGACCTCAGCTGCAGAGGGCCTTCCTGCATTAGCACCGGCTCTGAGCCCTGCCCAGGAGGGAGGAAAGGACCAGGGTGACCCCCGAGGGAGAGGAGGGAGGCGGCCCAGTGTGTGCACACTGCACACACCACAAACACACCAAGAAGCAGCAGGAAACCAGGGGTGCACACAGACAGGACAAAGAGGCAGTTCACCCTTAGCCAAAGTTGCCAGGAGTTAAAGCAAAATAAAAAAATTTCCTTTGGCTTTAACAGTGGCCCTTCCCAGAGCAATTTCAGCTCTATGGGGCTGAAGCCAGATTGCCTTGAAGAGTGGGTGGGAATTATTTTAAAAATCACAAGTCTAGAACATGCTCTCAAAGTCTGTGGGGGCCAGGCATGGTGGCTCATGCCTGTAATCCCAGAACTTTGAGAGGCTGAGGCAGAAGGATCACTCAAAGCCAGGAGTTTGAGACCAGTCTGGGCAACATAGTGAGACCCCATCTCTATTTTATAAAAATGAATTTTAAAAAGTTTGAGAGAAGGTGAGAAGTGATGGAAGAAGGCTGGGTGGCAGAGGGGGTTCTGACACTCAGAGATGCGGCCATGGTGGGTGCAGACGTGAAGCTGCTTGTGGGATGGGCAAACACGCATGTCCAGAAAGAGCAGCTCTGCGGGGTCCCCTAAGGAGTCAGGGTGGATGTGAGCCCCCAGCACACTCACAGTGGTGCTTGGACAGAGGCCCTGCCCTCTGTGATGAGAGAGGAGAGAGAAAGTGACAGCTGAGCGGACAGGAGAGTGGGACATCCTGCCTCAAGCCCCCACGTGCCTCTCTGGAGGGCCAGGGGCTGGGACTGAGGGCAGAGGAAGTCAGGCGGGCATTTTAAGGGGATACAGGAGGGGCAAGTTTGGCCATGTGGAGGATGGGAGAGCATGCTGACTGCAGAGACAAAGACCTCTGGGCAGAGGGGGCTGGGGCTTGTCCAGCTGTGGTCAGCATCTGGGGAAGTGAGAAGGCAGGAAGGATAAAGGATTTTCCAGGGAGTGTGACTGAAGAACAGTAGGCTAAGGAAGCTACAGCCATGGGCCACTGGTTCTCGGGAATTTAGAGAAGGAAGCAGAGACAACTGAGAAGACAGACTGGCCGGGAACACGGAGGATCTGGGATGGAAGAGGGGAGAGCTGGGAAGCCGCGCCTCTGAGTAGCGTGGGGGCAGAGTCGCCATCCTAGGTGGGTGCAGGTGTATGCGGAAGCAGCATTCATTCAGCAAGCGTTTCCTGAGCAGTGACTGTGCGCCATGCTGCTAGACTCGGAGACGCGGCGATTAACCAGACACATGGGCTGCTACTTTCATAGCACCACGTGCCAGGGAGAGACTCAGCACTGGGCCAGAGGATTCTGGGGAAGGGTGAAGCTGCTGAGTCACCAAAGCAGGGCAGTGGGATGGTGATGGGTTAGAGGAGGGAAGGTCTGGGGCCCCTCCGCTGTTCGTCAGCTGTGTCCCCTGAGGAGGGTGCAGCCACCTGCATGATGGCTGGTCCTGGAGTGAGAGAGGCTGAACCAGGAGCTAAGGTGTGCGGTGAAGGGGGCAAAAGGAGAGTGACTTGGCTTTGGGATTCCTGGGCCGCTGTAGCCTGTGAACACTGTAACTAGGGGACCGTTTTTCTTCTCCACTCCTCTCTGCTAGGGGCCTAGCACAGCGTTTGGTACGAACAAAGGCTCAGTAAATGCAGTAATGGATGGGTGGTTGGACCAGCTGACCAACAAACGGGTAAACAAATGAACTGGGTGACTGAGGCTGGATAACTGGCCACGGCCTCCCGCTGACCGTGGCCTGTTGGACTGTTCTTTTCGGCAGTTCCGGGTGCTCTTCGCCAACCTGGCAGCTCTGTTCTGGTATGCCTACCTGGCCTCCTTGGGGAAGTGACGACCGCTGGGAGAACATCAGGTGCACTGTGGACGTGGGTCTGGGGGTCTCACCCGCCCAGCGAGAGCAGAACCAATCCAGTCAGGATGTCACTGACTCTAAATCAGGTGATTCAAGATGCCCAAAAATGATGGATAGAGAAACAGAAATCTCTGAATGTCAGAACCCTGTCTTTTAAAAAGGCAGTCGCTGCCTTCAGGTGGTGCTGCCCCAGAAACTTAAAATTTAGTCGAGGCAGTTTCAATTGTTACTGTGGACCGAATTAGGATCACAATAAACGATAATGCAGGTTCTTCAATGGTGACTTTAATCTCTCAGAACAATTGCTGTTGCTTTGAAAGACATGCATAGCCAGATGTTTTTTAAATTTTCGTGTGTGTGGTACGATACATAAAACACAAAATTTACCATGCATCTGGTCGTGGTGGCTCATGCCTGTCATCCCAGTACTTTGGGAGGCCGAGGCAGGAAGATTGCTTGAGGCCAGGAATTTGAGACCAGCCTGGGCAACACAGCGAGACCTCATTTCTACAAGAAAAAAAAAGAAATACATATATATACACACACACACACACACACACACACACATATATATGTATATATGTGTCTATATATACACACACACACACACACACACATACACTCCTGGGATATCTTCCTGCCACAGTCTCCCAAGTAGCTAGGATTATAAGTTCCCACCCAGCCATACCTGGCTAATTGTTTTCTTTTTTTTGTAGAGATGGGGTCTTCCTGTGTTGCCCAGGCTGGTCTTTGAACTCCTGGGATTACAGGTGGGAGCAACTGCACTGGGCTCTTTTTTTTTTTTTTTTTTTTTTTTGAGACAGAGTCTTGCCCCGTTGCCCAGGCTGGAGTGCAATGGCGTGATCTCAGCTCACTGCAACCTCTGCCTCCTGGGTTCAAGAGATTTCTCCTGCCTCAGCCTCCCGAGTAGCTGGGATTACAGGTGTGCACCACCATGCCCGGCTAATTTTTTGTATCTTTAGTAGAGAAAGGGTTTCGCCATGTTGGCTAGGCTGGTCTCGAACACCTGACCTCATGATTTGCCTGCCTTGGCCTCCGGAGGTGCTGGGATTACAGGCTTGAGCCAACATTCCCGGCCCTCTTTCCTTTTAATAAAGGCTGACTTTTGATTGTCCTTAAGATTCTTTAAAGAAAATAAAAATAGGCTAGGCTCGGTGGCTCACGCTTGTAATCCCAGCACTTTGGGAGGCTGGGATCACTTGAGGCAGATGGATCACTTGAGGTCAGGAGTTCAAGACCAGCCTGGCCAACATAGTGAAACCCTATCTCTACCAAAAATATAAAAAATTAGCGGCTGGGCAGAGCGGCTCATGCCTGTAATCCCAGCACTTTGGGAGGCCAAGGCTGGTGGATCACGAGGTCAAGAAATCGAGGCCATCCTGGCCAACCTGGTGAAACCTTGTCTCTACTAAAAATATAAAAATTAGCAGGGCATGGGCAAGGCGCGGTGGCTCATGCCTGTAATCCCAGCACTTTGGGAGGCCGAGGCGGGCGGATCACGAGGTCAGGAGATCGAGACCATCCTGGCTAACATGGTGAAACCCTGTCTCTACTAAAAAAAATACAAAAAATTAGCCGGGCGTGGTGGCGGGCGCCTGTAGTCCCAGCTACTTGGGAGGCTGAGGCGGTAGAATGGCGTGAACCTGGGAGGCAGAGCTTGCAGTGAGCCGAGATCGTGCCACTGCACTCCAGGCTGGGCAACAGAGTGAGACTCCGTCTCAAAAAAAAAAAAAAAAAAATTAGCAGGGCGTGGTGGCACGTGCCTGTAATCACAGCTACTCGGGAGGCTGAGGCAGGAGAACCGCTTGAACCTGGGAGGCAGAGGTTGCAGTGAGCCAAGATCGCTCCACTGCATTCCAGCCTGGCGACAGAGAAAGACTCCGTCTTAAAAAAAAAAAAAAAAATTAGCTGGGTGTGGTGATGCATGCCTGTAATCCCAGCTACTTGGGAGGCTGAGGCAGGAAAATCACTTGAACTGGGAAGGCAGAGGTTGCAGTGAGCCAAGATCGTGCCACTGCACCCCAGCCTGGGCAACAGAGTGAGACTCTGTCTCAAAAAAATAAATAAATAAAATAAAAAATAAAAATAGGGCTGGGTGCAGCGGCTCACGCCTGTAATCCTAGCACTTTTTGAGGCCGAGGCAGGCGGATTACTTGAGGTCAGGAGTTTGAAACCAGCCTGGCCAACATGATGAAACCCCCTCTCTACTAAGAAATAATAAAATAAAAATTAAAAACTTAAAAGGCTGAACATTGCCGTGTGCGTGGACTGCATTTTGCCTGTCCGTCTGTCCGTCAGTGGCTAGACTGTTTCCAGCTCCTGGATGCCGTGAAGGATGTGGCGGTGAAGACAGCGGCACTAATGCCTGCTCAAGTCCTGCTTGCCTTGGGTTTTCAAAGAACTGCTCTTTCAGTTCAGAATATTTAAGGTGGGGTCGTTCCCAAAGGAAGTTTAGGGCATTTGCAAAAGTAACAGATGCTCCTGCAATTGATGCAGAAGGTGACAATTCTGACTATCCCTCTAACTTGCCACTTCCCAGTGAGTCCCACCCCCTGCCATGATGGAGGATTAAGAACCTGGATCTCAGAACAGATTCTAGATTAGAATCCAGAGATGACAGTACTGACACCGCTTAGGGCTGCTTTGTGCCGGAACTCTTCTGAGAGCTGCAGCAGCCCTGAGGGAGGTGCCATTGTTTTCTCTACTCCACATGTGGGGGATGCAAGATGCCTCAGCTAGCAAGAGACAGTCCTGATTCAGAGGCAGTCAGCCAGGTCTTGAGCCACCATCTTCACCACCTCATCATAGGGCATCAGAGTGTCACGGCAAGGTCAAGAGAATTTGCTGGAGAAGATTTCACATCATGTATATGGCTTACCACAGCCCGCATCCGGTCAGTTCGCTGAACACACCTTTACGGAGTGCTGTCAGGCACACAGGGGAGAGCAGAGACCAGGAGTTTTTAGTTTCACACACTTAACAGTCATCAGAAAACAGGCTTTTTTTTTTTTTTTTTTTTTGAGACAGAGTCTCACTCTGTTGCCCAGGCTGGAGTGCGGTGGCATGATCTCAGCTCACTGCAGCCTCCCGTTTCCAAGTGATTCTCCTGGCTCAGCCTCCTGAGTAGCTGGGATTACCAGCGCGTGCCACTATGCCCTGCTAATTTTTTGTATTTTTAGTAGAGATGGGGTTTCACCATGTTGGCCAGGCTGGTCTCGAACTCCTGACCTCAAGTGATCCATCCGCCTGTCTCGGCCTCTCAAAGTGCTGGGATTATCGAGCATGAGCCACTGCGCCCGGCGTAAAAAATACATTAAAAAAAAATATTTTCTCCTGGGCTGGTCAGTTTCCACACAGAGGAATCCTTTAGTTCTTGTCAGGGCATTGGGGGAAGGATGGTGGTGGTAGCTGAGCAGGGAATGAGCCTAGTGGCCAACATTCTTGTGGCTATCTGGAGGAAAGGGGTTAGAGGTCCTACTCTTCCTTATGTGAACTCTGTATAATCCCATCTTTATTACTGCATCCCCAATCTGAGCTATGCTTGGTGTCCTGAAATCCAGAACCCTCCTGTTCAAGTCCCCTGGAATGGCCTTTCTCTAGTGCTCCACGGTGATGAAAGTGAGCTATTCCCCTGAACATGTGGGGGAGAAACGAAATGTGGAAGGCAACCTTTTCCTCTAAATGCTCCTGCTTTCAGCCCCACAGCTCTCAGACAGGAGGCTAATGCTGCCAACTCCCAGACTCTTCCAGACTCACTGGATTAAATGAACTTGCTTCCTGGTTTCCTTCCACATAGGCACTGGTGTTCCATATTCTCAGGTCGATAAAGATCTGATCTCCAGCTCTTGAACTTTTGTTAACTGATTTATCTGCTGTCATTTCTTCTTATGGATTCAACTATGTCCTTGTGGATTTTCCCTTGTTTTTTATTTTATTTTTTGAGATGGAGTCTTGCTCTGTCACCCAGGCTGGAGTGCAGTAGTGTGATCTCAGCTCACTGCAGCTTCTGCCTCCTGGATTCCAGCGATTCTCCTGCCTCAGCCTCCTGGGTAGCTGGGATTACAGGTATGTACCAGCTAATTTTTGTATTTTTAGTAGAGATGGGGTTTCACCATGTTGGCCAGGCTGGTCTCAAACTCCTGATCTCAGGTGATCTGCCCGCCTCGGCCTCCCAAAGTGCTGGGATTACAGGCATGAGCCACTGAGCCTGGCTGATTTTCTTTTTTTTGAGACAGAGTCTCTGTCACCCAGGCTGGAGTGCAGTGGCACCATCCTGGCTCACTGCAACCTCTGCCTCCCAGGTTCAAGCGATTATCCGGCCTTAGGCTCTCGAGTAGCAGGGACTACAGGCGCGCACCACCACGCCAGGCTTTTTTGTATTTCAGTAAAGACGGGGTTTCACCATGTTGGTCAGGCTGGTCTTGATCTCCTAACCTCGTGATCCGCCCACCTCAGCCTCCCAAAGTGCTGGGATTACAGGCGTGAGGCACTGCGCCCGGCCCAATTTTCCTTTATTTTTTTGAGACAGAGTCTCGCTCTGTCGCCCAGTCTGGAGTGCAGTGGCGCGATCTCGGCTCACTGCAAGCTCCGCCTCCCGGGTTCACGGCATTCTCCTGCCTCAGCCTCCCTAGTAGCTGGGACTACAAGCACCCGCCACCATGCCCTATTTTTTTTTTTTTTTTTTGTATTATTAGTAGAGACGGGTTTTCACCGTGTTAGCCAGGATGGTCTCGAGCTCCTGACCTCGTGATCCGCTCACCTAGGCCTCCCAAAGTGCTGGGATTACAGGCGTGAGCCACCACGCCCGGCCTTCCTTTTATTTTTATTTTTTAAATCTTCCTATCATTTTTAGTAAATGACCTGGAAGCAGCAGACCCAACTGGAAGCGTACAGGTTCAAGAAAGCCTGTTTAAGCAGAAGTCTCAGTATTTCTGTGGAACCATTCAGTTTTTTTATTTTTATTTTTTTGAGACATTGTTTCACTCTGTTGCCCAGGCTGGAGTGCAGTGAGGCAATCTCAGCTCACTGCAACCTCCGCTTCCTGGGTTCAAGCAACTCTCCTGCCTCAGCCTCCTGAGTAGCTGGTATTACAGGCTGGAGCCACCGTGCCCGGCTAATTTTTGTATTTTTAGTAGAGACCGGGTTTCACCATGTTGGCCAGGCTGGTCTCAAACTTCTGACCTCAGGTGATCCGCCTGTCTCGGCTTCCCAAAGTGTTGTGATTACACGCGTGAGCCACCGAGCCCAGGCCCAAGTGATTTTTAAATAGCTTAAATCAGATCATGTCATTTCCCAATTTTAAAATGGGCAGAGATGGTCCAGCAATCCCACTTCTGGGTACAGACGCAAAACAATCAATGAAAGAGAGATCTGCACGCAGCACTGTTCACGCTAGCGAGGAGATGGCAACAGGGCAAGCGTCCAGCAATGGGTAAGCGGTGGGGTCGGTGCACGCAGGCGTCCAGCAATGGGTAAGCGGTGGGGTCGGTCCACCCAGGGAGCGCTGGTCCCCCTGGAAGGAAACCCAGGCTCTAACGCGGTCCCTCTGAGGACCCTGCTAGGCGAAACGCGCCGGCCATAGAAAGACTGTCCCGCAGGAGAGGGCGGTGTTCGGCCCGGGGTTTGAGGGGTCGGGACCAGGAGGAGGGACAGCCCGGCCGAACCTGAACGCACTTCAGGCCGCTTGAACAGCACACGCAGGAACTGCGCCGACGGAAAACTTTACTTCGTGTTCCGCCACCAAAAAAATATCGTTTAAACAAACCTGCGGCAGCTTCCCAGCTCCCTTAAACCAGGATCCCAAGTTCTCCGCGTCTCCGCCCCTGCACCCAGCCTCCGGCCTCGGCAGGCGCTTCCGGTGCGGAACCTTCTGGAAAGTACCGCGCCGCCCTCCCGGCGTCCCCACAACCCCGCCCGCACCTGCGCGCACCGGCGCTCGCGAGCACAAGTGACGGGACTGGAGCGTGGCGCGGCAGGTGGCTCCACGAAAACGCCCCTTCGCGCAAGGCTGCCCCGCGTCCTGCCGCGCCCCAGGAGGCGGGACTTCCGCCCCCGCCGCCCGGAAGCGGCAGCCGGGGGAAGCGTGTTCCTCGCGGAGCGCCGTCGGGGCCGTGGGCGCCTGCGCGGGCCGGCGCGGGAGCAAGCGGCATGGCGTTCCGGCAGGCGCTGCAGCTGGCGGCCTGCGGGCTGGCCGGGGGCTCGGCCGCCGTGCTCTTCTCGGCCGTGGCGGTAGGGAAGCCGCGCGCAGGCGGGGACGCGGAGCCACGCCCGGCTGAGCCGCCGGCCTGGGCGGGGGGCGCGCGGCCGGGCCCCGGTGTCTGGGACCCCAACTGGGACAGGTGCGCGCGGGGCTGTTTGGGGCCGGGGTCGGGATGGGGGTCAGGGCAGGTGTTACCGTTGGGATCGAGATCGGGACCAGGTTTAAGGTTGCGATCGGGTCGGGATCTGGGGTCGCCGTCTGCTTTCCCCAGCGGAGGAGCCGCTTTCCGGGGCCGCTCTGCGCGGAGGGTTCCGGGGGCGGCTGACCCTTCCCGCCGGCTTCTGTGGCCGAGCTCCGTCGCGTCCTCGCCCTTCTCCCCGCCCCTGCGAGTCCGCCCTGGGTGCCATCGCCGGAGCGCGGGCCGGGGCGAGGCTGAGGTGGAAGCCGGGCCTCCTTCAGGGGCGTTTGCAGGAGCGCGCCCGCGAGCTGCGTGCGGTTATTGAGCGTTTGAAATATGGCTCGTGTGATTCCTGAAGGGAATGCTTAGTTTACGTCAATTTAAACTTAACGCAAGCAGGGCCGGGTGCGGTAGCTCAGGCCTGTAATCCCAGCGTTTGGGAGGCTGAGGCCGGAGGATCGCTTGAGAAATTTGAAACCAGCCTGGGCAACATAGTGAGACCCCCATCTCTACAAAAAATACAAAAAAAATTGGCCGAGCGAGGTGGCGCGCGCCTGTGGTCCCAGCTACTCGGGAGGCTGAGGTAGGAGGATCCCTTGAGTCCAGGGGTCCCAGGCTGCACAGTGTGAGCCGAGATCCCGCCACTTCACTCCAGCCTGAGCAACAGAGCCTGTCTCAAAGGAAAAAAAAAAAAAGTAGTGCAGGTTTTTAACATTAGTTATGTGTTGAAATAGTATTTTTAGCATATTGAATTAAAAGTATGATCGAAATTCACCTGTTTCTTTTTAATGTTGCTATTAGAAAATGTATAATTTCACATGTTGCTGGCATTCTGTTTCTGTCGGCCAGGACTGCTCTAGCGGCAAGGATGGTTTTCCCAGTCCTAACTCCTCATTATACTCAGTACTTTGAGAAAGGGGGCACAGAATTATACTACTGTGGTTGCGTTAGGTACTTTATATTAGATTTTTATCTTTTGTTAACCTTATTTCCTCTATTATTAGCATCATACACTAAGCATGGTGTATATATCAAAATTAATGAGCCAAAATAATATAGATTAATTATAGTTATTATATTAGTTTATAATACATTACTGTTAACTAAGGTTCATGTTTCATTGAGATTTCCTCAGCTTTTACCTGCTGTTCTGTTCTAGGGTCCCACATGACAAGTAGTCTTCATGCCTCCGTAGGCATGTTTTGGCTGTGACAATTTCTCAGACTTGTTTTGATGATCATGAGTGTTTGAGGCGTCCTGGTCAGGGGTTTGGTAGAAGGTCCCTCAATTGAGACTTCTCTGAAGGTTTTCTCATGATTAGACTGGAGTTACATTCTTTTTCCTTCTTTTCTTTTTTCTTTTTCCTTGAGACGGAGTTTCGCTCTTGTTGCCCAGGCTGGAGTGCAATGGTGCAATCTCGGCTCACTGCAACCTCCGCCTCCCGGGTTCAAGCAATTCTCCTGCCTCAGCCTCCCGAGTAGCTGGGATTACAGGCACGCGCCATTATGCCCAGCTAATTTTGTATTTTTAGTAGAGACGGGGTTTCTCCATGTCGGTCAGGCTGGTCTTGAACTCCCAACCTTAGGTGATCCTCCCACCTCGGCCTCCCAAAGTGCTGGGATTACAGGCATGAGCCACCATGCCCAGCCTGTTATATTCTTTTTTAAAAATCAGAATTCTGAAAAATCAGAAATTCTGAATCAATATTCTGAATTTCTTAGGTCTTTTTAAGGAAACAGATTTACTCTGCCGTTAAAGAACTTGAAGTAGGCTGGGTGCGGTGGCTCACACCTGTAATCCCAGCATTTTGAGAGGCTGAGGTGGGCGGATCACTTGAGGTCAGGAGTTCGAGACCAGCCTGACCAACACGGTGACACTCTGTATTTACTAAAAATACAAAAAAATTAGCCAGGCATGGTGGCATGCACCTGTAGTCCTAGCTACTTGGGAGGCTGAGGCAGGACAATCACTTGAGCCCAGGAGGTGGAGGCTGCAGTGAGCCCAGATCGTGCCACTGCACTCCAGCCTGGGTGATAGAGTGAAACTCTGTCTCAAAAAAGAAAAAAAAGAACTTGAAGTAGAACCGGGAGCTGAGCCCAGCCTTTCTCTTTTAAGCAGGTGTTCTGTATTTGCTTGTCATGTCTGGGGAGAAGTGAATTGGGCCTTGTGGGTTGGGAAAGACTTATACAGACAGAAGGCATGAGCAACTACAGGAAGGTGCTAGAAGACAGCATGTTTCTTCTTGAGTCTCACCTGTCCACACTTGAAAGTTCCAGAGCCTCATCTGGTGAAATCTCCAGCTTCTTCCTGGAGGTCTCATGCAGTTTACGGCTTCCTGTCTCTGTGCCTATAGCTCCCAAATATTTTCTCTGGCTCAGCCTGACTCCCCCATACCTGCCAATTTGAGTCTTGGCCTGGTTTATGACAGGCCCCCAGGTCGGCGTGGCCCAAACGGAGCCCTTGAGTCACCACCGTGCCCTTCCACAGCTTCCTTTTCCGCCACTGTCTCAGCGAGTAAATACCAGCAGGTTCGACTTTTGCTATTCCCAGCTCTGCCGCGTTGAACTTTTTTTGTTGCTGTTGAGACAGGGTCTCGCTCTGTTGCCCAGGCTGGAGTGCAGTGCAGTGCAGTGGCAAGATCATGGCTCCCTCCTAGGCTCAAGCAATTCTCCCACCTCAGCCTCCTGAGTAGCCGGGACTACAGCTGTGGACCACCTTGCCCGGCTAATTTTTTAATGTTTTTGTAGAGACGGGGTCCCCCTGTGTTGCCCAGGCTAGTCTTGGACTCCTGGGCTCCAGTGATCTGCCCACCTCGGCCTCCCAAAGTGCTGGGATCCACTCTTTTTCAGATTCCAGCAGCTCTGGAACAGACCTTCATAATGGGAATGTTTTCTTCCTCACTGAGTGTTTGTTTATTTATTTATTTTCTGAGGCGGAGTCTCACTCTGTCGCCCAGACTGGAGTGCAGTGGCACGATCTCGGCTCTCTGCAACCTCCGCCTCCCAGGTTCAAGCGATTCTCCTGCCTCAGCCTCCCAAGTAGCTGGGATCACAGGCGTGTGCCACCAAGCCCGGCTAATTTTTGTATTTTGAGTAGAGGTGCAATTTCACCATGTTGGCCAGGCTAGTGTCGAACTCTTGACCTCAGTTGATCTGGCCACCTCAGCCTCCCAAATGCTGGGATTACACGTGTGAGCCACTGCACCCGGCCTGAGGGTCTAAAATGTGCTTAGTATGACTGAGGACATGATGTTTTAATTTTATTTAATTTTGCTTAAATTTTGAATTGAAACATCCTCATAGCTAGTGGCTGCTGTTGGGCATTGCAGTTCTAGGCTCTGCTGAAGCATCATGGTCAGGGAGGCCCATCTTGGCCCCGTGGACACTTTCCGCCTGCGCCCCGATAGCCGCTGTCCTCTTTCCTAGCCTGGCGTTCTCCGTAACCACAGTTGCGTTTGGGGTAGTCTGTCTCCTGCTGTTCACTGTCTGCCTCTCATTAGAGAAGAAGATGCACAGGGCTTTGCTTGTCTGTTTTGCTCTCCAGCGCATCACTCAGAACAGACCTGGCACTAGCTTTGTGGGAGGGAGAGTGGCGGTATGCTCAGAGAGGCCTCCCCAGGGCTGTGCCAAGGGCCTTGTCTTCTCTCCATGCTCTTCCCAAATAGTCTGACAATTTGGAAATAACATCTTGTCAGAAAAACTCAAACTTGGGAACAGAGGTCTCAAGGACATATCTTGTATTTCAACATCAGGCGAGAACCACTGTCTCTGATCAACGTGCGGAAGAGGAACGTGGAATCTGGGGAAGAAGAGCTGGCGTCCAAGCTGGACCACTACAAAGCCAAGGCCACGCGGCACATCTTCCTCATCAGGCATTCCCAGTACCACGTGGATGGCTCCCTGGAGAAGGACCGCACTCTGACCCCGCTGGGTATGTGGTGGGTTCAGATCCTCTGTGGACCCTCGTGGTTATGTGGCCAGGTGCATATCTGCTGGCGCCTTGGTTATGTGACTGGGTGCAGGTCCTCCGCCGACCCCCTTGGTCAGCTTTCTTGAAAGTGCTTGGGGCACTGGGCCTCCTGGGGCCCATGTCCGAGACCATCACCCCTGAATCACACATTATTACCAGTAACTGTCAGCTGAACTTGGACAGAAGACAAGCTTTTCAAAATGTCCTTACCTTGGCCGGGCGCGGTGGCTCACGCCTGTAATCCCAGCACTTTGGGAGGCCGAGGCAGGTGGATTACCTGAGGTCAGGAATTCGAGACCAGCCTGGCCAACCCGGCAAAACCCTGTCTCTACTAAAAGTACAAAAATTAGCCAGGTGCAGTGGTGGGCGCCTGTAGTCCCAGCTACTCGGGAAGCTGAGGCAGGAGAATGGTGTGAACCCTGGAGGCGGAGCTTGCAGTGAGCTGAGATCGCACCACTGCACTCCAGCCTGGGCGACAGAGCGAGACTCCGTCTCAAAAAAAAAAAAAATGTCCTTACCTTGGCCAGGCACGGTGGCTCACGCCTGTAATCCCAACACTTTGGGAGGCCGAGGCAGGTGGATCACCTGAGGTCAGGAGTTCGAGACCAGCCTGGCCAACAGGGCGAAACCTCGTCACTACTAAAAGTACAAAAATTAGCCGGGTGCAGTGGCAGGCACCTGTAATCCCAGCTACTAAGGAGGCTGAGACAGGAGAATTGCTTGACCCTGGGAGGTGGAGGTTGCAGTGAGCCAAGATTGCACCACTGCACTCTAGCCTAGGTAACAGAGTGAGACTCCGTCTCAAAAAAAAAAAGCCCTTAACTTTTAGCAAATGTTGGACAGATCTTGTTTGCATGAGACCAAATGCAGTGCATATCCCAGCAGTGATTTTATACCTGCTTGATGCCTTGGAAAGCGGCGTGGCTTGTGCCCTCGGCTGCTCACCTGGACCTGCTGCCAAAGACGCTTCTCTGCGGCCTGTGGCACTCACAGGCCTGATGCCTGGCGTCTGCTTGTTTGTTTGTTTTGAGACATAGTCCTGCTCTGTTACCCAGGCTGGAGTGCAGTGACGTGATCTTGGCCCGCTGCAACCTTTGCCTCCTGGGTTCAAGCAATTCTCCTGCCTCAGGCTCCCAAGTAGCTGGGACTACAGGCACACGCTGCCACTCCCAGCTATTTTTTTGTATTTTTAGTAGAGACGGGGTTTCACCGTGTTAGCCAGGATGGTCTCTATCTCCTGACCTTGTGATCCACCCGCCTCGGCCTCCCAAAGTACTGGGATTACAGGCGTGAGCCACCACACCCAGCCTAATTTTTTTTTTTTTTTGTATTTTTAGTAGAGATGGGGTTTCACCATATTGGCCAGGCTGGTCTCAAACTCCTGACCTCGTAATCCGCCCGCCTTGGCCTCCCAAAGTGCTAGGGTGACAGGTGTGAGCCACCGCGCCCGGCCTGGCCTCTGCCTCTTAATGCCCTGTTGAACAGGCGGGACTGAGCAACAGGATCCCGCCTGTCCCCACTGGCAGATGCTGCATAGACAGCGTCCAGGAGGGTCCTTCCACCTTGTCCTTGTGTCCCTGTGCAGGTGGATCTGTAGAAGAAATGCCTGCCTAGAGAAGGAAATGCAGGGTGGGCTAAGGTAGAGTTTACATTTTGAAAAGTTCTTCGAATGGGATAGTGCCTGTTCATGCACATACTAAAAGTTCAGATAGTAAAAATGTGCAGGGCTGTCCTCCACAGACGCCGCCCCCCAGTCCCCAGAGCTGTCCTGGCTGCTTGTGCACAAAGAAAGTGGAGTGACAGATGCAGGTGTGGCTGCATCCAGTGGCTTCGGCCTTCCTGAGGCGTTTTCACCTGGATGCAAAAGCTCACAAGAGAAAAGGCATCTGCACTGGTGTCCGGCCCCCACATAGCAGCTTGGGGTGTTTAGGTCCCGCTGTGTTGGCCTCCGCCATGGCGCGTGGTTGGGGGCCTGTGAGGCTCAGGTTTTGGACACAGTTGAGTGAGGGTGACAAGGGGGGACCCAGAAACCACCCCTGGGCCCCACCAAGCGCCAGCCACCATCCGGTTTGCTTGCTGCTCCATTGGTGGAATCAGATGCATGTTTTTTCCTGTATGGGGGTGAAGACAGTTGAGTGCCGGCCCCTCTGGCCCAAGCCTCGGGCGGGCAGGAGCCATCGGCTGAGCTTGCTGAGCTTGCTGCCTGATCAGGGGTCGTGTTTGCGGGCGGAGGAGGGGGTGTTTGCGGGCGGAGGAGGGGGTGTTTGAGGGTGGAGGAGGGCGTGTTTGCGGGCGGAGGAGGGGGTGTTTGAGGGTGGAGGAGGGGGTGCAGGTGCGGCACTCAGGTGCCTTTCACCTTCCAGGTCGGGAGCAGGCTGAACTCACTGGGCTCCGCCTGGCAAGCTTGGGGTTGAAGTTTAATAAAATCGTCCATTCGTCTATGACGCGCGCCATAGAGACCACCGATATCATCAGCCGGCACCTGCCAGGTGAGTGCTGCGCGCGGGGCCTCCATGCTTGCAGCAGTGGGCGGCTCGTGGCAGGGCCCCGGCCTGAGCTCCTGGCCACCGGGAGGTCACAGCATCTCCGCCGGCGGGGCCGCCTCACCCAGCGCTTCGCTGTGCTTCTCTGCAGGCGTCTGCAAAGTCAGCACAGATCTGCTGCGGGAAGGCGCCCCCATCGAGCCAGACCCGCCCGTGTCTCATTGGAAGCCGGAAGCTGTGGTAAAAACCTCCCCGGGGGGCAGCTGTGTCACCCTCGCCTTCCCTGGGCAAAGCGGCCCTGCTGGGCTCACCATCCACCACGTGCCCGGCCGTCCCACGGGCTTCCCCGGGCGGCGATGGGGTCTGTCCTCCTGACACCCGCCCTGCCCGAGCACTTCCGCACTGACGGCTCCTCACTCTGCCCCCAGCAGTATTACGAAGACGGAGCCCGGATCGAGGCCGCCTTCCGGAACTACATCCACCGCGCAGATGCCAGGCAGGAGGAGGACAGTTACGAGATCTTCATCTGTCACGCCAACGTCATCCGCTACATCGTGTGCAGGTAGGCAGCTGCTGGGCTGGGCGTGGTCTAAAATAATTTCAGACTTAGAGAAAAGCATGAGGAAGAAGCCGAGCGAGACCCTCCTCCACTGCCGATGCCACCCTAGTCAGGCCTCACCAGCCCCCGGGCGTCCACTTCCCGCGAGTCCTAGTCAGTTACGCGGTAGGTGGCGTGTTACTTGGAGCTTCTCATAAGGCTGTTTTGGGCAAGGGTGGTGCAGACAGGGAGGGACCCCTGTGGTGTCCTGGGTGGGGTGCGTGCTGGGTGGGGGGTCCTGAGTGGGGTGCGTGCTGGGTGGGGGTGTCCTGGGTGGGGTGTGTGCTGGGTGGGGGGTCCTGGGTGGGGTGCGTGCTGGGTGGGGGTGTCCTGGGTGGGGTGCGTGCTGGGTGGGGGTGTCCTGGGTGGGGTGCGTGCTGGGTGGGGGTGTCCTGGGTGGGGTGCGTGCTGGGTGGGGGGTCCTGGGTGGGGTGCGTGCTGGGTGGGGGTGTCCTGGGTGGGGTGCGTGCTGGGTGGGGGGTCCTGGGTACGGTGCATGCTGGGCGTCCGCACTGCCCTGGTTGTTTTCCCTTTGTAATTGAACGTCCTGTTTCCCCTCAAACTCGACCAACCACCTTCTGCCTCCGGCTGGATCCCACTGGCAGCATCCCGCCGCTGTTGTCCGCTGGGGATTTTGTGCTTCTGGGGTCCTGACCTCTTTCACTTGCTGATCTGTGGGCGCTCCCACCCGTGTGCCAGCGTGACGGCTCGGGGTGTCCGCTCCCCTCTGGGTCGAGGCCACAGCTGAGTCACGTTGCTGCTCGGGCTGCTCCCTCGGGGGGCCCTTGTCCCTCAACCTGCTCTGGTGCCCCACTCTCAGCACCACAGAATGATCCGGGTTCAGGTTGCGTTTTCCCTGCCACCACCCTGCAATCAGCCACTTCTTTAAGGAGCTCCAGGGCTGCAGCCACGTTAGAGGGCCCCTTGGGGGGCAGGGCCAGCTCTACGGTTACATGCCTGAAACAGTCAGAAGGGTTGGCCAAATCTCACTAAATGCAAATTTGAAACAAATTTGCCTCTTCTCTGGATCCATTAGGAAAT
Organism: Homo sapiens; assembly: GCF_000001405.40. NCBI lineage: Eukaryota > Metazoa > Chordata > Mammalia > Primates > Hominidae > Homo > Homo sapiens. The sequence continues at coordinate 132,719,198 of NC_000012.12, forward strand.
GTGTGTGTGGGCTCCGCAGCTGAGGGGGCCCTCTTGAGTGTGACGAGTCCTGTGGTGGGAGGACAGGACGGCACTGGTCAGTGATGCCGTGTGAGGCTGGGCCCTGGTCTCTGCCCGTCTGTCACCTGGGCCTGTCACCAGGGCTGGGGCTGCTGGGAGCACCATGGTCAAGAGCAGCAGCTCCCAGAAAGTCGAGGATGTACGGGCCGAGATTCTCAAGCTTGGCTCCAGACCAGATAGAGCTTTTCTGGGGGTTGGAGCCTCCGGGTGGTGTGGCCTCAGGCTAAGTGAGTACCTGTTTGCTGTGAGTCGTTCGTTGCCTCCTGTCTGTGCTTGTGAATGAGCCATATGGGTGGCTTCTATGCTGCCACCACCACCTTGTGTGTCCATGACACAGTCACCCCGAGGTGACACAAATGCTAAAAATGCACAGAAATAACCGGGGCGGGAGAGTGGAGCCGACCTGAGTCCACACAGTGGTGAGGGCCAGGCACGTGCACCTGGACACGAGAATATGGCTGTGCTGTTCCGGCCGGTGCCGCCAGGCAGCCCTGAGGAGGCTCGGGAAGCAGCGTGAGGGTGGCCATGCGGCCCACTGAGACAGGGCGGTGGGTGGCTCAGAGGCGATGAAGGCAACTCCGAGCTTTTCCGCAAATGCGAATTGTGCCTAAGAAGTGCATGAAGATGCCACGGCGGGTAGATCCCATCTCCGTTCTTTGCTTTCCCAGAAAGGGACCTGTTGCACTAACTGGCTGCTCCCTGCTTTTATATGGGAAAAGCAGAAATTAAACTGTGTTTCCTCGTAAGAAGTCAGCGTTGTTCTGATCTGTGCAAATCTTGAGTTGGGGTTGGGCCCCTGTCCTAAAGAGGGCAGGTCCCCAAGTGTGATGGCTCCATTCATGTCGATCCCAGTCATCGATTCACGTCGATCCCAGCCAGATCTTCCCCGAGAAGCCCCGACTGAAGACAGGAGCGGCTCGGCTGATGTGTACCCCGGCCCTGAGGCTGCTCTGAGACTTCTGAGGGGCTCAGCCTCTGTTTGTAGAACAGAGCCCCCTGGCACAGCCTGGCCCAGCCTCTTTTAAGGACAGAGTCCCCTGGCTCTAGCCCAGCCCGTTTTTTTTTTTTTAGACAGAATCTCGCTCTGTCACCCAGGCTGGAGTGCAGTGGCGCGATCTCAGCTCACTGCAAGCTCCGCCTCCCGGGTTCACGCCATTCTTCTGCCTCAGCCTCCCAAGTAGCTGGGACTACAGGTGCCTGCTATCACGCCCAGCTAATTTTTTGTATTTTTAGTAGAGATGGGGTTTCACCGTGTTAGCTGGGATGGTCTCGATCTCCTGACCTTGTGATCCACCCGCCTGGCCTCCCAAAGTGCTGGGATTACAGGTGTGAGCCACCATGCCCGGCCTAGCTCAGCCCGTTTTAAGGACAGAGCCCCCTGGCTCTAACGTGCTCTTTCTCTCTCTCTCTCTCTCCCCAGAGCACTGCAGTTTCCTCCTGAAGGCTGGCTCCGGCTCTCCCTCAATAATGGCAGCATCACCCACCTGGTGATCCGACCCAACGGCCGAGTTGCGCTCAGGACCCTCGGGGACACGGGGTTCATGCCTCCCGACAAGATCACTCGATCCTGAGGGCTCCGGCCTCTCCTTCCCTCTGTCCTCCCTGCACAGGCCGCACACACTTAACGTTTTGTTCCCAAGGAGACCGGCGGAAAGTAGAAACCTGCAATGCTGCATCTGGGAACTGACTTGTGACCAGGCTGAGAAGGGGAGAGTTGGGATCAGACAGCCTGACTTCTCTGCAGGGTTTTATACCTGACCATGAACCCCCAGGATGGCGTGGGGTTTAAGGTGAAAGCGTCTCACGCACAAGTCAGGCCTGTTGTGGGGACTTGAAAGAGGCCTGACCCAGACCACCATGTTCGCACCCACAGCTGACCCGTGCTGAGGGTCCAGGCTCCATTGGCAAAGCCGGTCAGGCACGAGGGCGACTGAGGCACGTGGATGAGGAGGGCACCCAGGTTCTGTTCACAACTCACTTCACTTCATACATCCTTTTAATTTCTTAAAACCCTCTTGTCCCTTAAATATTTGTCAATTAAAGATTTTCTGGCTGGGCACAGTGGCTCACACCTGTATTCCCAGCTACTCAGGAGGCCAGGGTGGGAGGATCACTTGAGCTCAGGAGTTCAAGACCAGCCTGGACAAGGCAACATAGCGAGACCCTGTCTCTACTAAAAATACAGAACTTAGCTGGGTGTGTCGTGGGCATCTAGAGTCCCAGCTACTTGGGAGGCTGAGGTGGGTGGATCACTTGGGCCCGGGAGCTGGAGGCTGCAGTGAGCTGTGATTGTGTCACTGCACTCCAGCCTGGGCAAGCGAGGGAGACTTAAAGCAATTTTTTCTTTTGAAACGGAGTTTCACTCTTGTTGCCCAGGCTGGAGTGCAGTGGTGCGATCTCGGCTCACCGCAACCTCTGCCTCCTGGGTTCAAGTGATTCTCCTGCCTCAGCTCCCGAGTAGCTGGGATTACAGTCGCCCACCACCATACCTGGCTAATTTTTTGTATTTTTAGTAAAGACAGGGTTTCATGGAGAAACCAATATAGAATTGTTCAGGCTGGTCTCGAACTCCCAACCTCAGGTGATTCACCCACCTTGGCCTCCCAAAGTGCTGGGATTAAAGGTGTGAGCCATCGTGCCTGGCCTAAAAAATTTTTTTTTCTTCATCTGGGTTTTTGCTTTGAAAACAAGTTTCTCCAAATTTACAGATTTCCTGATGATGTTGGGTCTGAACTCACCAACTTGATTAGGTCTTTAGGGGCCGAGGGACTAGCCAGCTGCACAGGTGACTGGATGGGGGAGGGGCAGGTGAGGTGGGTCTACAGAGGTGGCTTCGCCTTTGACCTTCATGCTGGTCTCGGCTGAGGTGACACGCTAGTGACAGCCCAATAGGGGGTTACCCTTATTGAGTAAAATACTTCAGATTGACAGCTCAATCTTAGTTTGCCTCCAGTTAATCTTTTATGCTTAGGGATTAAATGTGTGGTTTTTTTTTTGTTTTTTTTTTTTTGGAGACGGAGTCTCGCTCTGTCACCCAGGCTGGAGTGCAGTGGCGCGATCTCGGCTCACTGCAACCTCTGCCTCCTGGGTTCAAACGATTCTCCTGCCTCAGCCTCCCAAGTAGCTGGGATTATAGGCGCCCACCACCATGCCTGGCTAATTTTTTATTTTTAGTAGAGATGGGGTTTCACCGTGTTGGCCAGGCTGGTCTCGAACTCCTGACCTCGTGATCTACCCACCTCGGCCTCCCCAAGTGCTGGGATTACAGGCGTGAGCTAGCATGCCTGGCCAGGGATTAAAATATTCAAACATGTTGTGTGTACCCAGATATGCTGTTAATTTAGGAAAAACAGTACAATTTCTATGAAGTGGTTGTGACTATTTTCTGTAGTCAATACAGTTGGGATATCTGATCTATTTCTCTGTCTACTTTGGAAATGATTGCATAATAAATAAAATTTTACTGTTTTTTTAAAAGGACTAGTTGTGAGTGTGTTAAAAGCGTGGAACTTCGGCCGGGCGCGGTGGCCACGCCTGTAATCCCAGCACTTCAGGAGGCCCAGGCAGGTGGATCATGAGGTCGGGAGTTCAAGACCAGCCTGACCAACATGCTGAAACCTCGTCTCTACTAAAAATACAAAAATTAGCCAGGTGTGGCAGGCGCCTGTAATCCCAGCTACTCAGGAGGCTGAGGCAGGAGAATCGCTTGAACCCGGAAGGCGGAGCTTGCAGTGAGCCGAGATCGCTCCACTGCACTCCAGCCTGGGCCACAGAGCAAGACACCATCTAATAAGAAAAAAAAAAAAGGAAACTTGTGCAGTGTGAGAAACGATGGTGTCACCAGAACCCTTTGCACAGTGTCCTGTCTCCCCGTGGCTGACGCCTCTGCCCGCATCGCACCGGCTGCCTGCTCAGAGGACTTCCGCCAGTGGCCTGGGCCCTTTCCAAATCCCTGACCAGGACGGCAAGGCTGACCAATGGTTGTGGAGACAACAGCCACAGCAACCATACACCACTGTCTAGAAATAGTTTGATAAGCCAGGGACGCGCCAACTTCAAAAACAAATACCAGGCACGCTCACGTTTGACCTCAGACGGGAGCAAGGCTGGCGAGGAAGCAGTCCGGGATGCTCTAAGTCAGCTACACAGGGCGCCCACGCCACAGCCCCAACGCTGGGCCTCCAGGGATGGGGCAGCGCTGCAGGGCTAAGCCTTTGTTCTGCTTAGGGCCCCGGCTCCTCTGTAAAGTGGGAAAGCTTGGAGGTGGGAGCAGCGCCAGCACGCCTGGCACTGAGGCAATGCTCAGAGCAGGCGCAGGTTTGCTGGGCAGCAAAGCTCATCACAAAGTGGAATGACCACACATCAGCTGGCCCCAATGCCCTGCGCAGCCCACGGCCACTCCCATCGCTCACGTCATAGACGTGAGTCGCACTCATGTGAAGATCTGGACAGACTACCTGGTCTAAAGGGGGAAGTGGATGGGAGACCACGAGCAGTTTTCAATGGATCACAAGAAACCAGTGACCCAGAGTCTTCAAATCCTTCTGCAAAAAAACAAACAAAACCCAAAAGGAAAGAAAACCTGATTATGCTGCTTAAGTCAAATCTGAAGTCAAGGATTTTGAAAAGTTAAGCCACAAACTCAGTGTGTGACTAATTCTTTAAGAGCGTACAGCAATGATAACCAAGTCTACAGCCCTTGGTATTCCCAGGCAGCCTCCACTCCAAGTCCTAACCAGGCCCTGCTTATCTGCCAAGATCAGAGAGACTGGGTGTGCTCGGGGTAGTATGCCCATAGATGATTACCTAAGTTTCTTGAATATGAAACTTTAAATAATTTTTAGTTTCTTTTTCTAGAGTAAATTCCCAGCAAACTTTTTTTTTGAGACATACTCTGGCTCTGTCACCTGGGTTGGAGTGCGGTGCCACAGTCTCGGCTCACTACAACCTCCGCTTTCCAGGCTCAAGCGATTCTCATGTCTCAGCCTCCCAAGTGGCTCGTTCTACAGGTGTGCGTCACTGCACCTGGCTCATTTTTGCATTTGTGGTAGAGATGGGTTTCACTATGCTGGCTAGACTGGTCTCGAGCTCCTGGCCTCAAGTGATCCGCCCACCTCGGCATCCCAAAGCACATGAGCCACTGTGCCTGGTAGACTTCCCTTCTAAAATACCTGCTGTTCAAAGTGGTTCTTCCTTAAATGGCCTTTTCCAGTCTTCTGCATGTGGGACGGACGTAGATTAGCAAAGTGAGGATGGCTCCCGGTTTGGCTGGTAGCTGGTGGGGGTCTAATTTCTGAATGCTGGACTCAGGGCAGGTATGGCGGGGGAGAAGGCAGGGAGGGGCAGGCAGGAGACTGGGGAGTGGGGAGCTGACCCATACCAGGGCAGCCCCCAGGGATCTTCAGTGTGCATGTTGTGAACGCCTGCGTGGAGGGAGCCGCATGAGGGGAAGGCTGAGGGTGTCTGGACTGGGTGAGTTACAGGGGCCCAGCGACGTCAACGATGGAAACCGTCCCCTGGTTTGGGACAGACTGAAGACTTCTCACATGTTAGTAACGATAGCCTCTGTCTGGCCAAAGTGAAAACTGCACACCAGAAGCCTCAATGAGACTGGTGGGAAAGGCAATGCCACCAGATGGCGGCCAGCTGCCAGGGGTCGCCATGCCGACGTTTATCCCAAAGCCTTTTCTAAGGAGGGAGCACGGGCGGGAATCTGCAGCTGGAGCAGTCACAGGGTTTCCAACCACGACAAACACGCCTGCACCCCGCACGCACAGCCGGGCCCCAATGAGGGTTTCCATCAGCCCTTCCCTGGGAAAACTCTGCAGGCTTCTGGAAACATCCACACGGCTCTGGAGGACCTGGCTGTGGTCCCTGCCATGGCGCCGCTGGCACTCCCACGGCTGGTACGCAGCACCATGGCTGCTTTTACCCAGAAACGAGCAGCAGACTCACCGGGCGCCTCCCTCACAGCTGCCACCACGCTGGAGAAGGGCACTTTCCAACCAAAGCCACCACAGCAACTGTTAATGTCACCAAGGTTTCCCACTGCCAAGAGCAACGGTAAAATCTGTGCTCTTTTAACGGATGCCAGAAAATCTTTCACAACTGAGTCAAGAAAGGGGCTTAAAAACAGCGAGCGAATCTGAGGGCACCCAGGTTGATGGCCGTCCAACCAAAACAGTGCCGTGCGCCTGGGCACAAGTGAGGGATCCTTCCGAAAGCTTGCAATTATTACCACGCGGTTTTGAAGTAATTCATTTCATTAAGTGTTTTGTGAAGGACATAACCCCCCGGGACACACGAGAATGCCTCCGTTGGGACTGGAATCGCTGCCCACAAACAAACGGAGAAACAGTCAAAGGTGGCCTAAGACCTGGGAAATCAGGAGCAGTGGTCCACATACAAAATCAGGGCCAAAACGTTTTACTTTCCATTTGAATTTACAACCATATACAGACAATATGGTAAGATTTTAGAGAAAACAGATCATCACTACGAATATCCATATTCTGATTTCTTTTGAGAACCAAGGTGCCTTTTAAAATGCGGCTTTTTAGAATAGCATGTGTTGTTTCTGTCTGGGATCTAGATCTTGTCTGCTACAAAACAAATGAACACACCCTGTGTAACAAAATCGAATTTTAACATTTAAATCTTGATTCCAATATTCCTGACCTATCTCTTGTCATATGAAAGAAAGAAGCCTTTTTTTAAAACAAAGTTTCAATTCAGAATTTTTACAAACAAAAACAATCCTGCGTCTACTTAATATCCCTGTATATCCTCAAAAAGCAAGTTCAGGAAATTTAAAAATGATTTATAAAAGGCACTGAAGTTAGCAAAAGCATTGGTGGGTTTTCATTTTGGATTAAACACTGGAAATGTTCACAGAGAAACAACTGTGTGAGCAGTTGCCCGTAACACCCAGGAAGAAACCGACCTCCAGGCAGCACCTCCTGAACACCTCAGCGGCTCCTCACACATTCCAACCACAGACCTTCATTCAAGTCAAGGTGAAGGCTACAGTCAGCACGGCAAGAAACCAAGATGGGACTCAAACCTCTAAATGCAACACTCTGCATACAGGAGATCCCAACTGAAATGAGTTCCAAAATAACGGATACCTTTATCGTATAATCATTTATGCTCAACAAAGCCTCAGGATAAATTTGAAAACAGAACAATGTATAGACTGTATTACTGCTGCACTGGCTCCTGAATGAAGCAGGCGGTGAAGGCTCACGTGCTGAGGAAACAGGGAACACCTTGGCGCCGCTGCTGAGCTCTGTGTTGCTCCTGGTATCACTCCCACGGGCTGCAAGACTTCCCAAGAGAAAAGCTACTTTCATCTTCTGATCAGTAATTTAAATATTCCGAACAACCCAAATCACAATGGTTGCTGCAAGTCTGAGGCGCGCTCCTGGCTCCCTGATCCCTGCCGTCCACCTCCCTCTGTCTGAACCATGAGACCCACGGGCGAACCAACAGGCACTCTGCCACCATCAGATGCCACCCCCCAACCCAGGAAAAGACAGGGCGGCAAATAGTTCATCTTGGTGAGTGCAGGTTATCAAAGGGACATCGGTGCTCACGCCTCCGCCAAGCCCCTCCTCATCCACAGCGTCTGTCGGATGAGGTGAGTACAGGGTAAGTACAGGGCTGCCTGCCTGCAACTGCCTCAGCGCCCTTTCCTCTGCTATATTTCAGACCTAGAAATTGCCACCTAAAAAGTCTACCATTACCACATGGATATTTTCCAGAAAATTGGTAACTGAGTTTGCTTTCATTAACTTCTAACTTCTTCCAAAATATCAGAAATCTAAGTGTTATATAGAACATTTAAATCTTCTAAAATTCTCACACCCTCAAAGTGAGGAGTAATAATTTAATCAGAATATATTCCTTTTTGACAGTTTAGCAATAAACATATGACCCTTCCTTCTTTAAAAATGAAGAACAAACCGAGAGCCCAGCGCCAAGCCTACAGGGCGGCAAGCTCAGCCAGGCGCGCCATCCTGCGGAGCTGGCTCCCGTGCACGGGGCTGTAGCGCCCAGGACTGCCCAGGCCTGGCTTTGCGGGGTTGCTTCCAGCCACGCTGTTTCTCCCCGGACTGTAGCTGTGAGGGCCACTGAGATCTGGCAGCTGAGACTTGAACCTTCCTTTCACCGCGGGACTGGGCCAACTGCGGAAAGCAAGAAAGAACTGTTAGCAGACGGGCACAGGCCCGGAGATGAACAGCAAAAGTCGGAGAATAATGGCCCCAGACTCAGGCACATGCGCCCGGGCGGAGGAGAGGCACTGGTGAACCCTGGCACCGCGGGCACACACGCCCGGGTGGAAGAGACGCACTGCTGAACCCTGGCACCGCGGGCACACGCGCCCGGGCGGAGGAGACACACTGCTGAACCCTGGCACCGTGGGCACATGCGTCTGGGTGGAGGAGAGGCACTGCTGAACCCTGGCACCGCGGGCACTGGGAGAGTCAAGCTCATGGGGGTTTCCCGGAGAATCCTGTGTGATCTGAGTAGAAACCCTGCTGCTTCCACCCTTCTAGCCCTCAGCTTGTCAGGAGCTGACCCGTTCAGCTTTTCCACCCAACCAGAGCTCTGTCCTGTGTGCAGAGAGCCACAACACCCAAATCCACAGCCTGGCTGACGGGCCTGCCAGCGTTGGGAAAAGCCACTGATAGGTTCGCATGAAGTGGAACTGGACCCTGCAGAAGTTTCCAAAAGCTGCCCTGCGGGTGACAGGCTGTCCGGGCCCCACATACCTCTGTCTGTCCGAGGGTGAGTAGCACAGGACAGCACTCTTCCATCTGTGCACGGCCGGGAACTGATGGGGGTCGACGTCTGCACATTCAAGAGCGGCCAAAACATCCTGATCGAGTTTTGATGGCTCCTCTCTAGAAAGCACAATAAAAGAAGCAAAAACATCTTTGGTAAAAACATAAAGACTTCTAAAATACCACTACTTTTTTTTTTATTTTGAGACGGAGTCTTGCTCTGTCGCCCAGGCTGGAATGCAGTGGCGTGATCTCGGCTCATCGCAAGCTCCGCCTCCCGGGTTCAAGCAATTCTCTGCCTCAGCCTCCCGAGTAGCTGGGACTACAGGTGCCTGCCACCACGCCCGGCTAATTTTTTGTATTTTTATTAGAGATAGGATTTCACCATCTTGGTCAGGCTGGTCTTGAACTCCTGACCTTGTGATCCACCCACCTCGGCCTCCCAAAGTGCTGGAATTACAGGCGTGAGCCACCACACCCAGACAAATATCACTACATTTTAAACTCAAGAACCCAGCACACAAAACAACAGTGTGCAAGGATCGATCTGGCCTGAGCAGATGGAACCAGGGAACCAGCAGCAGCATGTCAGGGCATTAGCTCTGCAGAGGGAGGCATCTCCCAAGGCCAGGGAGGCGGATGCAGACTCGCTGTTCTGTGATGAGAAGAGCAGGGGCCAGGGAGGAGTCGCCTCTGGGTGCACGCCTGCATTCTCTATGGTAGCAGGATCCACCCGCTGTTAAAATGCAGTTTTGCATACTTGCACCCCCAGAGGGTGCTCAGTACCAGAAGGTTAGGGACATTTATCCCCTGTTAGATTGAGATTGACCCCAAGATGGCTTTTCTTCCTAGAAGGATTTAGAAGAGATCATTCACACCACTGGCAGGCACATCCCTAGCAAATAACAGCCAACACTAGGATCACCCACGGTCCAACCAGAGGAAGACCCAGAAAGAGCATCTAGAAGCTGGACTCAGAGACAGGAACTGAACGCACACGGCAAGTCCACACAAAAGCTTGTGTGGAGGCCGGGTGCGGTGGCTCACGCCTGTGATCCCAACACTTTGGGAGGCCGAGGCAGGTGGATCACGAGGTCAGGAGTTCGACACCAGCCTGGCCAATATGGCGAAACCCCATCTCTACTAAAAATACAAAAATCAGCTAGACGTGGTGGCAGGCGCCTGTAATCCCAGCTACTCAGGAGGCTGAGGCAGGAGAATTGGTTGAACCTGGGAGGTGGAGGTTACAGTGAGCTGTGATCGCACCACTGCACTCCAGCCTAGGCGACAGAGCAAGACTCCATCTGAAAGAAAGGAGAGGAGAGGAGAGTCGAGGGGATGGGGTGGGGGGATAGGGGAGGGGGAGGTGAGGGGGAGATGAGGGGAGGGGTAGGGGAGGGGGAGATGAGGGGAATGGGAGGGTGGGAGGGGAGGGGGAGGGGAGGGGAAGGTGAGAGGAGGGGGAGGGGAGGCAAGGGGAGGGGGAGGTGAGGGAAGGGGGAGGGGGAGGTGAGGGAAGGGGGAGATGAGGGGAGTGGATGGGTGGGAGGGGAAGGGGAGGGGGAGGTGAGGGGAGGGGGAGGGGGGAGGGAAGGTGGGGAAGGAAAGTGAGTGCAGAGGGCAACACACTCCTACCCAAAAAGGAAGAGCCGCCTGGCCGGTTCCCTGGTGACCTCGAGCTGATCCTCGTGCCTGGGGCTGCTGGGACTCAAGGACATTTTAGCGATCCTGGCTGACATTTCACTTTCTGTCCTCCTGTGGCCATTCCCGAGTTGGTCTGCGGGAGAAGGCTCTAACAAGTCTCTTTCTACTGCATTGATTCTTGAAGTCAGGATCTGATCTTTAGTTTTTGTACTTTCATCTGGTGTCTTGGAAACGCTACGTCCTATATTTTGCAAATTCAGTTTATCAAACTCAACAGTCAAATCCGAGACAGGTGGCAGATGGGCTTCCTCCCCACGGGGGGCCTTTGGTCTCTTGCCCGCCAGGGTCCTGCTGTGATTCAGAGGATGGCAGAGCCCATTTCTGCTGCTGTGTGGACCTCCCGGCTCGGCGGCTTCTATGAGGTCTGCCTCCTGCTCCAAGGGGAAGGCGCTGCACCTCGTATGTCCAAAAGCACCGACTGTGGGCGGGCTGTTATTTCGAGCTGCATTTTGCCGATTTTTTATTTCTTCCAAGCTCATGTCATCTTCATCTAGAAACGCCCTCACGGAAATGGAATTGCTGCCTGTGAGGACAACAAGGAGCACTTCAGTGATGGGAACGACAGGAAGCCACGGAGCTGCTCCGCCCCATCCATGACCAACTGCCGTGACCCCAGCAACAGCAACTCTTATACCCAAAACCTCCCCACTCCATCCGCGACCAACTGCCGTGACCCCAGCAACAGCAACTCTTGCATCCAAAACCTCCTCATCAGATTTCAGGATGGAAAACCACCCACACGACTCCCTGGAAAAGGGCAAACAGGACCCTCCAGACACAATCAGGCTGCTGGGGCCAGGCACAGAAGCTCACGCCTGCAATCCCAGCACTCTGGGAGGCCATGGCAGGGGGGTCGCTGGACCCCAGGAGTTCAAGACTGCCTGGGCAACATAGCGAAACCCCGTTCTCTATAGAAAAATTAGCTGACATGGTGGCACGCACCTGTAGTCTCAGCTATTTGGGAGGCTCAAGTGGGAGGATCGCTTGAGCCCAGGAGGGGGAGGCTGCAGTGGGCTGTGACTGCACCATTGCTTTCCATCCTGTGCCACAGAGTGAGACCCTATTTCAGACGAGGAGGGAAATAAAGCTGCCAGGCTGACTTTTCTTTCAAAGGCAGGGACATGAAAACGCCAAGGGCAGCCCAGGTGATGGGCGAGATGACTGCCCTGCACCCCCAGCCACCCTCCAGCTCCGATCTGCTGCGACCCCAGGGGCTCCGAGTGTCACAGTGCCCCAGAGGATCCCGAAGATCGTCCAGAACAACTCCATGAAGTAACCCTGCTGCGCTTTAGGTGTGAAGATAACACAGAAGAGCTCCCGGGCGCAGCACTGTGCGACAGGCAACAGAAATGTCCCGTTTGGTGTTCACGATGGTGGCCGCGGCCACAGGAGGATCCAGAACACTTGAGCTGTGGCTCCTGCTACTTAGGAAATGCCTCAACTTTATTTAATATTTACTAATTAAAATGTACATAGTCACAAGACAACACTGTAAATGAGGCCGCTTTACAGAAGTGAGTTCTGTGCCACCATCAGCTACAACACAGCAAGGTCAGACTTCAATGATTCCTGTATAACGACGGCACTGACGTCGCTCTAGTTCTGTGGTTCAGAGTCACAGGTCGTGACTGTTGAAGATTCACTGCTTCTTAGTTTAATGTATGTCAATCATTTTCATTTTCTATCATTCCAGGGAGTTTGTTTTATAAATGAAGTGTCTTGCGGGCTAATGGTTCTATTATGACCTTACACACACAAACTCACACAGACACACACTCACACACACACACACACAGTTTAAACTGTATATCTGCTTTAATTTGTATTTTAGCAGATTCGAATCTCTAGTTATTAGCAAATTTCTGTTTTTTTAAAAAAATAAATAGAGACAGAGTCTCACTATGTTGCTCAAGCTGCCTTCGAACTCCTGGGTTTCAGCAATCCACCCACGTTGGCCTCCCTAAGTGCTGGGATTATAGTGTGAGCCGCCACGCCCGGCCGCTGGGATTGCAGGCCTGAGCTCCCGTGCCCGGCCATCGTTGATGTTTTTATGAATCACTTTTAGATTTTGTAGATTAACCTCTTCCATCATGCTCTTTCCATTCAGTGCATCTGTGCTTTGGAAGCACTTTGCATCGTGGTGTCTGATATGCACCGTGTGAAGTGCTTTGCGTGTGCGTCCTGGTGTCTGATATACACCGTGTGAAGCGCTCTGCGTCCTGGTGTCTCATATGCACCGTGTGAAGCGCTCTGCGTCCTGGTGTCTGATATGCACCGTGTGAAGCTCTCTGCATGCTGGTGTCTGATGTGCACCGTGTGAAGCGCTTTGCGTTTGCGTCCTGGTGTCTGATATACACCATGTGAAGCGCTCTGCGTCCTGGTGTCTGATATACACCGTGTGAAGCGCTCTGCATCCTGGTGTCTGATACGCACCGTGTGAAGCGCTCTGCGTCCTGGTGTCTGATACGCACCGTGTGAAGTGCTCTGCATCCTGGTGTCTGATACGCACCGTGTGAAGCGCTCTGCATCCTGGTGTCTGATACGCACCGTGTGAAGCTCTCTGCGTCCTGGTGTCTGATACGCACCGTGTGAAGCTCTCTGCGTCCTGGTGTCTGATACGCACTGTGAAGCGCTCTGCGTGCTGGTGTCTGATACGCACCGTGTGAAGCTCTCTGCGTCCTGGTGTCTGATATGCACCGTGTGAAGCTCTCTGCGTGCTGGTGTCTGACATGCACCGTGTGAAGCTCTCTGAGTGCTGGTGTCTGATACGCACCGTGTGAAGCTCTCTGCATGCTGGTGTCTGATATGCACCGTGTGAAGCACTGCGCGTCCTGGCGTCTGATACGCACCGTGTGAAGCTCTCTGCGTCCTGGTGTCTGATACGCACCGTGAAGCGCTCTGCGTGCTGGTGTCTGATACGCACCGTGTGAAGCTCTCTGCGTCCTGGTGTCTGATATGCACCGTGTGAAGCTCTCTGCGTCCTGGTGTCTGATATGCACCATGTGAAGCACTGCGCGTCCTGGTGTCTGATATGCACCGTGTGAAGCTCTCTGCGTCCTGGTGTCTGACGTGCACCATGTGAAGCCCTCTGCGTGCTGGTGTCTGATATGCACCGTGTGAAGCGCTCTGCATCCTGGTGTCTGAAATGCACCGTGTGAAGCGCTCTGCATCCTGGTGTCTGATATGCACCGTGTGAAGCTCTCTGCGTCCTGGTGTCTGAAATACACTGTGTGAAGCGCTCTGCGTCCTGGTGTCTGATATGCACTGTGTGAAGCGCTCTGCGTCCTGGTGTCTGATATGCACCGTGAAGCGCTCTGCATGCTGGTGTCTGATACGCACCGTGTGAAGCTCTCTGCGTCCTGGTGTCTGATATGCACCGTGTGAAGCACTGCGCGTCCTGGTGTCTGATATGCACCGTGTGAAGCTCTCTGCGTGCTGGTGTCTGATATGCACCGTGTGAAGCTCTCTGCGTCCTGGTGTCTGATATGCACCGTGTGAAGCACTGCGCGTCCTGGTGTCTGATATGCACCGTGTGAAGCTCTCTGCGTCCTGGTGTCTGACGTGCACCGTGTGAAGCTCTCTGCGTCCTGGTGTCTGATATGCACCGTGTGAAGCGCTCTGCGTCCTGGTGTCTGACAGGCACCGTGTGAAGCTCTCTGCGTCCTGGTGTCTGATATGCACCGTGTGAAGCTCTCTGCGTGCTGGTGTCTGATATACCCCGTGTGAAGCACTGCGCGTCCTGGTGTCTGATATGCACCGTGTGAAGCTCTCTGCGTGCTGGTGCCTGATATGCACCGTGTGAAGCGCTCTGCATCCTGGTGTCTGAAATGCACCGTGTGAAGCACTCTGCATCCTGGTGTCTGAAATGCACCGTGTGAAGCTCTCTGCGTCCTGGTGTCTGAAATACACTGTGTGAAGCGCTCTGCGTCCTGGTGTCTGATATGCACTGTGTGAAGCGCTCTGCGTCCTGGTGTCTGATACGCACCGTGCAAGGCGCTTCGTGCCCTGGTGTCTGATATACACCAGTATTCTGATGTGCACTCGTCTTTTTCCTGAAAATATACCAAATCTAAAATATCAGGCTCAGCCAATGGAGTTCAGCTATTATGAGTTTTGAGAAAACGGCACAGAATGAAACTATATTAGATTTTGGATAATGCAAACACAAGCAGAAACAGCAATACTGCTCAAAGCGATGCCATTATTTTTCATGTACCCTCCCCGACACACAACCCATTTAACATTAACCTTCCCAGCACTCTAGTGGATCACGAGGTCAGGAGTTCGAGACCAGCCTGGTCAATACGGTGAAACCGCATCTCCACTAAAAAAAAAAAAAATACGAAAATTAGCCAGGCGTGGTGGCGGGCGCCTGTAGTCCCAGCTACTCAGGAGGCTGAGGCAGAAGAATCGCTTGAACCCAGGAGGTGGAGGTTGCAGTGAGCCAAGATTGCGCCACTGCACTCCAGCTTGGGTAACAAAGAGAGGTTCCGTCTCAAAAAATACTAACCTAAGGGAAAGTACCAGACCTTTACGTTAAAAACACCAAGAGACGAGAAACAGATGTGCGCATCCCGTCAGACCCCGGCCATGGGGGGCCCCTCCCAGCTGCCACAGCCACGCCTGCACATGCTTACCAGACGTGGTGGCTTTATCTCGGCAGGAGGCTTCCCGTTCTCCTGTTTCTTGTTGAGCCTTTTTGCCTATTTCCTGCTGTGTGAGATATTCTTCTAGTCTTTGCAGGCCTTCCTGGGAAGACAGATCAACAAAACAGCCCAGAAATTCCCAGTATTCAACCCAGGGATACCCCAGCTCATGAGCTAGCTCCCTGTAAGAAACAAAACACAATTAACCAGCTGTGAAACCAGAAAAAATACTCAGAACTACACAGAAAAAAGCCACTAAAGCTTCAAGTACCAAAGCAATGTCTGCAATCATGGTTATAATTTTCCTTTATCCTTAACTGGCAGCTGAAATCATACGGTGCATTTTCTGAAACAGCACGCCTCCTCACAGGTAAGCAGGACCCGGCACAGCTCTCAGGAGCCGTGAACCGGCTGCAGGCAGGAAGGAGGCCTCAGCCCGACAGACCCTCACGCCAGCAACCCAGGTCACACAGTTCAACTCCCACAGACGGACGTGTTCATGATCACGGAACAGCCCTGTGAACTTGCCCGTGGTTCTAGTCATGGCCAGGCACACGAAAGCCTGGAGGTCCTTTCTGGGTTCCAGTTGTACACCTGACACTGGGCACATATTTTGAGAAAATATTCTAAACAATTCCACGAAGCTTTATTTGATTACAGCATAATTTAGCTTTGTGGCTATGGCCTATTTTTTCCCAAGGAATCCATAGCATTATATGGTACCTTCTATAAAATATTAAGGTTCCTTAGAAACATGTCCCAGAACCAACAAGGAATTCCAATTAGAAAAGGAAAGGAAGGCACTGCAGACATCCCCCAGGTCTGGGACGGGACTGGCTTAAGCTAGAATTCCACAACATCCACAAGGAATTAGACCTTCACGAAAAGGACCAAGTCTCCCAGAAAAGCCTTCTGGAAATTGGTACTTTGAAGCTGTGATTTGACCTTCTGTCATTAATCAAAATGCAACCAACTGTGTGCCCCACGCTGCTGCGGCTCAGCCTTTCAGTACCTTCCCACTCTCTCAAAGCCTCTTTCCGGGTCCGACTTCTTGACGTGGTGAAGGAAGCCTGCTTTCTCTCGAGGTGGAGTTTTCCAGAGCTTGCGAAAATCTTCTGCCTATGAAGAAAAAAAAATGTATTGAGCCGTGTCAGGCACTGCGCCCCTCAGCTGCGGAAACCTGAAGAGCCGTCGTCATCGCAGTAGCTGCCTGTCTCCGCACACCCTTCCTTCTCTCCCCTTCACTAGCAGATCCCTGGGCCACGTGCCCACCTGTGGCATGGCTGAGTGGCCGCACGGCTGCACTCTGACCTGGGGGAGGGGAGGCGGTCTCCTTTCTTGCAGCCCCGTCTGGGCTGTGAGGTTCAGAACCAGGAGGGCCCGAGCACGAGGCCTCACCCTGAGGACAGTGGACGGCTCGGAGCTGCCACCCCGACGCACATGTGACACTGCTCCCATCGCAGGAGAAGAAACCAGATCTTTCTCAGTCACTCTCCCTAGAGCTTTATGCTTTATGCATCTCACCTAACCTTACCTGATACCACCTAATTTTGGGGCCATTTTCTTTTTTGTTTTGGAGACGGAGTCTCGCTCTGTCGCCCAGGCTGGAGTGCAGTGGTACGATCTCGGCTCACTGCAAGCTCCACCTCCGGGGTTCAGGCCATTCTCCTGCCTCAGCCTCCCGAGTAGCTGGGACTATAGGCGCCCACCACCACGCCCGGCTAATTTTTTGTATTTTTAGTAGAGACGGGTTTCACCGTGTTAGCCAGGATGGTCTCGATCTCCTGACCTCGTGATCCACCCGCCTCGGCCTCCCAAAGTGCTGGGATTTCAGGCATGCGTCCCGGCGCCCGGCCTGGAGCCGTTTTCATCGCAACTGATTTAGAAAGTTTCTAGCACAGGATGGTGCGTGCAGGTCAGTGTGTGAAGTATTCCAACAGGAGAAAGAATTGTCAACTGTAAATAAAAAAGTGTACAACCTTTGACCCAGCAACACCACCATTAAGGATTTCTCTGAACACTGGGGATGAGTAGAACCTGGGGCTGAGGCTTCCAGGAGAGGGACTTGTCTGAGAGGAAGCCAGCGGGGGCTGCAGCCACAGGGAAACGTGGTCAGGAGGTGGACGTGCAGATGGAGCTTTCCTAGTCACAACGGGCAGCCTCGCTACACCAGCAAGGTGCCTAGGACGGGCCATCAACACAGCAAGAACAGGGCGACACGCGCACAGGACGGGGCTGGCCCAGGGAATGTCTGCTTTGTTGAGACAGTGGCTCCCAGCACATCGGCCCTGGTAAGCAAGCCACAGAGCCAAGAACACACATTTCTCTGACAAACGTTCTCATCACCAATCACTGGTGGATGGTTTGAGATGAGGACAACCTTGGGGCTCCACAGGACATGGTCCCTGAGACCACGCACAAGGCAACAGGCTGGAACACCCAGCAGCACAGTATAGGGACAGCCAGGCACCACTTCCAGAAGCTTCTACAGCAGCTCACCTTGGCTGGACTCAGGGGCCCTGCGAAGGCTCTCAGGGTCAGTACCGGGTCTCTGGGGCTGCCTCCATAGCGGCTGACGTGAGAGGCCTCAGCCGTCTGGTCTGGGGACCACAGCTCCCCGATGACTGGAGAAGAAGTCTCTTCCGCTCTCAGGAGGGGCACGTAGTAGTGGCCTGAGGGAGGAGACAGGCACTGGCTGCAGGCTTCCGCCCCCTCCGCAGGTCAGGCCTGGGTGAGCAGGACGGGGATCACGCGAGCCCTTGCCAAGGCCTCTGCAAATGGATCCAACAGACGGGGCAGAGGGTGGTTTCCGCCAGAGCTCACTGCACTTAATGCAAATGGATACAATGGAAACAAAGTCACACAAGGTCTCAGAGCTCACTTCACTTAACCAGCCTCATTTTCCTCCACTGCTACAAGAAAAGAAAGAAAAGAAAAGGAAGCCCCAGGTAGTTAAAGGACTAAGGGGTCGGACCTGAGTGAATAAGAGTAGCACACAGTAGGAGCTTAATACATTTTAAAAATGTTATATTTCATTCCAGCCGGGTGCGGTGGCTCACGCCTGTAATCCTACCACTTTGGAAGGCTGAGGTGTGTGGATCACCTGAGGTCAGAAGTTCAAGACCAGCCTGGCCAACATGATGAAACCCCATCTCTACTAAAAATACAAAAATTAGCCGGGTGTGGTGGTGGGTGCCTGTAACCCCAGCTACTCATGAGGCTGAGGCAGGAGAATCACTTGAACCTGGGAGGTGGAGGTTGCAGTGAGCCGAGATCACGCCACTGCACTCCAGCCTGAGCGACAGAGTGAGAATCTGTCTCAAAAAAACAAAAAAAAGTAATATTTTATTCCTTCTCTCCTTTTTTTCTCCTCTTAGTTTCAGACAGAGTCTCATTCTGTCACCCAGGCTGGAGTGCTGTGGTGCAATCATGGCTCACTGCAGCCTCGAACTCCCAGGCTCAAGGGATCCTCCCACCTCAGCCTCTTGAGTAGCTGGGACCACAGGCATGCGCCACCACACCCGGCTAATTTTTACTTTTTGTAGAGATGGGGTCTTGCTCTGTTGCCCAGGCTGGTCTCGAACTGCTGGATGCAAGTGATCATTCCACCTCCACCTCCAAAAGTTCTGGGATTACAGGTGTGGGCCGCTGTGCCCAGCCTCCTCGCTTCTCAGTCCTGCTTCTCTTGTAGTTTATCACAGGTGTGGGCTGCTGTGCCCGGCCTCCTCGCTTCTCAATCCTGCTTCTCAATCCTGCTTCTCTTGTAGTTTATCACAGGTGTGGGCCGCTGTGCCCGGCCTCCTCGCTTCTCAGTCCTGCTTCTCTTGTACTTTACAATTTGCATCACTGAATACGCATCTCTCAACAGATCTGGAATCACACGGCACTTGGATGTGAGTATGGAAAAAGCACAAGGAAGAGTAGTGTCTTCAGGTCCCACGGGACAGCGCAGTCAAGCCATATAGGATAGTGTCGTGAGGTTCTGTAGGTTGCACGGAGGCCACACACCACCTCGTCCTGCTTTCAAACCCAGCTCCTGGAGACCCAGAGTCAAGAGGCTTCCTTTACAGTCAATCATGCTACTCTGGAATGCCTGGGAATTTCTTATGTTAAAGGCTTATCATAGTTTCATAGTTTTTTTTTTTTTTGGAAACAGAGTCTCGCTCTGTCACCCAGGCTGGAGTGCGGTGGTGTGATCTCGGCTCACTGCAAGCTCCACCTCCCGGGTTCACACCATTCTCCTGCCTCGGCCTCCCAAGTAGCTGGGACTACAGGTGCCCACCACCACACCTGGCTAATTTTTTGTATTTTTAGTAGAGACGGGGTTTCACCGTGTTAGCCAGGATGGTCTCGATCTCCTGACCTTGTGATCCGCCTGCCTCGGCCTCCCACAGTGCTGGGATTACAGGCATGAGCCACCGCACCCGGCTGCTTATCATAGTTTTTATGCTTTTAATTTTTTTCTAATTGTAAAAGTGCTGTATGCCCATCAACGGTCAACTGGATAAAGAAAATGTGGTACATATATACCACAGGATATTAAGAACAAGATCATGTCCTCTGAAGTAACATGGCTGGAGCTGGAGGCCATGACCCTAAGGGAACTGACACAGGCAAGAAAACCAAACATGGCTCTCACTTATGAGTGGGAGCCAAACGCTGAGCACACATGGACACAAAGAAGGAACAAGAAGTCAGCAGGGCCTGGTTGAGGGTGGAGGGAGTGAGGAGGAGGGAGAGGATGGAAAAACTACCTCCTGGGTACTATACTGATCACCAGGTGAAATAATCCGTACCCCAAACCCCGGTGACATGCAGGTTACCTATATAACAAACCTGCACACTTACCCCTGAACCTAAAATGAAAGTTAAGAAAAAGTACGACAATTTCCATTCAAGAGTACTGAAGGTACTGAAGAATTTCCATTCAAGAGTACTAATTTTCCATACTGAAAATTAGGGCAATTCAAATACTCTGTCTTACATATTACTATCTTATATTTGGATGCATCCTATGTATGTTGGCATTTTACAGGTTAATTGGCAGTTTTTTCCCTCTTTCAGTGGCACAGGAAAAGAAGACATACAGTATGTACAGTATAGGGTGCATGGTAGGTATACGGTACAATTTACCTACACTTTACTCATAAAATACTAATGTTTACTTTTTTGGCATATTGATTTGAGTCCCTTTTAACAATTTCTGTCTACAGATGGGACTCACGGTCTCTGGACAGTTTTGTGCCTGGCTTTCTGATCCTATTTGTCTCTCATAACACTTTAGAGTCCTTCCTCATCTTCACACAAGCGTGGGTCTCTCTCTGAGTGACGGGAAGGGTGGGATGCAGGATGCAGCCAGCCCTGTAGCAGGCTCTGTGGCATGTGAAGCTACAACGTGACCGAGGCCCCAGCGTGACCACAGATGCTGACCATGCCTGGGCTTCGCATGAGCCTCAGAAGGACCAGGAAGGAGGTGTAGGAGCTCTGGAGGTGCCGTGTAGCTCAGCCCACAGGAACATGGATCTCACAGAGCTGCCTTCTCCTCAGCAAACAGCTGCTGGGGCAGATCTTAGAGGCGACAGTGTTTTACTGTCACACATAGGCAAGGATCTCTCAGACAGAATTGCTTCCTAAATACCATCACAAAGCAATGCTTAATGTCAGCGTTGCAAAGCATTTCTGACAGTGTGGTTTGAAAATCCGGAGCAGACTCTCGGCTCTTCAGGGATGTTCTGGCAACATAGCTGTGTGTTCCCAGGGCCTCTGAAGGTTCCGGCTGGGCCTCTGCAGCGACGCCTCAACGGCCCTGAGGAGGAACTCTCGCCGCTAACAGCATGCAGGATTCATTTCCTGTGCACAGCTACACACACTGAAGAAGTGTAATTAATAAATTATACCTAGGACGGGAACAGATCAGGGGACAAGCAGAGGCTCTTCACACCTTAGATCACGCTTGGTAAACTTCTATAAAATGTCAGACAGTAAATAATTAGGCTCAGTAGGCCACAAGTCACTGTGTGCTGGGAAAGAACCCGGACAGTGTGCAAATGGTGGTGACAGCTTTATGCTGATAAAATTTTATTTTTAAAAGCAGTCATTTGCGGACCCTGCTTTAAATAGAGACAGAGTTTTGGATAGGAATGGAATCCGAGAGAGAGGAAAGCAGGCAGGTGGGTGAAAGGACCTCAGCGTCTGCTTCAATCTCACCAGCAAGCAGAAGCTCCAGACTTCGAGCTAAGATGGCAAAGAAGAGGCGCTTCTAGAAGTGTCATCTTCCAAAATTCACTGAAAACAGAGGAAGATGGCAGGGAAAAGCCATCCCTGAAACCAGCCGTTTTCACATGCCTGGCACCTACAAACCGCAAGGCACAGGGGCCAACAACTAGAAGCTGCTGACTAGAAGAGGGCGGCCCAGAAAGCAAAGGCCTCTCTCCCAGAGGCGAGTGGGGAGGGAACGTCCCGGAGGCGAGTGGGGAGGGAGTGTCCCGGAGCCAAGACAGGAGCCTGGGCGTGCACCAGGAGTACAGGAGGAGGAAGGAGGCAGCTTCAGAATCGAAGGAGTGACAGGGAGCGACCCCCACCCCAACACAGGCAAAGAGACACACAAAAGCCAGGCCAGCCACCCAGCCAAGGAGCTCTGGACCCTGCCTCTCCCTGAGCTGTTCTTTGCCAACTGCAGGCTCCACCTGAAGAGAAGCCATCACAATGAAGCTACTGCGAGAGAGACCGATGGATCCAGGGATGAGGCCACCAGCAACAGGCAGCGACACACAACCTCAAAAAAGTTCTCTCACAGAAAGCTCAAGGAACAGATACAAGACTTCAGAGAAGGGATAACAGAAAAAAGGTGGCAAATGAGCTAGGAGAGCTCAGGAGAAGAAAGGATGATCCCGAGGAGAGGCTTCCGAGGGGAGCCGGCACACGCCCGGGGAGCTCAGGAAAGCAAAGCTCTGCTGTGTCCCCCAACGCTCCAAGGCCCTTCCCGGCGTGGACCCCACGATCCAGGCACCAACTCCCCATCTTACCCTTTAAATACTCTCTGATCCGCTCCTTCAGTTCCACAGATTTATTTTTGCTTCTTTCACAAATTACCTATTGGAAAAAAAAGTGTGTCTAAATCTTATTTGATCGCAACATTTCCTTATCATTACAATGATTTCAGAAAAATAGTTTTAAACTCAGTAAAGTAGAATAGTATCTTAATGCTAAAGATTTAATAAAGCTCACACTCAGAAAACGTGTGAAGAGTGTGGTCTTTCTAAAAGTCTAAGGAGACAGCTAGGAGAACACACTCTGGGATTATGGGTAAATTTACTTCTTGTTTGCGCTACTCGACATTTTCTAACTGTCTGCAAGGAGAGGAAAAGGTACCAGCGCATCGAGTAAAAGCAGAAGCACGTGAACATGTTTCTAACCTTCTTGGTTGGTTGAGTTCCACTTACAGGAAGCCTGGTCATACACAAACTTTTTGTTGTGAGGCTGGGTCAAGGTGGAGCTCCTAAGTAACACGGAACATCAAAGTTCTATTTTTGCCACTAAAGAAATCAACTTTCTCAGCCCTTGAAGAATTGCAGCAATACGAACTTTTGCTAGAAACTATAGAAAAACCAACAACCTTCAAATAAAAGGAAAGAAAGGAACCAGCCTATGAGAGAAACTAATTAAAACTATGAATGCAACTACATTTTTGAGTCTGTACCTGATTGTGAGCTTTAAAAAGTCAAATGCTTTTTAAAATGCCAGGAGTTTTAAGTTGGTTACCAAATGCCATTCTTATGTTGAAGTACAGATACACACACACACACACACACACACACACACACACACAAAAAGAATCACATGTATGCAAAATAATAGCAATTTCTCAGTTGTAGAATTTTCTGGTGAATTTTATTCTTTTTGATCAAGCAGTATTTTAAGTTTTCTATGGCAAGTGGATGTATAGCTTATGTAATAACAGCAATTACAGAAGGGGTGTGGGAGAGGCCACTGCCACCAGAAGATCCTTATAGCTTTTATTTCTAAAGGGCTGCTAGACAAGGGACAGCTCACAGCTGTAATACACAGAAAAATCAAACTCATCTTTCAGTTCTCAGAAGGTCCAGATACTTCTTGCACTTTGTGGGCACAGAATATACTTCTGCCCTCTGCAAGGTGCACTTTGCTCAACTGCTCAGGATCATGACGAGGCCTGACTGAAGGCTTGTCTGGGTCCGATGAGTATGTATGTGTGAGAAGCTTAGCACAGCACCTGGTGCACACTGAGCTGAATACAATTTAGCTGCTTTCAGCATCATCATCCTTACCACCATCGTCACCATCATCACCACCACTGCCAACACCACCATGATCATTGCTATCTCCATCCTCACCACCATCATCCTCACTACCACCATCATCACCATCACCATCATCATCACCACCACCATCACCACCTCTGTTCTCTCTGACTCTGGTCAACTGATGTGTTCAGAGAGGGAACTTGATAAAAGACTGTGAGCTGTTCAAAGCAACTGACTGCCAGTTTTAGGAAAATAAAATCAGCAAACTGCGTCAGTTCCTTCCCTCCTGGTTCTACAGATGCATCTTCTTCACAAAGTGCATCTTACTCAACAGCCAAGGTTCTAACATGTGCCCATAAAGCAAACACAACTCATACAGAGCTCCTTGTGGCTTCCCTGTGCCTGTGATCACAGACTGTAAATTTATATATTTCCATTTCTAACTCTAGATAGCAACTGCATTGTAATAAGTACTTACATCTTCAGGTGTTTTATCATATTTATTCCTTGAGTTTTTTACAATCAAATGGTGTGACGAAAGCACGTTGACTACATCTGCATTTCCAAACTTACAAGCAAAATGCAACGGTGTGTCATAGCCCTGAAAAAAGGTGCAGAGGAAGTACAATTATTCACACTTGTCTCATGAGGTTGCTCTAAGGTGAAAATACATATTCATTCATTCATTCATTCATTTATTTATTTTGAGACGGAGTCTCACTGGCGTGATCTTGGCTCACTGCAACCTCTGCCTCCCGGGTTTAACCGATTCTCCTGCCTCAGGCTCCCCAGTACCTGGGACTACAGGCACCCGCCACCACACCCAGCTATTTTTTTTTTTTTTTTAATATTTAGTAGAGATGGGGTTTCACCATATTGGTGAGACTGGTCTCGAACTCCTGACCTCAGGTGATCCACCTGCCTTTGCCTCCCAAAGTGCTGGGATTACAGGTGTGAGTCACCGAGCCTGGCTTATACTTTTTTAAAAAAAAAAAGACTCACAAACAAAAAGGCCATAAAAGACTCTGCTTTTATAATGGAAAAATAATTGGCATTCTAGCACATACCCACTTCGTGCCAAGGCTTGAGCTTAGCATACTGACCTGGGTGCCCAGACCCTGGAGGAGCTTAAATTCTCCATAAACAGTGAACAGCAGCTTTAACCATTCAGGGCCCAGTACAATGTCATGTAAAACATGCCCAGGAAGTGAAATACACAGATGAGGACCACAACCAGAATAAAGCAAAGCGCACGAATTTGGTCTGTACTCAAAGAAGTCTCTGCGGCCTGTGACACCACAGTAAACGAAATTTTTTTCACTGCTGACGATGCTGCATCGCGCCCTGGCTGGGAACCCAGGTCTCCGTCCATGACGCTGCGTCACGCCCTCCTTCCCCGGATGGTGTCACAGGTCTCCACACCATCTGCCTGGAGCTCCCACAGCTGCACCTCTATCCTTCCTTATGCTCTGGGCAGTCTCAATGTCACCTTCAACTGTGGCCTACAGACCAGCGGGCCTCATGGTCAACAGTGCCCCTGAGCCCAAGACCTGAAGGGCCAACTCCCTCCCAGTCACCTCACTTGGACATCCCACAGGCAGCTCCACTGCACCGTGTAGAAAACAGAATTCATTTACACCTAGCACAGCCAGAAACACCTTCTCTCGTCACCTCTGATTACCAAGATTCTGGCTGTGAAGTGTCCGGTGGCATCGTATGCCATGGCAGCCATCCCTAAGCTTCTGCACAGGGAAGAAAAACTCATCATGGACCCTGCGGCCTGCACTGACACCCCCGCCTCCACTCCCTGGCAACACAGCCTAGGTCACCCGCAAATGTCCTCCTACAGCTCCCTCCCGCCATCACCCACTAGAGGTATCCCTTACAACTCTCTCACACGACCCCAAAAAGGTCTGGATGTTTGCATATACCACCACGCTACCTGTACTCCATCCTTCTGTCCAGGGGCTGGCAAGCTTTCTTGGACAAGGACCAGATAGTAAGCACTATAGACTTTTTTTTTGAGACAGAGTCTCACTCTGTCGCCCAGGCTGGAGTGCAGTGGCGTGATATGGGCTTACTGCAAGCTCCGCCTCCCGGGTTCACGCCATTCTCCTGCCTCAGCCTCCCCAGCAGCTGGGACTACAGGTGCCCGCCACCACGCCCAGCTAATTTTTTGTATTTTTAGTAGAGACGGGGTTTCACCGTGTTAGCCAGGATGGTCTCGATCTCCTGACCTCGTGATCCGCCTGCCTCGGCCTCCCAAAGTGCTGGGTTTACAGGCGTGAGCCACTGCACCCGGCCTCACAAATCTTTCTTAAACTACAATACTGGCTACCATTCCTATTAAAACAGCCAGCAGAGGCAGCTCCCGGGCAGCGTGCGTGCAGTGAGCAACCCTGCTGCTGCCTGCTCGGCTCCCACAGCCCATCACTCGGCTCCCACAGCGCCCGCACCGCGGCCCATGACTGCCTGAACACAGACGCCGCCAGCCAAGATGTCAACCCGAATTCTCCTCACAAAGGCCTGCCGTCCAACTCCATGACCAATGTCCCTGTTGACACAGGTGGGGCTGCCCAGGCTACTGCTGTTGAGGGTCTGACAGAGGCTGAGGAGGAAGAGCTCAGGGCCCAGCTACCAAGACGGATGAGGAAACTGTCACTCTACACCAGTGCTGGCAGCCAAGGAGGGGGACTGTGGAGAGCTTGAGAGGAGGCTGGGCCTCTCTGCCTTGGAGGCTGAAACGGAACCCTCTCTAACGCCTATGTGAAGACTTCTGAGAAATGTGGAAGTGGAATGAGAAAGTGGCCCACCCGGATCTCTGCAAGACTCAGGAAATGCTCCCACAGCAAGACAGAAGACCTCAACCAAGACAGAGACCTCAGCGGCCCTGTCCATGGTGGGCTCTGCCATCAGTAGGAAGCTCGGAGACGTAAGGAAATTTGCAACTTTCAAGTCGTTTGAAGACCAAGTTGGGCCCATGAAGTCTAAGGTCGTGGGTGACAGAGAACAGCAAGGACAATCTCCCTTCCTCAGCAGGGAGGGGCGACGAGCCCGTCGGATCCCGCACCTCTCTAAGCCTGTGGTCGCTTACGCTCAGCTGCAGAGCACACACACACACCCTCAGCATCACAGCCGGAGCTCTGAGCAACAAAGCGGCCAGCCAGGACGCACACGCAGAGCCGGCTTTGAGAATAGTCCTGCCCATCCACAAGGAGACGTGGCTACCGCATCCACATGAATTTCAACAGTTGTGTACATAGTTATATACTAAAGTTTGTAGGTGAAACAGATAACTGTGCTGTCCTTCCTAGGGGTACAGGAAGTGGACAGGGCGGAGGATTTGAAATACTGAGCCAAAG
Organism: Homo sapiens; assembly: GCF_000001405.40. NCBI lineage: Eukaryota > Metazoa > Chordata > Mammalia > Primates > Hominidae > Homo > Homo sapiens. The sequence continues at coordinate 132,746,038 of NC_000012.12, forward strand.
CCCAGGCTCCCTTTAAGAATCACGTTAGTGGCCAGGCACGGTGGCTCACGCCCGTAATCCCAGCACTCTGGGAGGCCAAGGCGGGCCGATCACGAGGTCAGGAGATGGAGACCATCCTGGCTAACACGGTGAAACCCCATCTCTACTAAAAATACAAAAAAATTAGCCAGGCATGGTGGCGGGTGCCTGTAGTCCCAGCTACTCGGGAGGCTGAGGCAGGAGAATCAGTTGAACCCAGGAGGAGGAGCTTGCAGTGAGCCGAGATTGTGCCACTGCACTCCCACCTGGGAGACAGAGCAAGACTCTGTCTCAAAAAAAAAAAAAAAAAAAGAATCAGGTTAGCCCATCAGAATGTTGAAGCATTGAAGAGTCCTACGCATAAGTGGCATTTTTGACCTCCTCCTTCCCTAACTCACAGAAGGAATGCAATCACCCAGAAAGCCCTACCTGTTCCATGAGTTTTTATCTTGAAATGCTAAACAAGAAGTGTCCATTTCCTGCCCACAGAAAGTAAACTGAATATCAACAACTGCCCAATTGTTGTACTAATCTAGCTTTAATGAAAAGCAAATTCATTATTTTTTTTTAATGCAGTGGACTTTTCAAAAATCGAAATTAGGCAAAGCAGCTTTAGCCTCCTAGTGAGAGAATATTATTTCTTTGGACTCAAGCTGAAATTCAAGCCTCACATTACCTCATGCTTTATTTATCATAAACATATAAATGAGGGTTGCTCAATGGCTGTGAGTACTGTGTGGGATTTTACACCTGGCCTGTGTGACTGCCTGTTCCAGTTGGGGTGTTGGTTTCACTAACACGCTCCATCCCAGTGTATAAAACTTGCTTCTCTTCTCAAGCAGGGCAGCTCCCCTGGCTCCCTACTCTGCCCTGAAGGACTTTTGGGCTCCCAGGGGTGGGAGGGGCTAAGAGAAGGAAAAGCCTGTCTTTAGCACCCTTTAGAAGAGCTGTGCCCGCTTCCCAGTGCTGCCTTGCATGGGCCTGGCCCGGGGGGCACTCATCAGTGACTCCAACCCGCCTGCTGGCTGCACTTCAGATGAAATGACCCCACAGGTCAGGTGGAGGGTGGGGCATGGGCATCGGCCAGGATTGCTGTCACCTTTTCTCCGGAGCTACCAAGATCGTTCCTGTTTCTAAGCAGTCGCACCCCAGCAGCCTCTCTCTCTCCACAGCCCTGCGTGTCAGGCAGCCTCTCTCTCACACCACAGCCCTGCGTGTCAGGCAGCATCTCTCTCTCTCCACAGCCCTGCGTGTCAGGCAGCCTCTCTCTCTCTCCACAGCCCTGCGTGTCAGGCAGCCTCTCTCTCTCTCCACAGCCCTGCGTGTCAGGCAGCCTCTCTCTCTCTCCACAGCCCTGCGTGTCAGGCAGCATGGTTTGCAGGGGCAGCTCTGTGCCTCAGTGGCTCTTGGTAGGACACTGAGGGCCTGCCTGTGGTGTGCACAGCTCTGCCACTCCCGGGAGGGGAAGTGCTGCTCAGCTCAAGGTGTCCTGTTCGGCAGAGGAAATGTCCTCTGACAACCGTGTCCCCAGACAGTTCAGACACCCTCGGGGACAGCATCGCACACACGACGACAATGCAGGGGCCAGGGAACCCCAGCGCTCGGTGCCCTTTGTCCAGTGGGATGTGGTAAGAAGGCAGGTTGCAGGGGTGTAATTGATGTATCTTTTCCCCAAAGTTATTATACTAATGAGTAACTTGTCGATAAAGCATTCTTTTGGGGAAAGACTTTTAACCAATTAAATAAAGAAAGCGTGAGTGGAGGGTGTGCACGCACCATCTTGTCGGGGGTGTTGAGGTACAGGTCCACCACGTAACGGATACGCTTCTGCAGCATGGCCTCGTCGTCATCAGGGTACATCAGCCTCATGAAGTCAGGGTTCTCCAGGACGTCCAGAGTCAGCTGGCAGATGGAAGCCTGGTTCTCTTTGGCAGCAACATGCATCACGTTGTACCTGCACCCTTCCTGAAAGAGAACCGCATGCTCTGAGCTTCCTATCTGATGTGTGGACACGCCCTGTGCGAGTGCTGCGATGGAACGGCCGGGACCGCACACCTGCCCGAGGGAACCGCCGAGACCTACCTGCACGATAGTGGGGTTGTCTCCTGAGCCTATCAGATACCGGGGGTTGCTCCAGATAAGGTCAGAAAAGGTGTCCTCCTCTCCCTTCTCCACAGCTTTCCGAAGCTTGGCGGTGAGGTCCTGCGTGCGGGGATTTTTGTAACTGTTCGCTCGCTCTTTGTTGACTGTTTCTGATTCCGACAAGCACAAACCATCTGTCAGTAAGAGACAGAATTTAAGAACAATCAGTTTCACCAAAAGTCACTCATCACCCATGCACCCTCTGATGAGGGATAAGCAGCTTTCCACAGAGGCTTCTGGGCCAACTGGGAGGCACAGGTGAGAAAAGACGAGAAGGGCCCACGGCCACCGGCCCCAGCATGCAACGCAATCAATGGCAGCCAGCGTGCCCGTCAGCAGAGCAAGTGAGGGAGAGCAGCCAGACCCGGCCACAATCTCACTGGGGGCCCCAGCCTACAACGGCAGCCAGCGCGCCCCCATGAGCACAGCAAGTGGAAGAGCAGCCAGACCCTGCCACAATCTTGCTGGGAAAGGCTCTGTGAATGAGGCCAAGTTTGGTGAACTTTGTGTTTTTTCAGAGACAGGGTCTGGCTCTGTTACCCAGGCTGGAGTGTGGTGGCACGAATATAGCTCACTGCAGCCTCGACCTCCTGGGCTCAAGTGATCTCAGGCCCTCAAGTAGCTGGGACTACAGTTGTATGCCAACACGCCTGGCTTATATACATATATATATATATATATATATACACACGTATTTTTAGAGATGAGGTCTATGTTGCCCAGGCTGGTCTCAAACTCCTGGCTTCAAGGGATCCTTCTGCCTCAGCCCCCAAAAGTGTTGTAATTACAGGGACGAGTCACCACACCCGGCCAGTGAACTCTGAAAGCTCGGTCAGTAGGTGGAGGAGGAATAACGGCAGCAGCGGGCAAGGGAACACTCCCAGAAATCACGCAAGACCTTCGATGTGCACAGTGTGGCTGCAAAGGATTACAGGATTAAGGAGCCTGCCACCACGCCCAGCTGATTTTTTTGGGGGGGACGCAGTTTTGCTCTTTCGCCCAGGCTGGAGTGCAGTGGCGCGATCTCAGCTCACTGCAACCTCCGCCTTCCAGTTTCAAGCAATTCTCCTGCCTCAGCCTCCCAAGTAGCTGGGATTACAGGCACCTGCCACCACGGCCAGCTAATTTTCGTATTTTTAATAGAGACGGGGTTTCACCATGTAGGCCAGGCTGGTCTCAAACTCCTGACCTGAGATGATCCACCCGCCTCAGCCTCCCAAAGTGCTGGGATCACAGGCGTGAGCCACCTCGCCCGGCCTGATTTCTGTCTTAAGGTGATTTCCTTCTGAGGAATCCTCACAAATTGCAAAGAAGGAAATCCGTACCTGTTAGAAGCCACTCTGGTTTCCATCCAGGAAGCACCTGTATAAGGCTGACTGAGGGCAGGCGGATGACTGGAAGGAGAGGGCAACATTCCTCTGGAGTACCAGCCCGCCAGGGAAGCCCAGACAACTGTGAGCTGCGAGAGGGAGCAGGAACTGAGGCCAGATGAAAGGTAAAGGCGGAGGTTCTACCCCACACTGACCGTGAAGAGCCTCTTCACACAAAACCCTAGTTCTGAGCTGGGAGGTGGGCATGGGTCAGACTTCGGGCTGGACCGCTCCTACAGATAAGCCCGCCTTCTCCAGATGCCCTAGTCCTTGAAGTAGGTATAGCTTCAGGTGGGGAAGTAGACTGGTTTCAGGATCCAAAAAGGCGCAGGGGCTCACGCCTGTCATCCCAGCACTTTGGGAGGCTGAGATGGGAGGATCACTTGATGCCAGCAATTCAACCAGCCTTGGCAACATGGCAAGACCCTGTCTCCATAAAAAAAGTTTAAATTCTAGCCTGGCCAACATGGTGGCTAAAAATACAAACATTAGCCGGGTGTGGCAGTGTGCACCTGTAATCCCAGCTACTCGGGAGGCTGAGGCAGGAGAATCGCTTGAACCCGGGAGGTGGAGCTTGCAGTGAGCCAAGATCGCACCACTGCACTCCAGCCTGGGCGACAGAGCAAGACTCCATCTCAAAAAAAAAAAAAAAAAAAAGAAAAAGTTTAAATTAGCTGGGTGTGGTGGTGCACGCCTATTTCTCAGCTACTTGGGAGGCTAAAGCAGGTGGATTGCTTAAGCCCAGGAGTTTGAGGCTGCAGTGGGCCATGATAGCACCAGACTGCACTCCAGGCTGGCAAAAGAACAAGACCCTGTCTCTTTACAAAAAAAAAAGAAAAAAATCCAACAGACACGGGGACAGATGGAAGCGGCCACAGCGTTCTTTTCAGCTTCTCCAGAGTCAAGATGCTAATTACACGAGCATCAGAGCCAGCATGGCCTCCTGGTCCACTGAGACCCCATCGACTCTACCCTCATGGAGAAAACAAGTTACCACATCAGAGGAAAGAAGGCACAAAACAGGGTGGGATCAATGTGACAGGAACATCAAGATGTGAACGGCTGCATGATTTACCTTTCAACCTGTCATTGCTAAAGAGTGGAGCTGTTTTCACAGGAGACAGTGGTAAGGACGTTTTGCTTGGAGAAGGGAAATAATCACAAATTCCTCTAGCAAATTTCTCAGCGTCTTCTCTGGTAGAAAAAGCTTTAAATCGGGACCCTTTGATCATCTTGACAGCTTGCAATGCTTCCTTTTTATTTTCATAAACATAGATCCTTTCTGGGTAAGAAAAGTAACAAATGAAAATCAGAGAAGAGTGACTGGAGAGCTGTCACCTGGCCATGCCCTGGGCCTAACCATCAGCTTCCACATCTGCTACCCAGTCGCCTGGCTTAGTTCAGATCTTTAATCCTGAAGAAAAAGGGCCTAAGCTAGCCAAAATAGAACAATTAACAAGCTCGACAGTGTGCATATATGCATGTAACATGATATATATTATGTTCATATATGTAATTCTATATGCCAAGATTCTATCCTAAAAACTAAATTTCATATAAAGATCTAAATAAAAATTATTAAAAGGCAAATTAAAAAAAAAAACTATAATTATGTCAGCCAAGAACATAAGAGAATTTTAAACACAATTTTGAACAGGGAACGCCTTTTTATTTTTTACTTTATTTTTTTTTTTGGAGACGGAGTCTCGCTCTGTCGCTCAAGCTCAAGTGCAGTGGCACGATCTTGGCTCTTGCAACCTCTGCCTCCCAGGTTCAAGCGATTCTCCCGCCTCAGCCTCCCGAGTAGCTGGGATTATGGGCATCCGCCACCATGCCTAATTTTTTGTATTTTTAGTAGAGACGGGGTTTCATCATGTTGGCCAGGCTGGTCTCAAACTCCTGACCTCAGGTGATCTGTCCGCCTCGGCCTCCCAGAGTGCTGGGATTACAGGTGTCAGCCACGGCGCCCAGCCGGGAATGGCTGTTTTTTTTTGACATGGAGTCTCACTCAGCTGCCGAGGCTGGAGTGCAGTGGTGTGATCTTGGCTCACTGCGACCATCATCTCCCAGGTCCAAGCGATTCTCCCGTCTCAGCCTCCCGTGTAGCTGGGATTATAGGCACCGGCCACCATGCCTGGCTAATTGTTGTATTTTTAGTAGAGACGGGGTTTCACCATGTTGGCCAGGCTAGTCTTGAACTCCTGACCTTAGGTGACCTGCCCACCTCAGCCTCCCAAAGTGCTGGGATTACAGGCATGAGCCACTGTACCCGGCTGGGAATGCCTTTTTAAACATGCCAAGAAACCATTCAAAACAAGATAATCCTGATTATATAAAAATATTAAAGCTCTGTAGTGGAACTATCACAATTAAGTTTTGTATGAGACTATCGTAAATACATAAGATATACACTACTGGCCAGGAGACAAAAATTTATGAACAATGTAACAGACGAATGGTTACTGTCCACTACTGGATAAAAATAGCCATAGTTCGGGCACGGTGGCTCACGCCTGTAATCCCAGCACTTTGGGAGGCTGAGGCAGGTGGATCACCTGACGTTGAGAGTTTGAGACCAGCCTGACCAACGTGGAGAAACCCTGTCTCTACTAAAAATATAAAATTAGCCGGGCGTGGTGGCACACCCCTGTAGTACTAGCTACTCGGGAGGCTGCAGCAGGAAAATCACTGGAACCCAAAAGGCAGAGGTTGGAGTGAGCCAAGATCGCACCACTGCACTCCGGCCTGGCGACAGACCGGGACTCTGTCTCAAATAATAAGTAAATAAATAAATAAATAATAAAAATAAAAACTGCACCATGATCATTTCCCAGTGTTACTTTCTTTTTTTTGAGATGGAATCTAGCTCTGTCGCTCAGGCTGGAATGCAGTGGCACAATCTCAGCTCACTGCAACCTCAGCCTCCTAAGTAGCTGGGACTACAGGTGCCCACCACCACACCCCGCTAATTTTCTGTATTTTTAGTAAAGACGGGGCTTCACCGTGTTAGCCAGGATGGTCTCGATCTCCTGACCTCGTGATCTGCCTGCCTCGGCCTCCCAAAGTGCTGGGATTACAGGCGTGAGCCACCGCGCCCGGCCCCTACGTATTCTTTAAAAAGATCTTACAGAACAATATTCCATTCTATTCATAGTGTTTAACCAATTATGTACTCATAGGCGTCACCACAAATGGTATCACAGTAATAACAATACTCATAACAGTGTGCAATTTCTGGCATCCCAATTAATACTGAGTTCTCATTTCTTTTTTCCAATGCTAAATCTTCTTTAAAATTACAATTCTTGGGCTGGGCACAGTGGCTCACACCTGTAATCTCAGCACTTTGGGAGGCTCAGGTGGGAGGACTGCTTGAAGCCAGGAGTTCAAGACCAGACTAAGCAATAAAGCGAGACCCAGTCTCTTAAAAAAAAAAAAAAAAATTTAATTACCTAGGTGTGGCCAGGCGAGGTGGCTCACGCCTGTAATCCCAGCACTTCGGGAGGCTGAGCCTGGCAGATCACTTGAGCCCAGGAGTTGGGAGACCAGCCTGGGCAACATGGGGAAACATTGTCTCTACCAAGAATACAAAAAAACTGGCGCGTACTGGCACGTGCCCGTGATCCCAGCGATCCCAAGCTACTCCGGAGGCTGAGGTGGGAGGACTCCTTGAGCCTGGTAGGCAGACATTGCAGTGAGTTGTTGAGATTGCATCACTACACCCCAACCTGGGTGAGAGAGAGACCCCAGTCTCAAAAAAAAAAACCACCAAAAACAACCAATTAGCTAGGCGTGCTGGTGTGTGCCTGTAATCTTAGCACTTTGGGAGACCAAGGTGGGTGGATCGCTTGAGGGCAGTTCGAGAGAAGCGTGGGCAACGTGGCGAAACCCCGCCTCTATAAAAAATACAAAAATTGGCTGGGCGTGATGGCTCACACCTGTAATCCCAGAACTTTGGGAGGCCGAGGTGGGCAGATCACGACGTCAGGGGTTCGAGACCAGCTTGGCCAAAATCGCGAAACCTTGTCTCTACTAAAAATACAAAAAATAAAAAATTAGCTGGGTATGGTGGCGGGCGCCTGTAGTTCCCAGCTACTCAGGAGGCTGAGGTTACAGTGAGCTGAGATCGCACCACTGCACTCCAGCCCAGGTGACAGTGCGAGACTCTGTCTCAAAAAAACAAAACAAAACAAAACAAAAAAAAACCATAAAAATTAGCTGTGCGTGGTGGCGTATGCCTGTGGTCCCAGCTACTCAAGCGGCTGAGGTGGGAGGATCACCTGAGCCAGAAAGGTTGAGGCTGCAGTGAGCTGTGACTGCACCACTGCAATGCAGCCTAGGTGGCAGAGTAACACCCTGTTTCAGATGAATGAATAAATTAAAAAAATAAAATGGCCAGGCGCGGTGGCTCAAGCCTGTAATCTCAGCACTTTGGGAGGCCAAGGCAGGTGGATCATGAGGTCAGGAGTTCAAGACCAGCCTGGCCAAGATGGTGAAACCCCGTCTCTACTAAAAATACAAAAAATTAGCCAGGCGCGGTGGCAGGCGCCTGTAATCCCAGCTACTCAGGAGGCTGAGGCAGGAGAATCGCTTAAACTGGGAGGGGAGAGGTTGCAGTGAGCTGAGATCACGCCACTGCACTCTGGCCTGGGCAACAGAGTGAGACTTTGTCTCAAAAAATAAATAAATAAATAAAAACAAAATAAAACCACAAATCTTTGATGCTGAAAAGTATTTATACACTCATTGGCCATTTGCATTCATTAACATAAAAGATGTGCAGGTTACACTGCATTTTAAAAAGGCGGAGATGACTAATCAACAAAGTTCCTAACCAACAGCAGCAGCCAGTTAATATTAATATCTCAGTCCAGCATATCTCATAGAATCCAATTTACCTCACAAATTTTAACAGTTCTCATGTTAAATTCACAAATATTTCAGAAAAGTTCTACATAAAAATGTTAACAATGGTTAACTGGGGTGATGAGATGGAGGGGATTGGATTTTTTCCTTCTTAATCTGTAGTTTTCCATTTTCAGACGTCATCCCGCCCCTCCGCGTATGTGCTATCTGTGTGAGGAAATCCTACACACGGTCCCATTACCATTTCTCGCTGGGACGTCCTCATACACTGGACACACCCCATAGTACAGGGGCGGCTCCTTAGACGCAGTCGCTCCAGCTCTGTAGGTGTCGGTGTCACTAGGGGGCACCGAGCAGGTCTTGGATGTCACAGCTTCCTCCTCTGGAGGATTCAGGCCCACACTGTAACCAAAATCTCTGTCTTCAGAAAAACCAGCCTGATCAGTTGGGTTCCCTTCAGCTGGCTTCAAAATCCTTTGTGGGTCCTGGCTGAGAGCTGTGACACCTGCCTCATGGTGGTAGAAAGAAGACAGCCTTCCTCCTTGCTCCAGTAAAGCCTGAGCCAATTTTTTCTCAAAAATGAACCTTGTAGTTGATGTAATGGGTCCACATTTCAATCCGGCTTTGACGATTTCTTCTCTAAGGTCATCTGGATTCAGAAGTTTCAATCGAGCCAACAGAGCATCCATTGTCATTTCACCTAGGCCCAAGACAAAAAAATCAAAGAGTCACAAAATACTAACACCTGCTGAAGCTGGGTGATGGGTACTAGGGTTCATTATATAATGGCATCAGTTTCTGTTTCTTTCATTAAAAACTTTTTTTCTTGGCTGGACGCGGTGGCTCACGCCTGTAATCCCAGCATTTTGGGAGGCTGAGGCGGGCGGATCATCTGAGGTCAGGAGTTCGAGACCAGCCCGGCCAACATGGTGAAACCACGTCTCTACTGAAAATACAAAAAATTAGCCGGGTGTGGTGGCGGATGCCTGTAATCCCAGCTACTTGGGAGGCTGAGGCTGGAGAATCGCTTGAACCCAGGAGGCGGAGGCTGCAATTAGCCGAGATCACACCCCTGCACTCCAGCTTAGACAACAAGAGCGAAACTCCAGCTCAAAAAAAAAAAAAGAATTTTTCTTTTTTTTTTCGAGATGGTGTCTCCCTCTGTCGCACAGGCTGGAGTGCAGTGGTGCTATCGCAGCTCACTGCAACCTCTACCTCCTGAGTTCAAGTGATTCTCCAGCCTCAGCCTCCCAAGTAGCTGGGACTACAGGCGCCTGGAATCACACCTAGCTAATTTTTGTATTTTTAGGAGAGACGGGGTTTCACCATGTTGGCCAGGTTGGTCTTGCACTCCCGACCTCAGGTGATCCACCTGCCTTGGCCTCCCAAAGTGTTTGGATTACAGGCGTGAGCCTTTTTTCTTTTTGAGACGGAGTCTCGCTCTGTCACCAGGCAGGCTGGAGTGCAGTGGTGCGATCTCAGCTCACTGCAACCTCTGCCTCCTGGGTTCAAGCGGTTCTCCTGCCTCAAGCCTCCCGAGTAGCTGGGATTACAGGCGTGCACCACCACGCCCAGCTAATTTTGTACTTTTAGTAGAGACGGGGTTTCTCCATGTTGGTCAGGCTGGTCTTGAACTCCCAACCTCCCAAAGTGCTGGGATTACAGGCATAAGCCACCATGCCCAGCCCGTTGTATTCTTTGGGAGGCAGGCAGATCACCTGAGGTCGGGAGTTCGAGACCAGCCTGGCCAACATGGTGAAACCCTGTCTCTACTAAAAATACAAAAATTAGCCGGGCGTGGTGGTACATGCCTGTAACCCCAGCTACTCGGGAGGCTGAGGCAAGAGAATTGCTTGAACCCAGTAGGTGGAGGTTGCAGTGAGCCGAAATCACGCCACTGCACTCCAGCCTAGGGGACAAGAGCAAGACCTTGTTTCAAAAAAAAAAAATTACCCGAGCATAGTAGTGCACACCTACAGCCCCAGCTACTCAGGGGGCTGAGGCAGGAGGATCACTTGAGCCTGGGAGGTGGATGCCACCACGAGCTGAGATGGCAACCCTGCACTCCAGCCTGGGTGACAGAATCAGACCCTGTCTCAACAACAACAACAAAAAAAAAGATGGCGGGGGGGAGTAATACATCTGAATTTAAGTTTCTACAGGGTTCTGACTTTTAAAAACATGTTCGTGATTTACATACTCAAATAAGTAAAGCCGGGTGCGGTGGCTCACGCCTGTAATCGCAGCACTTTGGGAGACCGAGGTGGGTGGATCACGAGGTCAGCAGTTCGAGACCAGCCTGGCCAAGATGGTGAAACCCCATCTCTACTAAAAAAAAAATACAAAAATTAGACAGGCGCAGTGGCGGGCACCTGTAATCCCAGCTACTCGGGAACCTGAGGCAGGAGACTCGCTGGAACCCAGGAGGCAGAGGTCACAGTGAGCCGAGATCGCACCACTACACTCCAGCCTGGGCAACAGAGCGAGACTCCACCTCAATAAAACAACAACAACAAAAAAAACAAAAAAAAAAGAAATAAGTAAATAAACAAAAAGATGGGGGAGACACCCACATGGAATACTAGCCAGAAGAAATGCACCTAACTGTATTACAAGTGAGTAACACAGGGGAAGCTAACCTACGTAACTTTGGAAAACAGTGAGTGACTAGGTGCTCTAAGGAGAAAGACAAAAAGGACTGTGCACCATTACCGTGTGAACAGGCTCTAGGCAGTAGATGTTTTCACAATGGTATAGGTTAACACACCTAAAGCTATTTTCTGTGGACTCTAGGGCAAAGCAAATAATTGGAATACACGGTGGCTGATGAGAGCCAGGACTCTCAATGACAGAAAGGAAAGTGGGAGTGAGAACAGGGTTTCAGCAAACGATTCCTGTAAAGGGCGAGAGAGTAAGCATCTCAGACTCTATGAGCCAAAGGCCACGTGAGTGCTCAGAACAGCCACAGGCCGCGTGTGGCGGCTCACACCTGTCACCCCAGCGCTTGGGGAGGCCGAGGCGGGAAGATCACTTGAGCCCAGGAGTTCAAGACCAGCCTGGGTAACACAGCGACACCCTTTCTACAAAAACTTTAAAAATTATCTGATGGCTGGGCGCGGTGACTCATGCCTGTAATCCCAGCACTTTGGGAGGCCGAGGCAGGTGGATCATGAGGTCAGGAGATTGAGACTATCCTGGCAAACACGGTGAAACCCTGTCTCTACTAAAAATACTAAAAAATTAGCCGGCCATGGTGGCGGGCGCCTGTAGTCCCAGCTACTCAGGAGGCTGAGGCAGGAGAATGGTGTGAACCCAGGGGGCAGAACTTGCAGTGAGCAGAGATGGCGGCACTGCACTCCAGCCTGGGCGACAGAGCGAGACTCCGTCTCAAAAAAAAAAAATTAGCTGAGTGTGGTGACGTGCACCTGTGGTTCCAACTACTTGGGGGGCTGAGGAAGGAGGATAAATTAAGCCTAAGAGTTTGAGGATGCAGTGAGCCCTGTTTGTGCCACTGCACTCCAACCTGGGCAACAGAGCAAGACCCCGTCTCCAAAAAAAAAAAAAAAAAGAACAGCCACAGATATACATAAACAAAAGGGTATGGTTGTATTCCAATAAAACTTTACTAAGGAAAATAGGTGGGGGCCAGTTTGGACCACAGTTTACTGACTCTTGCATTAGAATAAAGCCAGGGAGCCGGACACGGTGGCTCATGCTGGTAATCCCAGCACTTTGGGAGGCCAAGGTGCATGGATCATTTGAGGTCAGGTGTTTGAGACCAGCCTGGCCAACATGATGAAACCAGGTGTCTACTAAAAACACAAAAATTAGCCAGGCATGGTGGCATGCACCTGTCATCCCAGCTACTCAGCAGGCTAGGTGGGAGAATCGCTTGAACTGGGCAGGCAGAGGTTGCAGTGAGTCTCCAGCCTGGACAACAGAGTGAGACTCCACCTAAAAAAAAAAGAATAAACCCGCGGACGTCGCATTGAAATTGGAAGTATCAGTATGATCACAAGGTCTTTGACAGATCGATGGGTAAAGATGTGAGAAACAGCTAGGTCTGAACACTGGGTTATAATGTTCCATTAACAATTTTTTTTTTTTTGAGATGGAGTCTTGCTCTGTCGCCCAGGCTGGAGTGCAGTGGCACGATCTCTGCTCACCGCAACCTCCACCTCCTGGGTTCAAGCAATTCTGCTGCCTCAGCCTCCCGAGTAGCTGGGATTACAGGTACCTGCCACCACGCCCCGCTATTTTTTTGTATTTTTAGTGGAGACTGCCTCACCATGTTGGCCAGGCTGATCTTGAACTCCTGACCTTGTGATCCACCTGCCTCGGCCTCCCAAAGTGCTGGGATTACAGGCATGAGCCACCGCAACCGGCCAAGTACACAACTTTTGAGACTGGCTTTTCCTATTCAGCATAATGCCCTTGAGATCCACCCACGTGGCAGAGTGGATCGCTGCGGAGTGGCACCCCGGGGCACCCACGTGGCAGAGTGGATCACGCAGTGTGGCACCCCGGGGCACCCACGTGGCAGAGAGGATCGCTGCGGAGTGGCACCCCGGGGCACCCACGTGGCAGAGTGGATCGCTGCGGAGTGGCACCCCGGGGCACCCACGTGGCAGAGAGGATCGCTGCGGAGTGGCACCCCGGGGCACCCACGTGGCAGAGTGGATCACGCAGAGTGGCACCCCGGGGCACCCACGTGGCAGAGAGGATCGCTGCGGAGTGGCACCCCGGGGCACCCACGTGGCAGAGTGGATCATGCAGAGTGGCACCCCGGGGCACCCACGTGGCAGAGAGGATCGCTGCGGAGTGGCACCCCGGGGTATCAGTGTGCAAGTTTAACCATTTGAGTTATTTCAGTTTCTGGTAATTACAAATAAAGTTGCTATGAACATTAAATATGGGTTTTTGTGTGAAAATAGTTTTCATTTGTCTAATAAAAGCTCAGGAATGCAGGGCAGGTTTAACTTCCTAAAAACCTGCCAGGCTGATTCCCAGAGTAGCTGCACCACTTACCGTCCCCACCTGCAATGCACGAGGCCCAGTTTCTCTAAATCTCTGCTGACTATATATATGTATACTATATGTGCTATATGATATACACGTATCATATGCCATGATATACGTATATTATACATCATATATAAAAACATATTTTTATATAAAATAAATCAGTATTTTTTTATTTCAGCCATTCTCAAAACACCACCCTCACCCGCCGCCACCTTGTCCGCAGCTCTGCCTGGATGATGCCGCTGGTGACAGTAACAGCACTCAGAGGTGCTTAACACATACCAAGTGCTGCACTTACCCAACTCCCAAAAAAGCCTAACCAGGTATCACTATCATCCCCATTCCTAAAAGAGCAGGCTGAAAACAGGTTAAGCCCACAGCAATAAGTGGTAGGGCCCGGTGCGATGGCTCACACCTGTAATCCCAGCATTTTGGGAAGCTGAGGCAGGTGGATCACCTGAGGTCAGGAATTCGAGACCATCCTGGCCAACATGGTGAAACCCCGTCTCTATTAAAAATACAAAAATTAGCCGGGCGTGGTGGCAGGCGCCTGTAATCCCAGCTACTCGGGAGGCTGATGCAGGAGAATCGCTTGAACCCGGGAGGCGGAGCTTGCAGTGAGCCGAGATCGCGCCACTGCACTCCAGCCTGGGCCACAGGGCGAGACTACATTTCAAAAAAAAAAAAAAAAAAAAGTGGTAGGGCCGAGACACAAACTCACACAATTGGACAGGAATCCCCACTCAATCATCAGAAAGCACCTCTCCGCAGTGACTAACAGTCTGACAATTTAGAGTAAAAACAAACTCAGTTTCTCCCACTAGTCTTGCAACATGCTTCGGACACCAGGTATGTGGGGATTTTCTCCCCACAAATCACGCAGGTCGTCAGTTCTGCAGTGGACACAGGCTGGGTGTCGTCTGTCATCCTAATTCAGTCATCTATTCTGACAGCGTCTTCCTGGAGATACCAGCAGACCCCCACAGGTTAACGGCTCAGCCCCGCAAGACTGCCCCCCACTTCCAGTGCCCAGGTTGTTTGACCTGCGCTTGGGACCGACGGGGCGTAACCCGGTGACCTCCTCAGGTTGCGGTAATTTGCTAGAGTGGCTCCCGAACTCACAGACATGTTTTACTTACACTTACCAGCAGAGTATAAAGGATTACAAAGAATACAGGTGAAGAGATGCGTGACGTAAAACCGGGGGGAAGCGCTTGGAAATTCAGGGCCTCTCTGGGCACCGCCTCCAGGAACCCCCACGTACTATCTGGAAGCTCCCTGAACCCAGCCCTTTTGGGTTTTTACAGGAACTTCATTTCACAGGCGTGATTCATCAGCCACTGGTGATCAACGCAACCTTCACCCCTCTCTCCTCCCCAGAGGTTGGGGGTGGGGCTGAAAGTCCCCAGAACCTCTAACCCTGCCTTGGTCTTTCCTGCGACCAGCCCCATCCAGAAGCTCCCTAGGGGCTGCCGGCCACCAGTCCACTCAGCCTACAAAAGACATCACTTTGGAGGTTCCCGGGATTTCAAGAGTTGTATGCCAGGAAAAGGGGATGGAGCTGAAATACACAGTTCACTGTATCAGTTACCTCAAACTTAAAACGACCAAAACCCACCTCTGATCTCCACATCACCCAGACCCGACAGTCTACCGCAAAGCAATAAATGGCCACCTTCTCCCTCTTCCTCTGGCCCCAAACCCCTGAGTTACATTTGCCTTTTCCGTCTCTGCCTTATGTTCCATGACCAGTAACCGCAATGGCTTCACGTTCCAAACACATCCGGGACCCAGGGGTTTCCTCCCCGCGCCGCCCTCCTTTGGGCCATCCCTCCCCAGGTCTCGAGAGACCGCAGCAAGAGTCTCCGCTAACGCCTCGCCGGGCCCCCGCCGCCTTCCCCGGAGGCTGCTCCAGGGCCCGGGAAAGCTCTCACCCCCGAACCCGGCGTGGCCCCTCCGCCCCCGGCCCGGGAAGCCAAGTCCCCGCAACTGCCCTTTCCGCGGCCGGAATGGCCTTTCCCGACCGGCCCTGGTTTCCCCGGCCGCCTCGCCCAACTGCTGCCGGCTCCAGGGGCGCGGCCGGGACCCCAGGCCCGAGGAGGGCGTCGGGGCGGGGAAGGGGCCAGGGTGCGGGGACCCAGCGACCGCCTGGGCCTTACCTGAGG
Organism: Homo sapiens; assembly: GCF_000001405.40. NCBI lineage: Eukaryota > Metazoa > Chordata > Mammalia > Primates > Hominidae > Homo > Homo sapiens. The sequence goes on from NC_000012.12 coordinate 132,761,624, forward strand.
CGGGGGCGGCGGCCGCGCTTGGCGGAGGAACTGGGGTCCCGCTGCGGCCCAGACCTCCCGGCCGCGGGCCCAGCCGCCGCACCAGCCACCGCACAGCGATCAGCAGCACCGAGGCGCCCAGCAGCTCCCAGGCCAGCGCCGCCCACTCGGCCGCCGCCAGCCGCGGCCACAGCATCGCCGCCGCCCGGGCCGCAGCCGCCGAGAAGCCCGCGCCCCGCGCCGCGCCCGTCCCAGGACCCCGCGCCGGGCTGCCCGCGCCCTGCCTGACGGCGCCGCGCTCGAGGCGGCCGGGGCGGCGCGGGGGACACGGACGGCGGCCCCGCTCGCGGAGGCCCGGCGAGGGCGCGGCCCCGGCCCTGGGACCCAAGCGGGCGGGAACGGGCGAGCGGACGGGCGGGCGCGGCAGGCGGGGCGCGGGCAGCCCGACGCGGGGTCCTGGGACCGGCGAGGCGCGGGGAGCGCAATGTGCTGGCGGGGGCCGGGGCTGGGGCCCGGGGAGGCCACCAGGGCGGGGCCGGGCGCGGGGCGGCGCTTCTTCGCGCCTCCCGGCCCCGGCCTGGCGTCCGTGGGGCGCTGTGCGTCTCCGAGAACGAAGCGGCCTCCGGGTTCGTGTGCTCCGAGCCCGAGTACTGTTTGCGGCCGTCGTCCCGTCCTGGAGCAGGAGTGAGGAAGCGCCTCTCACTCCCCCGCGAACCCGCAGAACAGGCCGCCGGCGCTATGGAGACCGGCGGAGCTTCCCGCTCCTTCACCAAGGGGCCCTGACGCGCAGTTGAAAGCGCGGATTTTGCCGGGCGCGGCGGCTGCGTCCGGAGTCCCAGCGCCTTGGGAGGCGAGGCGGGAGGATCCCCACGGCCCGGGAGCTCGAGACCAGCCCGGGCAAATATTTTGAAAGTCATGGTAAAAGCCGCAATTACTTTTGCACCAACCTAATAGTGAGACCCTGTCTCGAAAAAGGGAAGGAGGATTTTACTGTATGTAATTTAGATGTTTTATTTATTTTTTGATGCGGTGTCTTGCTCTGTCGCCCAGGCTGAAGTGCAGTGGCGCGATCTCGGCTCACTGCAGCCTCCGCCTCCTGGGCTCAAGCGATTCTCCTGCCTCAGCCTCCCAAGTAGCTGGGATTACAGGTGCCCACCACCACGCCTGGCTAATTTTTGCATGTTTAGTAGAGACGGGGTTTCCTCATGTTGGCCAGACTGGTCTCGAATTCTTGATGTCAAGTGATCCACCAGCCTCGGCCTCCCAAAGTGCTGGGATTACAGGCGTGAGCCACCGCGCCCCGCCTAATTTAGATATTATTAAATGAAAATGAAAGACCTGAAAAATATAATTGATATCCTTGGTTAAAAACATAATTGATCTGAGCGAGGTGGCTCAGGTCTGTAGTCTCAGCAACTCTGGAGCGTGAGGGGTGATGGTAGTTTCAGTCCGGGAGTTCGAGGCTGCCATGAGCGTGATCTCGCCTGTGAATAGCCACTGCACGCCAGCCTGACCAACATAGCAAGACCCCATCTCTTAAAAAATATCATTGGATGGTACTAATGGTTGGTTGGGCACTACAGAAGAAAGGGTCAGTAATTTTGAAGATGGATGAAATGGAAATTCAAACCACGATGAGATGCTGCTTGAAATCCACCAGAATGGCTAAAATTTAAAAATTGGCAATATCAAATTTTGCTGGCAAGAGCAAACACTGAGTTAACCACCTTGGAAAATAGTGAGGCAGTTTCTTTCAAAGTTAAACGTACACCTCTGCTGTATTCTGAGTGTCTGTCCCCAGCGTTCGTATGTTGAAACCCTAACCCCCCTTGGCCGGGCGTGGTGGCTCACGCCTGTAATCCCAGCACTTTGGGAGGCCGAGGCGGGCAGATCACGAGGTCAGGAGATCGAGACCATCCTGGCTAACACGGTGAAACCCAGTCTCTACTAAAAAATACAAAAAATTAGCCGGGCATGCTGGAAGGCACCTGTAGTCCCAGCTACTCGGGAGGCTGAGGCAAGAGAATGGTGTGAACCCGGGAGGCGGAGCTTGCAGTGAGCCAAGATCGCGCCACTGCACTCCAGCCTGGGTGACAGAGCGAGACTCTGTCTCAAAAAAAAAAAGAAACCCTAACCCCCAAGGTGATGGTATTAGGATGTGGGGCTTGTGGGAGGTGATAGGTCATGGGACAGAGCCTTATATACTTCCCTTAGAAGAGGCCCAAGAAGGCTGGGCACGGTGGCTCACACCTGTAATCCCAGCACTTTGGGAGGTCGAGACAGGAGGATCGCTTGAGCCCAGGAGGTGGAGACCAGCCTGAGCAATATGGCGAGACGCTGTCTGTGCTAAAAATTTAAAAAATTAGCTGAACGTGGTGGCACACGCCTTGAGGAGGGAGGATTACTTGAGCCTGGGAGGTCAAGGCTGCAGTGAGCGAAGATTGCGCCATTGCCCTCCAGCCTGGGAGAGAGAGACCCTGTCTCAAAAATAAATAAATAAACAAGTACGTACATACATACATAAAAAGGTAATTATGTAAGTCCTCGTTACGGAGCCTCCATACATGAAGGGCTTTAGAGCCGATTTGTTAAATGGTCAGCTGTAGTCAGCTGTTGACACCCAGCGTCCACTCTCCATTAAGTTATTAAGAGCTTTTTCTTAGTTACAGAAGCTCTCAGTGGGCTGTGGAGACGCTGCCGTCTCCTGAACACATCCAGCGACCACATGACTAAGCAAAGGCAGCGGAGAGTGGACGGACGGTGATGGACGCGGCCACGGAGCCCAAGCGCCCACAATGCGCATTCCTGTCTTTTCTCTCCCCGCTCACCTCAGAGCGGGACGGAAGGTGGGACTGGGAGAGCTGTTCTCGGGCAGGTGGACGCTGTGGATTAGCGGAGAGGGAAGGCACTTTCGTTCTCGGCACCGTGAGGCTGTCCTGGTCAATCCTGTTTTCATGCTTGAGGGTCTCTGGTGCAGCAGCTCCACCAGCCTTGACACCAGGACTTCTGTGGAATCCAGGTAAGCAGCCAGGGTCCTGATAGGGCCATGCCCTCACCCCCATGTAATGCATCCACTCCCAGTTAAATGAGAAAGGAACAATCACAGGAAAACATGGAGAACAACTCCACTGTTCAGAAGCCAACCCTATATTAGCTACTGTTTAGGTAGAAATGAAAAACTTTGAGACGTAAACTCCTGCAGGTAGAAGTAGATTTCCGGTGAATGAACAAAATGAAGCTTATTAGAATCAATGGCCTCTTCTGAGAGCCGTTCTGAATTTTTTTTTTTTTGAGACGGAGTCTTGCTATGTCGCCCAGGCTGGAGTGCAGTGGCGCGATCTCGGCTCACTGCAAGCTCCGCCTTCCGGGTTCACGCCATTCTCCTGCCTCAGCCTCCCCAGTAGCTGGGACTACAGGCGCCCGCCACCACGCCCGGCTAATTTTTTGTATTTTTAGTAGAGACGGGGTTTCACCGCGTTAGCCAGGATGGTCTTGATCTCCTGACCTCATGATCCGCCCACCTCGGCCTCCCAAAGTGCTGGGATTACAGTCGTGAGCCACTGCGCCCAGCCCTGATTTTATTCCTAGTTGTAATTTAACTTCTACTTCATTTCTGATCCGAGATCACAAAGGGGCCATGTGAGCCCCAGGGACTGAGCGGAAGCTGAAGTCTCACAGCTCGAGGATTTACTCCCAACGTGCTGGGAAAAGCCCTAGATGAGCAGGGAGTAGCTAATTTCTTTTCTTCCCCTTCTTTTTCAATATTAATTGGATTTCCTTAAAGGCCGTGTGTCTATTAAGTTTGTTATCAATGGCTATTTAGCACTTGTAGAAACCCAGCCGTATGTTACATACAGTAGGGTCTAGTCAGGAAAACAGCCCAGGCCAAGTGGTTCAGCAGAGGAAATGCAGGGGCAGGGACGGCAACCGCAGGACGCCAGAGGCCCTCAGGTGGAGATAACGGCCCTGAGTGGAAACGTACAGGCTCCAGAACCTGGTGGGACCTGGGCTGATGCAGGGGAATGAGGGGTTTCAGGGGAGCTACGGCCGTGACCATCAGACGCCCAGCTGCAGGGACAGGCAGGTGGCGGGGGGGGGGGGTCTGTTTTCTGGGTGAAGATGGGGGCATTTTTGAAAGCATTGGGAAGATACACTTGACGTATCTATCCAGTCTCCAGAAATGCACGTTTAACGCTCAGAAGGAAATCTTGCAACAATTGAAGTGCTGTGGGAGGCTCCGCGAGCAGAGACAAGATTGTCCTTCTCTGGGTTTCAGGGCATTTAGACATGACACTCAAAAATATTTCACTGTGGGCCGGGCGCGGTGGCTCATGCCTGTAATCCTAGCACTTTGGGAGGCAGAGGCAGGTGAATCACCTGAGGTCAGGGGTTCAAGACCAGCCTGAACAAAATGGTGAAACCCCATCTCTACTGAAAATACAAAAATTAGCCGGGCGTGGTGGCGGGAGCCTGTAAGCCCAGCTACTCTGGAGGCTGAGGCAGGAGAGTCACTTGAACCTGGCAGGCAGAGGTTGCAGTGAGCTGAGATCGAGACACTGCACTCCAGCCTGGGCAACAAGAGTGAAACTCCGTCTCAAAATATATCTATTTCATGTGAAGGTGAAATCCAACCCCGACGATGTGTAGAAAAGCCCAGCAATCTCCCGCAAATCCCTGAGCCGATGGCCGCGGAGATGGGTGTCCTGGTGGTGCTCCCAGAGCTGCCTCCCCAGGTGCCACCAGGACATGCTGCCTTTGGGGCTAGAGGTTCCCACCTCATCAGTAACGAGGGCATCGCCAGCCCTCAGCTGCCTTGGGCGCCCACAGTCGGCTTTCACGCCTCCCAGAGGTTCCGCCACCTTCAGCCCTCACTTCAGATGGAGTCAGAACTTAGAGATGTGGACACTGTGAAGGTCACCGGCAGCCAGTGGTGGAGCCGGGGGAAGGGTGTAGGACGCCCCCACACACAGGTGAAGAGGGCACTGCCAGGGGGAGGGCTGTAGGACACCCCCACACAGAGGTGAAGAGGGCACTGCCAGGAGGAGGGCTGTAGGACGCCCCCACACACAGGCGAGCAGAGGGCGTTGCAAACATGGGCAGAGGCGGCCCAGCAGCAGTTTAACATTGCCCTGTGTCCAGGAGAAAGGCCACTGCCCAAGTATGCTCTTTATCGCAACCTGCAACATTCCCCCTCAGACGGAAGCTTGTGTAGAGGCCGCCAAGTTCCAACAAATGCTCCCGACTGTAGACGCCACCAAGTGCTGGGACTTGCTCTCGTCATCTGGGAAAGGCTTGGGGACGCTGCCAGCAACTGTCATGTTTATCCATCAAGCTAGACGGCGGAAGTGCAGTCGTCTTAGTTTCCCCCATTATCTGCTTCCTGCTTTTTTTTTTTATCTCGAGTCTCAACTTTGTTGCCCAGGCTGGAGTGCAACGGCACGAACTCCACTCACTGCAGCCTCCACCTCCCGGCTTCAACAATTCTCCTGCCTCAGCTTCCTGAGTAGCTGGGATTACAGGCGCCCATCACCACGCCCGGCTAATTTTTGTATTTTTAGTAGAGATGGGGTTTCACCATGTTAGCCAGGCGGGTTTCAAATTCCTGATCTTGAGTGATTCACCCGCCTCAGCCTCCCAAAGCGCTGGGATTACAGGCATGAGCCACTGTGCCTGGCCTGCTTCCTAATACTACCCGAGGTCTCAGATTTCTGAGTGACCTGGTAATTTTTAAATCCTGAGTCTCCTTCATGCCTGTAATCCCAGCACTTTGGGAGGCCGAGGCGGGCGGATCATGAGGTCAGGAGATCGAGACCATCCGGGCCGACACGGTGAAACCCCGTCTCTACTAAAATACAAAAAGAAATTAGCCGGGCGTGGTGGCGGGAGCCTGTAGTCCCAGCTACTCAGGAGGCTGAGGCAGGAGAATGGCGTGAACCTGGGAGGCGTAGCTTGCAGTGAGCCGAGATCGCGCCGCCGCACACCAGCCTGGGCCACAGAGTGAGACTCCGTCTCCAAAAAAAAAAAAAAAAAAAAATCCTGAGCCTCCCATCAGCGATACGTCCTCTGTCCTACACTCAACCCAAATTCCTGACAGTACCTGCCGCCACTCTAAGCCAGGAAGAAGTGACCCATTCATCTCTGCCAAAACCACTCCTGACACCCACTGCTGAGCTCTGTAGCAGGACGCAGCGTGGAGCTTCGAGCTGCTGAGACAGACACAGCTTAAAATATACCTGTCAGTGCAGTGCCTGCAAACACGTAGCAACTCCATGGAGAAAAGGAAAAAGTTCAGATACATACATGTCCCCTTAAGGGTTCTATAGACCAAAAAAAATTATATCCTTAATATTTCAGAAAGTTAAGGCCACAGAAGGTGGTCAGGGAATTTTTACTCTGTGTAGCAATTCTCTGGGTACAGAAGCTGGTAACGCTCACAGGAAGAAGTGCATTAATCCCACAGGGCCAAGCCCAGCGACCACCACTTCCTGCCCCTTTTCTGTACTTTTTAAACCATGGTGGCCTCTAATAACGTCTAACTGAAAACTCTGTACCTGGTTAACTCTTTTTTTTTTTAGACGGAGTCATGCTCTGTCACCCAGGCTGGAGTGCAGTGGTGTGATCTCGGCTCACTGCAACCTCTGCCCGATCAAGCGATTCTTCTGCCTCAGCCTCCTGACAAGTGGGGATTACAGGCGCCCGCCACCACGCCCTGGCTAATTTTTTGTTTAGTAGAGGTGGAGTTTCACCATGTTGGCCGGGCTGGTCTTGAACCCCTGACCTCAGGTGACCACCCCCTCCCAGCCTCCCAAAGTGCTGGGATTACAGGCGTGAGCCACCACACCCAGCTTACGCCTGGTTAACTCTTAATGACCAAAATCAAAGTATGGATGAAAAAGACGAGAATCTGGGAAGTCACATTGCTGAGGTCTGAGAGTCATGACTCCACTGTCACCGGGGAGGCCCAGCAGAGGGCAGCACCTGGATGATGAGACCCAGTTCAGGAGGCGCAGCACAGAGCGGTCACCATCCTTCCCCGGTTCACCGGGAAGCTTGCTCCCCCTCCTTCTGTATTCCTGGCAAATGACAACGGGCAAAGCGAAGCGTGGGCCAAGGACGGAGGAGGCGGTGCCGCGCGTCTGCCGTGGTCACAAGCCACAGAAGTTTGCTTCACTCCTGCCAGAAACCGGCAGGACAGTAGAATTCTCTTTTAAAGCACGTGTTGAACAGAGTGTGTAATAACATGAGATTAAAAAGTTACTGCCAAACGACAAAATATAACTATTAAAATGAAGCTTCCAATGAATATGAAAATCTTTACCAAAAAATAGTTTATTGCACAAAATTTAAGGAATTCCCAAGCACACTTACATTTGTAAAAAATCAACGTGCTTTTTAAAGTTACACTTTGTCAGACACGGTGACCCCTTTCCCAAGAACAGCCACAACTTGAGGACTCTCTTTTGTGAGGAAATTTTTAATAAAAACAAGTAACTCAAAAGCACTGAATTTTCCAGACCCTCTAACACATTTCCCTCCGGATCCTGTGAGAGCCTGAGATCACTTATGACGAGATTCACCTGGACCTTCCGGTCAGTGAGCTCAGAACACCTCACACCACAGCGTCACTCAACTCAAGTCCCTCCTCACATCAGAGGGCTCCTCGAAGGGAGGCCCCAGGACGGTTCTCTCAGATTTGCTGGTCCCTCCCCTCCTAGAATCTTCACGTACAACATTCTGTTTTTGTTTTTAAAGACCTCAGGGAACTAGAACTCGGTTGTGGGAACCCTGCACCAAGGAGAGTTGAGGGCCAGCTCCTTAGCGCAGCACAGCACGGACTGTGTTCTGGTGGGCAGGGCCCCTGCTGGACCCACCCGAGGAGAGTCCATTTCACATCCTATCAGAAACACTGCCTGATCCATATTGCAGAGAGTGGGAACGGGTGTGAGTCCGTAAGACCCGTAGCATCAATCTCACATATACCACGGAAAAACACATGAAAACCAAGTTACGTTGTTTTTGGAACATCAGAAAAACAAGTAGTGACATCGTGAAGTGCCCTAGCCTGTTGTGACACACGGTGTGGGGATGAACACGCCGCCCTAGCCCGTGACACACGGCGTGGGGATGAACACGCCACATAATGCACTGGTGACCCTGTTTTGTAAGCAGTACTCCCAACTTCACTGCCTTTTCCGTGAGGATATTCCATCATTCCCACTTCTGCCCACAAGAACAAAATAATTCAAACTTTATGCACTGAAGTAACTCTGGAAGGTAGAAGTGCCGGGAGAGTCCCTTGGAGATAAAAAAACCTCAACAATAAAAAAAAGCAATTTAAAAATCCAACTGCAGCCGGGGGCGGTGGTTCACGCCTATAATTCCAGCACTTTGGGAGGCTGAGGCTCAGGATCACCTGAGGTCAAGAGTTCAAGACCAGCCTGGCCAACATGGTGGAACTCCACCCCTCTAAAAATACAAAAATTAGGCTGGTGTGGTGGCGGGCACCTGTAATCCCAGCTACTGGGGAGAATGAGGCAGGAGAATCGCTTGAACCCAGATGGCGGAGCTTGCAGTGAGCAGAGATCACGCCACTGCACTCCAGCCTGGGCGACAGAGCGAGACTCTGTCTCAAAAAAAAAAAAAAAAAATTCCAACTTCCTCTTTTAGGCGTCTTCTTAAGGAAGGAAGTGTCCGCGTGAACACGAGAGGCCTCAGATCCAGAAGCACAAGCCGTGCATGAAAACACCAAAAGACTCACTGCAGGGAGCAAAGGCAGCCAGGCCCTGCCAAACCAGAGGGGGCCCTGGCACCGGCGACCACAGAGCGCTGGGGGAGGCATCGCACCCAAGGGCACACACGCAGGAAAACCGGGGTGAGAACATAGAGCTACTTTTCCTTCGGTATTTTCAGAATTAGTCTGTCCTAAGAGAAAAAAAAATACATGGTGAACATCACTCACTTGAGGACTTCCCATAAGCAAGGAGAAGTCGCTCCCCACTGAATGTGTGATTTCTCGATTTTAGATTTTTTAAAATCATTTATTTATTTTTGAGACGGAGTCTCGCTCTGTTGCCCAGGCTGGAGGGCAGTGGCGCGATCTCGGCTCACTGCAAGCTCCGCCTCCTGGGTTCAAGTGATTCTCCTGCCTCAGCCTCCCAAGTAGCTGGGATTATAGGTGCGCACTACGACACCCGGCTAATTTTTGTATGTTTAGTAAAGACGGGGTTTTGCCATGTTGGCCAGGATGGTCTGGACCTCTTGACCTCAGGTGATCCACCCGCCTCGGCCTCCCAAAGTGCTGGGATTACAGGCATGAGCCACCGCGCCCGGCCCGATTTCTTGATTTTAAAATTAAAACAAAGGGGTAGTACAGCCAAAATAAATAAGAACGTAAATTGCCGTATTTTTTTTTCTAATGGTACAAGAACAATTTAGTAAATAACATCTTCAACTTAAGATAAAAAGTAGGATATATTTATAATGAAATTTTCAAGTATTATTTCAAAATTAACCCTGTACAAATGATATATTTTGGAAATTCCAATATTTGCTAGAGAATATTTTTTAAATACCAAACATCTTTGTGGTTAATGCTACCTTAACCTTACCAATTAACCTTCTAAAAGTATATTACAACAGAACACAAATAGCTTAAAACACACCATACTGTTTTCTCCACAAAACAGACACCAGACACCGACATGAGCACATCTGGCCTGGCCAGTGACTCAGAACCTCATTTCAGACCAGTACATCTGCAGAGGAGGCCACGCGGACCCATTCTCTCTCTCCTAACTCATATAATAAATATTATTTTAGATTTTCTTAGCAAACTAGGGGACAACTTACAGACCCCACCTCTCCCAGTCAGCCAGTGTCTGCAGGGTTTCAGGATTTGGGGTAGGAAACAGAAGATCTCACACATGTCGTGCTGATTTTAAATAAGGCATCTGTCTCTGAGACACCTGGGAGAGCACAGCCACCTTCCTCACGGTGCCTGCCTGTCTCTTCCGGAAGTCGCCTCTGCTTGCCACATGATGCTGGTGTAACCACAAAAGATCCAGGACTTCTCGATGACTGCAGAAGTACAGGTGCTCCTACACACGAGTACAGGCGCTCCCACAGACAATGGTAAAGATTTTCACTTGGGGAACAGGAGTGTGAGGTTTGTTACCGCCTGCGACCTACACCTGGCTGACTCCAGGGGAAACCGCGGGAGTCGCTGCAGGGAGCCCCTGGTCTGCTCTCCTCCTCCTCCTCCACCGGCCTCTCCCTGTGCCCCCCCAAAGGTCAGATCAGATATGGGGCCTCAGTGTCCTTGTGCCTCCTGATGGCCGTCAGGCCTGACCAAGGGTCCAAGCTGCCCCTTCCCAGTGGCCAGCCACGGTGGAATCACACAGGGCCAGTGGCCTGAGAGGAAGAGACCAGCAGGAAGGAAAGATCCTCAGCAACAAAGTAAAACCAGAACAACAGAGGACCTTTCTGTGTAAGAATATTTGGCTTTAGAAGGTAAATAAAATAATTATATTTCTTAGAATTTTCTGACTATCCCTAAATCCTGCAGGTAAATTATTCCCAACAAATTTTCAAAAGGCAATCAATAATAAGTAGGTTCTTCTTCAATAACATGAGCATATGCTTCTTAAAGACTGGGTGACAGGCCGGGCGCAGGGGCTCACGCCTGTAATCCCAGCACTTTGGGAGGCTGAGATGGGCAGATCACTTGAGGTCAGGAGATCGAGACCATCCTGGCCAACATGGTGAAACCCCATTGCTACTAAAAATACAAACATTAGCCTGGCATAGTGGCGCACGCCTGTAATCCCAGCTACTCGAGAGGCTGAGGCAGGAGAATCGCATGAACCTGGGAGGCGGAGCTTGCAGTGAGCGGAGAGTGTGCCACTGCACTCCAGCCTGGGCAACAAAGCGAGACTCTGTCTCAAAAAAAAAAAAAAAAAAAAAACAAAGATTGGATTATGATATTCAGTATCTATGTACACATCCTATGGTGGGATGGCTATCCAAAAAAACAAGTAAAAAGCCAAAGGTACAGATAAAATTTCATTTCTGCGGAAAAGTAAAGCTCTTACTGAATGGAACAGGGAAGTGAGAAACTGCAGCCGGCCTGGCCAGGCGCGGTGCCGCAGACCCTGTCACACAGCTGCTCCCAGTTACGCAGCCTCTCCCTGTCACCCGCAGAGAGCAGCATCGGTGGCCGCTCAGAAGCCACGACCTACAAGTAACCCTTCAGACACGTTCAAAGCTCCTCGCCGAGAGCCTATCAGGCTTTTAAGAGTTGGTCATTCCATGTGAAAAGCTAATTGTGATCTTCGAATGTTTTTCTAGTCCTTGGCTCTCATTCTGCTATATATTTTACTTCTTGTTAAAGGCAAAACAAAACTTAAATTTCATGTCTTAGAAAAACATCGACCACACAATCAAATAAATAACATTGATAAGAGCCTTCTGGGGCAGCGGCGCACGGAGGCGAGTCCACAGCAGTCACTCTCCCGGCCCTTCTTTGGAAGCCCTGCTCTGACTGTGTCTCTGTGGGTCGCCGCGTGGGCCGGCGTGACCCCCCGGGGGCACAGGGCTGGCAGTGGCTGGCTCCAGCGGCGTCCACGAGGACAGAGACTCGTGCACCGTCAGGGCGTGCTCCTCCATCTGGCGCTGCAGGCTGTCCATCTCCTGCCTGGGACAGAAGAAGGAGGAAGAAGGCCCAGATCACACAAGTGCCAGGCAGAACGCGCCACCTGTGGACAGCGTCACTCGCTAGCACCTGAGTGGACCGGGGCGCCTTCGGGGATCCGCAAACCAACTGAGACCACAGAAGCTCAGCTGTTCTCAGCACCGTTCTCTACACTGTGCAGAGGACACAGGCTCAAGGACCAGTCCTGACCAGGCGGCAGGGTGGAAGCTGTCACTGAGGCCTGGCACACACGACTTCCACTCCGTTACCTGCCCTCGGGGCGCCGCCTGGCTCCGCCCTACACACTTCGCTCAGCCTCAGGCTGCCAGGTGCACCATGTGTGGCCTTCCAGCTTCTCAGGGCCTATCAGGGTAGTTTAACTCCAGGCAGTTTCCACCTATGAGTTCACAGGCTGTGTGTGCGAGTTCCCCCACCTTTATATAAACCTCAGAGGCTGTGCGAGTCCCCCTCCCACTTTATATAAACCGCAGAGGCTGTGTGAGTCCCCCTCCCCCTTTATATAAACCTCAGAGGCTGTGCGAGTCCCCCTCCCCCTTTATATAAACCGCAGAGGCTGTGAGTCCCTCCCCCTTTATATAAACCACAGAGGCTGTGCGAGTCCCCCTCCCCCTTTATATAAACCTCAGAGGCTGAGTCCTTCCCCCTTTATATAAACCTCAAAGGCTGTGTGTGCAAGTCCCTCCCTTATATAAACCTCAGAGGCTATGTATGCGAGTCCCCCACCCTTATATAAACCTGCTGAAACTCTGCTGGGCACTCAGTACTGGCACCAGGAGTGCCCTCCCAGGTAAGAGGGCATTAATCTTTAAGACTAGCTGAAGTGCAGCACGGAATACGGTCGTACTTGAGCTGCTGGAGGCAGCTGTTCAGGTTCTTGAGGGGCTCCTTGCTCACGGCGGGCGGTGGTCTCAGCAGCTCCTCCAGCAGCGAGGCGGGAACTGGGCAGTCCGGGATCTTGATGGGCGTGGCAGGGTTGGAAGAGCTGGCCTCGCCTTTCGGCTCCTTTCTCTGTTTTTAAAAGCACATGATCAGCTTTCCCACCGTCCCCTCCCTCGGGTCAGTCTCACTAGCACAGCTTGTGGCAAACGGGCCTCCCCAACTGGTGGACGTGGGGCCTCTGGGAAGGGGACCGTCCTGGCCGCCGTGGCAGCCCAGCACGACAGTCCCCGGAGCTCCAGAATAGCTGGCTGAGGAAACACCTTTATTCCTAAGGCACAAAACCAGAGCAAAGCAGAGACAACCTAAGTCCTGGGTCTGCGGCAGGACGGGGCCGAGCCACAGACTACAGCTCTCCCAGACGCTTCTCCCATCAGATACTCAAGACCTTGATGTGGAATTTCCGTAAGAAATTAAGTAAGTTTTCCAGCTTAGGCTCCCTTTTCTGGGACTTCAAACTTTTTCCACAGATAAGCACACGACGCTAAACGGCCTCTCAATCCGAGCGCTGCCCTCCCACCTGCCTCCTGGAAAACATGGATGTGGACCGAGCACAGAAAACCGCCGGGCGCCTGGGCACAGCTCCCGGGCCCCAGCCCTTCACACACAGCAGGGACTGCCGAGTCACAGACCACCGCTCATCTGCTTTACAAAGCACATTACAACAAAGTGGTATTTGAATTCACAGAACGAGGAAAACACTGTTGGATGAATGAAACCAGAATGAAATGATTTCATCTGTCACCCCATTACCACTGACTACACAGCAGCTGCTCAGTGTGGGCTCAACAAATCCGTTTATGTCTGAATGACTAACACGTCTGCCAGCCTCCTGTCCGAGAGCATCTACAGCGCACGTCGGCTACCCCGGGAGGGACGCGGGCCTGAGTACCGTCTTGGCCGCGCCGCGGCGTAGGTCCAGCTTGAGCTGCTGGTTCTGCTGGAGCAGGGTCTTCATGTTGTTCTTCAGCTCCGACACTTTTGCCTGGAGCATAAATTTATCCTTCTGGGTCATGGACAGGTCTTCCTGGGCCATCTCCAACTCAGACTTGACGTTCTGTGGAAAATGAAGTCAGATTTTTAAAAGCTAACAGATCTTAAACATCCTGCCAAGATCCGAGTTTGTATTTTCATAGGTTAAGCACACACATGTCCTCCTCGGCGCCATCTAGATGATGCCAGTCCAGGTCCAAAATGCTCAGGACCAGAAGTGTGTCAAATTTTGGAATTTTGAATATTTGCGTTACAACTACCAGCTGAGTATCCACAATCCAAAAATTTGAAATGTTCCAATGATCATTTCCTTTATCATGTTGATGCTCAGAAAGTTTCAGATTTTGGATTTTTGTTCTTGTTTTTTTTAGACACAGGGTCTCACTCTGTCATCCAGGCTGGAGTGCAGTGGTCCAACCACAGCTCACTGCCTAAGTGCTGGGACTACAGGTGTGAGCCACCAGGCCTGGCCAGGTTTTGGATTTCTGGATGATGGACGCTTGTCGGCCTGTGTCTATAAATAAATTCTCACTGTAACTCAAGCCCCTCATTTACAAGGGGAACTTAGCAATTACACTCCTTTCCCGAGCAGTCAAGACCGAACCCTGAGTTCTTTGTTGAGAAGTTTATCGCAAATTGGCAAACTTTTCCCACGCACCCTCCCATTTGCTGTAGTCCATGAAATCACGTTCTTGGTCCGTGACACACAGCGCGGCCAAGGGATCGGAGCCGGCCCAGGCTTCGCCCCTGCCTCTGTCCTGCCGCATGACGTGGACCAGGTGGCTTTGCGAGCGCCCCACTGGACGAGGGCGCCAGCTCCCCGGGAGCACTGCCTGGCCGCAGGCCGCATGGCACAGGAACCAGGGGCTGCCCCAGAAGTGGTGCTCCCGCCTGTGTCCAGCACCTCATACACAGGTACCTGCAGCAGCTGCTGTAGCCCCTCCAGCTCCTTCCTCCCTGCTGCTCCCGCCTGTGTCCAGCACCTCATACACAGGTACCTGCAGCAGCTGCTGTAGCCCCTCCAGCTCCTTCCTGCCCTGCTGCTCCCGCCTGTGCCCAGCGCCTCAGATACAGGTACCTGCAGCAGCTGCTGTAGCCCCTCCAGCTCCTTCCTCCCTGCTGCTCCCGCCTGTACCCAGAGCCTCACACAGGTACCCGCAGCAGCTGCTGTAGCCCCTCCAGCTCCTTCCTCCCTGCTGCTCCCGCCTGTACCCAGCGCCTCACACACAGGTACCCGCAGCAGCTGCTGTAGCCCCTCCAGTTCCTTCCTCCCTGCTGCTCCCGCCTGTGCCCAGCGCCTCACACACAGGTACCCGCAGCAGCTGCTGTAGCCCCTCCAGCTCCTTCCTCCCTGCTGCTCCCGCCTGTGCCCAGCGCCTCACACACAGGTACCTGCAGCAGCTGCTGTAGCCCTTCCAGTTCCTTCCTGCCCTGCTGCTCCGTCAAGTCCAGCTGCTGCTTCAAGGACTGGATTTCTCTTTCTTTCTGATCCACCTCCCATTTGAGATTTTCCATCTAAAGAGGGGAAAGTCACATGGCCAAAAGAATATTAAAGTGGCTTTACTGCCCTGGAAAATGGCTCTAGCTGTGTTTTGGTTTATCTTTTAATACCATATTCAGAAAACCATCACTGTTGCTCCCCAAGCAGGATGGAGTGAAGTCACCCAGGGCACCCGTGAGTCCAGCCCTGCAAGTCCAGCCCCCGTGAACCGTCACCTCTTGGTTTCCCACGGGCTGTTTGCTGAGCTGCTCGTCCAGCTGCTTCTGCAGGAGCTGGAGCTGTGCCCGGGCCTCGGCCAGCTCTGCTTGGAACTGTGCTATCTCCTGGGAATGTTTCCCCTCCCGAATCCTAGCGTAAAAAAACAAGAAAGAAGGGAATCGCCACGCTCCTCCAGTGTGCTGTGCCCTCCCGCTGGGAAATGCTGCCTGTGGAAGGCGTTCGTCCTGGCAGGCCCTCTGCTGTGCACTGCGTGCTGCAGCCATGCTTGGTGCCCACAGTGTGCACTCGGGCAGTCCTCACGAAGCACCTGAGACTCACACTTCACTGGCACCCCTCACAGATCCCAGAGACTCACTTTGCCGGCACCCCTCACAGATCCCAGAGAGTGCCGGCCCCGAGACCACAGTGCATGGGACCCACAGAGCCACAGCATCAGCCCCGCGCCGGGCCGCCCCTTCCCGCCTCTGACCTGAAGCTAAGTACTCCTGCTGGGGCGCTTTCTCTCTTGGGGGGAGGACACGGGGCAGTGAGTGAGGCTCAGGATTCTGGAGACGGAGGCTGGGTGCCTTCTACTCCTATGATTCACTCAAGTACTCGGCAATTTGCAAAATATAGATGACCCTCGCTGTGCTGAAGGTGTGAATTAGACCCCGCCCATTGCCAGGACAGCCATGTTTGAGGGCTGGCGGGGCCCAGGCACTCACTGAAGGTCGTCGGCCTCGGCCTGCAGCTTCTGCACCAGGTGTTCCTTGGCCTGCAGCTCCTTCTTCACCTCACTCAGCTCCAAGGAGGCCGCCTTGAAGTGGCGGCGGTTATGCCCGGCTTCCACCTTGGCAGCAGCCACCTAGGAGGAAGGAAGCCACGTTGTCCATGCCCTGCGTGACACCCACAGCTTTATGACGTGCCGGGCGCAGGGGGTGAATGCACTCCCGGCCCCGTGCATGTCCTGGCTGCCGGCGTGTGCTTCTCCACAGGCCTGTCAAGTTCCTTGTAAAGATGAAACCACCTGACCCGGAGCTCGGCACGCAGCAAGTGCACACTTATGTGGCTGCTGCTATCTGTTGAATGAACACATTTATTCGAGATTTCTCGGTCTAAATAGTTTTTATAGTCTTCTTCCAGTGTATTCACAGCCTGGACAACATAGCAAGACCCTGTCTCCACAAAAAATAAAAAAATTAGCAGGGCATGGTGGTCCCAGGTACTCAGGAGGCTGAGGTGGAAGGATCACTTGAGCTCAGGAGTTCCAGGCTGCAGGGGAGCTGTGATCGCGCCACTGCACTCCAGCTGGGGTGACAGAGTGAGACCCGGTCCCAAAAATGAAATAAATAGGCCAGGCGTGGCGGCTCACGCCTGTAATCCCAGCACTGTGGGAGGCCGAGGCGGGTGGATCACGAGGTCAGATCGAGACTATCCTGGCTAACACGGGGAAACCCCGTCTCTACTAAAAATACAAAAAATTAGCCAGGCGTGGTGGCGGGCACCTGTAGTCCCAGCTACTCAGGAGGCTGAGGCAGGAGAATGGCGTGAACCCGGGAGGTGGAGCTTGCAGTGAGCCGAGATCGCGCCACTGCACTCCGGCCTGGGCGACAGAGCGAGACTCCATCTCAAAATCTCAAAAAAATAAACAAATAAATAAATAAAAATAATAAAATAAAATAAATACATTTAAAAAATAAAAATAAAATTAATTGGAAGGCCAAGGCGGGCAGGTCATCAGGTCAGGAGATTGAGACCATCCTGGCTAATATGGTGAAACCCCATCTCTACTAAAATACAAAAAATTAGCCAGGCATGGTGGTGCACGCCTGTAGTTCCAGCTACTGGGGAGGCTGAGGCAGGAGAATCACTTGAACCCGGGAGGCAGAGGTTACAGTGAACCAAGATTAAGCCACTGCACTCCAGCCTGGTGACAAAGTGAGACTCCGTCTGAAAAAAAAAAAACCGAAAAAAATTCAGTGAACCCTAAGCACGGAGCGAAAGCTGGAGAGCTGGGGCACCGTGTGAGCCAGCCTGAACCACGGCCCAGCAGCAGGCCCCAGGCCAGGGTTAAACGGCCGGGCGGATGAGGCCTGTGGGGCCAAGAGAAAGCTGTTAACTGCTCCTGTTAAAATATTCCAGCCACATTTTTTTTTTGAGACGGAGTTTCCCACTTGTTGCCCAGGCTGGAGTGCAATGGTGTGATCTTGGCTCACCACAACCTCCGCCTCCTGGTTCAAGCGATTCTCCTGCCTCAGCCTCCCGAGTAGCTGGGACTACAGGCATGTGCCACCACGCCAGGCTAATTTTGTATTCATAGTAGAGACAGGGTTTCTCCATGTTGGTCAGCCTGGTCTTGAACTCCCGACCTCAGGTGATCTGCCTGCCTCAGCCTCCCAAAGTGCTGGGATTACAGGCATGAGCCACCGCGCCCAGCCACCTGCCACATCTTAAAATTAATTCTATTTATAAAGAAACTTTGTTGTTTCACCCCTTAAAAAAAATCAAGAACCTTTTTCTTTTCATCTCAATTACATTATCATAGAAAAGTTCTTAAAGGTTGTGGCAAAGCCAGGTCATAGGAACGAAAGCAGCTTCACTGTTAGGCCGAAAAGTTTGAATTGTGAAGCAATTACTTTTTTACAAGTTCAATTCAAACGGGATTTAAAGGAAAAGTGATGTGTTCTTTCCTGCCTTTCTCTAGAGACAACCAGTTATTTCTTGTGTTCCTCCTAGAAATTTTCTACATATACATCAGCATCAAATGCATGCACACACACCACAGCCCAGGCACACACGTGCGCACACACACCACAGCCCTTGCATGGACACCCCCCCCGTGCACATACACACACCCCAGGCACACACGTGTGTGCACACACACCACAGCCCTTGCACGGACACCCCCCCGCGCACATACACACACCTCAGGCACACACGTGTGTACAGACATCACAACTCTTGCACGCACAGCCCCCCGCATGCACACAACCCAGGCACACACGCGTATACAGACATCACAACCCTTCCACGCACAGCCCGCGTGCACACACACCCCAGGCACACACGTGCGCACACACACCACAGCCCTTGCACGGACACCCCCCCGCGCACATACACACACACACCCCAGGCACACGTGTGTGCAGACATCACACTTGCACGCACAGCCCCCCGCGTGCACACACCCCAGGCACACGTGTGTACAGACATCACAACACTTGCATGCACAGCCCCCCGCGTGCACACACACCACACCCCAGGCACACGTGCACGCACACCCCCCATGTGCACACACACGGCAAGCGTACTAGGAGTAGCTGCTCTGTGCCAGGTATGGCGGAGGTAGCCAGCAAGCAGCAGCGTTCTAACAGAGGAGCAGGGCCCAGACAGGGCACCTGGGGGTCAGGATGGGCCTCTGCTGGCGACGTGACCAACGTGTCAGTGAACACCTGAAGCAGGGCAGGGGCCAGCCACGAAAAGACAGCTCTCTACACAGAGAAGGGTCCACAGAACCACCCCTCTTATCTGCCGAACACAAATGGGATCATATGCTATTCTCAAGTTTGCTTTTGCAATGCAACACGACATACAGGACACCACTCCCAGCACAATATAAATACACATGCACGCGGAGCTCATTGGCCCCAGGCCCTCACAGCTGCACTGCCATTTAATCTAACGCCACCTTCTACGGACCAGAGCAGGTGCTCTGCGGCCTCCGTCACCAACAACTGCAACACACCTTTGCTCTGTGTAACTGCTGGAAGGAGGCTGGTGTGTGAAGGACCCTGCATAGATTTCTAGGCACTGGAGCGTCCTCTGGAACGCCCTGTGAGACGGAAGGTGGCACGCACCTGCTCCTTGAGGCTGTTCACCTTCTCCTTCTCCTTCTCTAGTGAGGCCTGCAGGGCCTGGACAAGATGCTTCATCTGGCGATCCTCCTCTTCTTTGCGCTGCAAAACTGCCTGCACCTAGATCAGATTGCAGGAGGACAGATAAGGAAGGACGTCGAATTACAAACACACAAGGCTGCTACAGCAGGCAACGTGACACACGCCACATCACAGGCACACGCCAGGGAGGTAGAGGGAACTTCACTGCTGAAGAATCTGTGACAAAAACAGAATCCTAGGTTGCGGGAGCATGATCACAGGGCCGCACTCAAGAACGTGGCACGCCTGTGGGCCCCACGGCTCCAGAGGCCAGGGCAGGAGGATCGCTGGAGCCCAGGAGGTTGAGGATGCAGTGAGCTATGATGGTACCACCGCAGTGCCCTCCACCGCACTGCCCTCCACTCCGGGCAAGAGCCAGACCCTGTCTCAAAAAAAAAAGAATGGGCCGGGCGCGGTGGCTCACACCTGTAATCCCAGCACTTTGGGAGGCCGAGGCAGGCGGATGACAGTCAGAAAATCGAGACCATCCTGGCTAACACAGTGAAACCTTGTCTCTACTAAAAATATGAAAAATTAGCTGGGCGCGGTGGTGCACGCCTGTAGTCCCAGCTATACCAGAGGCTGAGGCAGGAGAATCGCTTGAACCCGGGAGGCAGGGAGCCGCGATCGTGCCACTGCACTCCAGCCTGAGAGACAGAGTGAGACTCCGTATTACTAACAACAACAACAACAAAAAAATGGAACATGGTGGCTGGGAACTCAAAAACTACATACAAATCAGGGGCTGCAGCCGGGTACAAAAAGAACAGAAGTGGTGGGAACTAGGGCAAAATATGGAACTAAGATGGGATAGTCAACACCAGCAGCTCGATTTGGCCCCCAGGATTTCCCTGAAATGCCCAGCCTAGTCCTCAATTCAGAGAGGCTGTGGAGACTAAGTAGCTGAGTGAGAACCAGGTCAGGGTTCAAGTCCCAGTTCTGAATTGTGTGAACCTCTTGTTAAGTGCCCCCTACAAACAATGTCACCGTCTGGGACTGGAACTCAGCCACACCCACATGGAAGGTCTACCCCTCAACTAAGCAGGTCTGCCCCCCAACTAAGCAGGTCTGCCCCCCGACTAAGCAGGTCTGCCCCTCAACTAAACAGGTGAACTGAGCACACGCAGGGGCTCCAGCCTCACCTCAGAGAGCCCAGCCCTGCACCAACAGCTGGGGACTCAGGGCTGTGGGTCACCCAGACCCCTGAGCCTGTTCCTCCCCTCGGAGAGCCCAGCCCTGCACCAACAGCTGGGGACCCAGGGCCGTGGGTCACCCGGACTCCTGAGCCTGTTCTCTCGGCTGCAGGCCGGGTGGGCTAGGAGTCAGCACAGGTGACTGAATCTGGATGAGATTCTCGGAGTGCGCACAGCCCCACCAACTCTCACACCGTTGCTGGCGTGAGTTTGACGAGTTTGAATACCTGAAGGTTCAACTGGACTAGGTCTGCCTCCCTCTTGGCCAAAGCTGTTTCTAGGATGCTGTTGTGTTCCCGCAGAGCTGCGTTGGACTGACCGAGGCCCGTAAGCTTCCCTTTCTCGTGCTCTAATTCAAGAGCCAACTTCTTGTTTGACTCCTCAAGGCGTTTTATCTTCTTCCTAAAGCCTCTGGATTCTTGAAGCTGAAACATACCAATGTCACTGTAAAATTACCTGCACTGGTGAGTGGAGTTCACATACCCCAGAAACAGGTGAGTTTTCAACAAGAAACAGCGAAAACTTAGGCCAGGCGCAGAGGCTCACGCCTGTAATCACAGCACATTGGGAGGCCGAGGCAGGGGGATCACCTGAGGTCAGGAGTTTGAGACCAGCCTGGCCAACATGGTGAAACCCCGTCCCTACTGAAAATACAAAAATTAGCCACTATCGTGGCACATGCCTTTAGTCCCAGCTACTCAGGAGGCTGAGGCAGAAGGATCGCTTGAACCCAGGAGGTGGAGGTTGCAGTGAGCTGAGATTGTGCCCCTGCACTCCAGCCTGGGCAACACAGCGAGACTCTGTCTCAAAAAAAAAAAAAAAAAGAAAAAGAAAAGAAAAGAAACATCGAAAACTAAAACACAGCAATGGGCTGGACGCAGTGACTCACACCTGTAATCCCAGCACTTTGGGAGGTCAGGGGTTTGAGACCAGCCTAGCCAACATGATGAAACCCTGTCTCTACCAAAACTACAGAAATTATCCAGGTGTGGTGGCGATCACCTGTAGTTCCAGCTACTCAGGAGAATGAGGCGGGAAAATCACTTGAACCTGGGAAGTGGAGGCTGTGGTGAGCCAAGATTGTGCACTCCAGCCTGAATGACAGAGTGAGACTCTGTCTCAAGACAACAAAAACAAAGAACAATGGACACCACACAACCCTGCGATGGACACCACAGGACCGTGCTTGCTTCATGATCTGAAGGCTGTCGTGGTCATGGTCAGTTGCTTCCCCAGGCCCCTCTCATTCCTCCCCATGGCCAAGAGCCCAGCCTTCTCCTGGGGCCATGGGCTTCTGGAGAAGTCTGTCCAGGCACTGAGCCCTGGCTAGGCCACTCAGCAGGGTGGGCATGAGCAAAACCACTTCAGGGCAGGACACAGCCAGAGAGTGGAACAGGCGGCCCTACTGTGACGGAGCTCCACAGGGAGGGGCTGGGGAGTGGGGGGCGCCGGGACACTGAGCTGCCACCAGCAGCGCTGAAGCGAGAACTGTCTCTGAACCTGAGATATCTGACGTTTTTCTTTTTTTGAGACGGAGTCTCACTCTGTCGCCCAGCCTGGAGTGCAGTGGCGCGATCTTGGCTCACTGCAACCTCCGCTCCTGGGTTCAAGCGGTTTACCTGCCTCAGCCACCCAAGTAACTGGGACTACAGGCACCCGCCACCACACCCGGCTAATTTTTGTATTTTTAGTAGAGATGGGGTTTCACCATGTCGGCCAGGCTGGTCTCGAGCTCCTAACCTCATGATCCGCCCACCTCAGCCTCCCAAAGTGCTGGGATTACAGGCATGAGCCACTCGCCTGGCGAAGTTGGGTTTCTTATTTGCAACCAAAGCATTTGAACTGAGAAGGGTTCCACTATGAATTCTGTAACCATTCCACCAAAGAGGCTGTACAGTGATCCTCCCCAGAGGGCTGGAATCAGGGCCTGCCCCACCACAGAGCCAGAGGCCGACGGTCAGAAGGTGGCAACACCAAAAGTAGCAACGCTGGGCACACGGTGAAGTTTTGTTCTTCGGGTCTCACGCGTGGCGGCATGTCCAGGGCTCACGTGACCTGCCCCACGCTGCCGCCACAGCAGATGGCCAGGCCTCACCTCGTCCTCCAGCTCCAGCACCTTCTCCCGGGACTCCTCCAGCTCCTGGCTGGTCAGCGCTATGACCTCCTGCAGTTCCTTTTCCAGCAGCGTCTTGCTATGACTGACAGCCTGCAGCTCCGCCTCCAGGGCCTGGATCCTTTCCTAAGGGCCAAGATGGAACGGGCGCTTGGTCATGGGACAGGCCCTGACCCCCCTCACTTCCTGTGGTGCCGGCAGGCATGAGGCTGTGTGGCTGCACACACCAGACACCAGCTGTCTGACACAGTCTCACAACCTTCCTTTTTGTTAAAGAAGTTGAATTAACCGACCACAGCATGCACACGATGACACACGGGGATAGTTGGGACAAACAAAATCATCTCTTCAGTTCAATGCTTCAAAAATACAGAAGAAAATCTGACCTGCAGATAATGGCTATAAATCACCATCTGTGGCAAGCAAGCAGCACCAGTTGTAATAAATACCACACACATGCTCACGCACCACACATCACATACACACACTCATGTAACACACACCACGTGCACATGTTCACATCCCACACACCACACACACACGTGCTCACACCCCACACGCACATGCTCACACCCCACGTGTTCACACCCCACACCACACATGCACATGTGCTCACACCTCACACTGCATGCACACATACACCCCACACTGCATGCACACATATGCTCACATCCCACACACCATGCACACAAACACTCCACACGCTGCACACACACATGCTCACACCTCACACATGCACGGATACATGCAGGCACAGGTGTGCTCTCACACCCCGCCCACTTGCTGCCTCGATGGTACCAGGCCCTTGCCAAGCATGTTCCAGTACCACCTAACTTAACCCTTACATGAGAAGGTTCTCATTCACCTCAATTTGGCCTCATTTTGCTGAGGATCAAAAAGGTGAGAAATTTGCCAAAAGTCACCACTTGCGAGGGGTGAAGCCCGGACGGACACAAGACATCGGCTCGCAGCTGTGCTATTCCTCAGCTGCAACAGCGTGGCGAGGGGCCAGCTCTGCCCGGCCTTTGCGACCTCCCCACCCCAGCCCTTAGTGAGCCCAAAGAAAATGGCAACTGAATCAATCTCCCCAACATTTTACAAAGCAACCAGGTGAGAGGAAGCACTTGATTTATTTATTGAATTTCAGACACAGAGTCTCTATCGCCCGGGCTGGAGTGCAGCAGCAAAATCATGACTCACTGCAGTTTCAGCCTCACCTCCCAGGCTGAGGCGATCCTCCCACCTCAGTGTCTCAAGCATCTGTGTCCACAGGCACGTGCTACCATGCCTGGGTTTTATTTTTGTATTATTTGTAAATACAGGGTCTAATTATGTTGCCCAGGCTGGTCTCAAACTCCTGTGCTCAAGCGATCCTCCTGCCTCAGCCTCCCAAAGCGCTGGGATTATAGGTGTGAGCCACCGTGCCCGGCCGAGTTTATTTGACAAGAAAACCCCACGTTATGATACAGTCTCTTCCTACCCATAAATTCTTAAGTGGACAGGAGATAGAAACAAACCACATATAAGAAGAAATACTAAGTTGTCAGTGCAAGGACGTGAATTGGAGAATAATAAATAAAATGCGGATGAACTCACTCAGGTAGAATGTTATGCCTACCACGAAAGGTGACAGAGCACGGAGGGCCACGGCCTCCACGGAAGGCTCTGCTCAGAGCCCTCCAGAAAGGGCACCCGCTTGTTCTGGGCCACCGCAGCATGGCTACCTCTAAACGCTCCCTGAACCCTGTCAATCGCTGACCCCATGCCCTCACTCCTGCTTCTCAGTGAGTGCGGAGGCTGCTTTTCCTCCTGAGATGCGAGGAGGCGCAGAGGCAGCTGGAACGCGAGCGGACCAGGGCAGGCCCTCCCTCTGCCCCAAGGGAGCAGCTGAACTTCTCTGAGCCAAGGAGATTTCTTGAGGAAAATCAGGTGAACGCCACAGGCCACAGGCCATGTGGGGTTCATGAGGGAGACGCGAGGCAATGCTCAGTCACTGTGGGTTCCTGGTAACCTGGAAGATGAGCGGGAGTTTAGAGAGTTGCCACCTCCCACGCGAGCTCGGCCCCGCTAGGCTTTAGGGGACAACTGCTGATGGAGAGCCCTTCCCTGCACTGAGGGGCTGGTGACCCTGGCCGGGGATGGCACGGTGTTACCTACATGTAGAGCCAGGCTGCTGTCACTGCTGCCACCCTGGGCTCGGAGCTGGCCCAGCTCCGCGTCCGCAGCCTCCTTGGCCGCGAGGGCCTCCTGCAGGCGGCGGCTGAGGATGCCCACGGCGTTCTCGTAGGCCTTATGTTTGGTCTTCATCTCCTTCTGGGCGCTGGTCAAGTCTGAGCCCAGCCGCCTCATCTTCTGCTTCTGTTCCGTGATGGCCCTGGGGTGTCATGAGGGAGACACAGGAGGAAGCTGAATTATCCCGATGTGACCGTCTGGCATTCTGGTTCGCCTCCCCCCCGGCCCCCGCACCTCCCACCTGGCCCCCGCACCTCCCCCGGGCACATGCAGACTTACTTCCGGGCCTCTTGCTGCAACTCTTCGATTTGTTTCTTCAGCGCCTCATTGGCCTCTGTGACCGCGACCATCTGCTCCTTATCGAACTGCAACGACTGTGGAAGGGAAGGAGGGCGTGAGGAGCGGCACTGCCACCCCCAGCCTGTCTCCCCTTCCTGGCTCCAGCCCATCACCCCCACCAAAGGCACTGCTCAGGCTCGCCCTGGAGGACTTGGGCCTTGAGAAAAATCCTGAGAGAGACGTCTGCCTTCTTACAAACCACTCTTTTTTTTTTTTATTGAGATGGAGTCTCACTCTGTCACCCAGGCTGGAGTGCAGGGGCGTGATCTCAGCTCACTGCAACCTCCGCCTCCCAGGTTCAAGTGATTCTCCTGCCTCAGCCTCCCGAGTGGCTGGGACTACAGGTGCCCGCCACCATGCCCAGCTAATTTTTGTATTTTTAGTAGAGACAGGGTTTCACCATATTGGTCAGGCTAGTCTTGAACTCCTGACCTCGTGATCCACCTGCCTCGGCCTCCCAAAGTGCTGGGATTACAGGTGTGAGCCACTGCACCCGGCCACAAACCACTCATTACTGAGACCAACAAGCGTTTCCAAACACTGTCCAGAGCATCAGAGGCACAACAGGACATGACTGGTTCATAGGAAAGCCTGTGGACCCAGGACCTCTCCTCCAAACCCTCAGGACCCAGGACCCCTCCCCAGGGCCCCAGGAACCCTCCCCAAGGCCTAGGACCCCTCCTCAAGGATCCAGACCCCTCCTAGGAAACCCCAGGACCCCTCCCCAAGAGCCCCCGGGAACCCTCCCCACAAGCCCCTGGATCCCCTCCCCACAGTCCCCAGACCCCTCCCCCAGAGCCCCCAGGACCCTTCCTGAGACCCCGGGACCCCTCCCCAGAACCCCTGGGACCCTTCCCCGGAGACCCCGGGACCCCTCCCCGGAGACCACGGGACCCCTCCCCGGAGACCCCGGGACCCCTCCCCGGAGACCCCGGGACCCCTCCCCGGAGACCCCGGGACCCCTCCCCGGAGACCCCGGGACCCCTCCCCGGAGACCCCGGGACCCCTCCCCGGAGACCACGGGACCCCTCCCCGGAGACCACGGGACCCCTCCCCGGAGACCCCGGGACCCCTCCCCGGAGACCCCGGGACCCCTCCCCGGAGACCCCGGGACCCCTTCCCGAGACCCCAGGACCCTTCCTGAGACCCCAGGACCCTTCCCTGGACCCCCCCCGGATGCCCTCCTCAGGATCAACTGTGAACACTGAGGGCCGCGTCCCCGACCTGCTCCTGCCCTCGCAGCCTTTCCCCAGCTCCTGTGTGCGAGGCGAGTCCCCACAACCAGCCCAGGCCTGCAGCTGTGGGGTCCGAACGTGCTCTGCCCGCACTGCTGAGTCCTCCAAGCCTCCTACAGTCCAAAGAGCCGGCCCTCCCCTTGGCCCACCTCCCCACCCCGGCACCAGCGCTAATCCATCAGCCCTCACTTTCCAACAATGATGGTGCCGGCCACACCGCCTACTCACAGGCCTCAGCCTGGCTCCTAATGAGCCAGACATGCTGACCAATCTGCCTGCTGGGACCTTGGCTCGGTCCTCTCCGGCAACTTCAGAAACTTCATAAGCAAAACGTAGCACTTGGTCTAACGTGCCATCAGACGACTCTCCCCAAATTTACTGTTGCTCTCCTGATTTCTCGTCTCACCTCCCGGTTCCTCAGCCTGGATGTCTGGACAGGATCCTGGACTGCGGCCTCCGTCCCCCGCCTCTACCCCTCACCTGCTCTGCTACCTGCAGCCGAGAAACTGTCACCAGCATCTCGGACACCCACTGTGTGCAGAAGCCAGCCCAGGCTCAGCTTCCACAGGAACATGACTAGCTCTGGTCAGTCCCAGCTCCGCACTCAGCCACGAGGGACTCCCAGGGTCCCCGGGCCCCGACGCCCTGCCCTGACGTGGGGTCTCCACAAAACACTCACCCTTGCTTTCTGCATGACAGCCGCTGTCCTCTCACATGCTAGATCCCGGGAGCCCATGGCAATGGGGAGAAGCTGGGTGCCTCACGGGGCCTCCTCACTCCCTCCCTTCATGCACCATCACCACCTGGACTTATCAGGCCTCACCGGACTGCCCCTCTGGGACCTATGCTCCAGGTGGGCCTTGTTCCCAGCTGTTCTTCCAAAAGCCTCTCCCACCTTGGCCCCACCCCAGACACAGGCCCCGACCCAGACAGACCCCGCCCCAGACACAGGCCCCGCCCCAGACACAGGCCCCACCCTCCCGACAAGCACTTTGGCCGAATCCTCCCCATCAAATGAGTCAACCCGACACGGACAGACCTGCAAGTGTGTTTCCATCTCGTCTCGCTCCTTCTGCGCCGACTGGAGATGCCCTTCAAGGTCCGCCATGTGCTGACGGACCTGGGCCACCTCTCTGTGCAGGCGCGAGAGCTCCGCCTCGGCAGTCCGCTTCTCCCCGTGCACTTGCATCAGCTCCTGCCGCAGCTCCTTCAGCTCCGAGTCCAGCCTCTTCCTGGTGGCTTTCAGCTCACTGATGAGCTGGTCTTTGGAGGTGGCGTCGCGCCGGTAGGCCTCCACCATCACCTGCCAAAGACAGAGGCTGTGAGCGGACGCTGGGCGGCGGGGCGTGGGGGGCGTACCTGGGGGTCAAGCTGGCTTCAACAAAAATGTTTACCACTTATCGGGGGCATAACTTTTTTGAGGTAAAGATACATTTCATCAAATCTAAGACTCCATCGACTGAGACACACCACTGTTTATCCACAGGTGACATCACTGCCTGTTGAGAGACTGCGTGGTGCACAAGGCAGTCACACCGGCCTCATAGACGTCTCCTCTATTCCAAGGAGTCTGGCTCTCTCCTGACTTCAGTTGCACGGCTTTGCTTCCAACAGGTAATCCCCTTGCTTGTGGCTCAGTAATAAAGCAAAGCAGGACTCACGACACCGCTTCAGGGGCCGCCCTTGCTCAGAAATAAAATACAGCAGGCCGGGCGCGGTGGCTCACACTTGTAATCCCAGCACTCTCAGAAATAAAATACAGCAGGCCGGGCGCGGTGGCTCACACTTGTAATCCCAGCACTCTGGGAGCCCGAGCTGGCTGATCACCTGAGGTCAGGAGTTCAACCAGCCTGGCCAACAAGGTGAAAACCCCATCTCTACTAAAAATACAAAAAACTAGCCAGGCGTGGTGGTGCATGCTTGTAGTCCCAGCTACTCACGAGGCTGAGGCATGAGAATCATTTGAACCTGGCAGTTGGAGGTTGCAGTGAGCGGAGACAGCACTACTGCACTCCAGCCCGGGCGACACAGCCAGACTCTGTCTCAAAAAAACTAAATTACAGGCCGGGCGTGGTGGCTCATGCCTGTAATCCCAGCACTTTGGGAGGCCAAGGTGGGCGGATCACGAGGTCAGGAGATTGAGACCATCCTGGCTAACACGGTGAAACCCCGTCTCTACTAAAAATGCAAAAAAAAATTAGTCGGGCGTGGTGGCCGGTGCCTGTAGTCCCAGCTACTCAGGAGGCTGAGGCAAGAGAATGGCGTGAACCTGGGAGGCGGAGCTTGCAGTGAGCCGAGATCGCACCACTGCCCTCCAGCCTGGGGTACAGAGCGAGACTTCATCTCAAAAATAAAATAAAATAAAATACAGCAGCGCTCACAACGCTGCTTCAGGGGTCACCCTCGCTCAGAAATAAAACACAGCAGCACTCACAATATAGCTTCGGGGTCACCCTTGCTCAGATCCCATAAAATCCAACAGGAGGTACTGGCTTCACTGACACAAAATTTATATTCCGTGTCTTTTTGGATAACCAAAATTTGTTTCAATGCTGGAACTCTATGTGCATTTTTCAAAGACATTTTAAATGGCAAACCCAACCTGTGTGTTAACAACACTGCACAACACACAGCTCCCTGGAGTGAGCACAACAGGGTATGCTGACAGGCGCTCCAGTGACAGCCGCCCCTGGAGATCTGAGGGGCCAAGACCCCCACCCCACTGTGGAAGTGTGTCTTGACTTTGCAGATTAAGTACCTTTAAAAAAAGTTAAAGAGGGCCGGGCGCGGTGACTCATACCTGTAATCCCAGCACTTTGGGAGGCCGAGGAGGGTGGATCACCTGAGGTCAGGAGATTGAGACCATCCTGGCTAACACGGAGAAACCCCATCTCAAAATACAAAAAACAAAAAATTAGCCGGACGTGGTGGAGGGCGCCTGTAGTCGCAGCTACTCGGGAGGCTGAGGCAGGAGAATAGCTTGAACCCGGGAGGCAGAGCTTGCAGTGAGCCAAGATCGCGTCACTGCACTCCAGCCTGGCTGACAGAGAGAGACTCCGTCTCAAAAAAAAAAAAAAAAAAAAAAAAAAAAAAAAAAAAATTTAAAGAGAACTCAAGATGTTACCTTCTTCTCAACTTCAATGACATTGGAATTGCTAAGCAATTAAACCACAGAAAACTCTGTTCATATGCTTGTTTCAAGTGAAGAAATCAACAACAGATTTTTACCTTTTGTTGGAGAAACTGTTCCTTTATTTTTTGCATTTGCTTTTTCAGAGCAGCAGTCTCCTGCTGCAGGTGTTCCACCTGTGGGAGACATGTGCACAGACATTACACTGACGGCTCCAGGAGGGGAATCTGTCTGCACAGATGTTACACTGAAGCCTCCAGGAGGGGAACACATCTGCACAAATGTTACAGAGAGCTCCAGGAGGGGACACATCCTCACAGATGTTACACTGAGGGCTCCAGGAAAGGACACATCTGCAGAGATGTTTCACTGAGGGCTCCAGAAGGGGCCACATCTGCAGCGATGTTACACTGAGGGCTCCAGAAGGGGCCACATCTGCAGCGATGTTACACTGAGGGCTCCAGGAAAGGACACATCTGCAGAGTTGTTACACTGAGGACTATAGGAGGGGAATGTGTCTGCACAGATGTTACACTGAGGGCTCCAAGAGGGGGATGCATGTGCATGAATATTACACTGAGGGCTACAGCAGGGGGACACATCTACACAGATGTTACACTGAGGGCTCCAGGAGGGGCCACATCTGCAGAGATGTTACACTGAGGGCTCCAGAAGGGGCCACATCTGCAGCGATGTTACACTGAGAGCTCCAGGAAAGGACACATCTGCAGAGTTGTTACACTGAGGGCTCCAGAAGGGGACACATCTGCAGAGATGTTACACTGAGGGCTCCAGGAAAGGACACATCTGCAGAGTTGTTACACTGAGGACTATAGGAGGGGAATGTGTCTGCACAGATGTTACACTGAGGGCTCCAAGAGGGGGATGCATGTGCATGAATATTACACTGAGGGCTACAGCAGGGGGACACATCTACACAGATGTTACACTGAGGGCTCCAGGAGGGGGATGCAACTACACAGACATTACACTGATGGCTCCAGGAGGGCACACATCTGCACAGATGTTATAGGAAGAAGCACTTGTGTTCTGACGGGAACTGGTGGTTCCTAAGGCCTGGGCTCTCCCTCCTCACCACTGACAGCATGAAGGCACAGTGAGTGGCAGGGAGGTGGGAGAGGGGATGAGGCCAGGGGACACTGCAGCCCAGGGCTCGGCAAGCCTTTCTTGGAGATGCCTGATGGGAAAAGACTGCAGCTCACAGGCTGCACGTCAGTCACAGCTGCTCAGCAATGCTCTTGCAGCACAGGCGAGCGAGCAGGGCTGTTACAGTGACAGTTTACAGAACCCGGTGTTGGGCTGCGCCCACAGGCTGAGGGTGCTGACCCCAGGCTCTGGTCCTTGTCCTGCAAAGTCTGTTGGAGCCCAGCCCATTCAGCCCAGGAGCTTGTGAGAAATGCAGAGCCTCGGGCCCCACACAGACCCACCGCACAGGACCTGCACTCAGAGGGCTCCACACAGACCCACCCCACGGGACCTGCACTCCGAGGGCTCCACACAGACCGACCGCACGGGACCTGCACTCGGAGGGCTCCACACAGACCCACCACACGGGATCTGCACTCGGAGGGCTCCACACGGACCGACCGCACGGGACCTGCACTCGGAGGGCTCCACACGGACTGACCGCACGGGACCTGCACTCGGAGGGCTCCACACGGACCCACCCCACGGGATCTCCACTCGGAGGGCTCCACACGGACCGACCACACGGGACCTGCACTCGGAGGGCTCCACACAGACCCACCACACGGGATCTGCACTCGGAGGGCCCCACACAGACCCACCCCACGGGACCTGCACTCGGAGGGCTCCACACAGACCCACCACACGGGATCTGAACTCGGAGGGCTCCACACAGACAGACCGCACGGGACCCGCACTCGGAGGGCTCCACACAGACCCACCGCACGGGACCCGCACTCGGAGGGCTCCACACAGACCCACCCCACGGGACCCGCACTCGGAGGGCTCCACACAGACCCACCGCACGGGACCCGCACTCGGAGGGCTCCACACAGACCCACCGCACGGGACCCGCACTCGGAGGGCTCCACACAGACCCACCGCACGGGACCCGCACTCGGAGGGCTCCACACTGACCCACCGCACGGGACCCGCACTCGGAGGGCTCCACACAGACCCACCGCACGGGACCCGCACTCGGAGGGCTCCACACAGACCCACCGCACGGGACCCGCACTCGGAGGGCTCCACACAGACCCACCGCACGGGACCCGCACTCGGAGGGCTCCACACAGACCCACCGCACGGGACCCGCACTCGGAGGGCTCCACACAGACCCACCGCACGGGACCCGCACTCGGAGGGCTCCACACAGACCCACCGCACGGGACCCGCACTCGGAGGGCTCCACACAGACCCACCGCACGGGACCCGCACTCGGAGGGCTCCACACAGACCCACCGCACGGGACCCGCACTCGGAGGGCTCCACACAGACCCACCGCACGGGACCCGCACTCGGAGGGCTCCACACAGACCCACCGCACGGGACCCGCACTCGGAGGGCTCCACACAGACCCACCGCACGGGACCCGCACTCGGAGGGCTCCACACAGACCCACCACACGGGATCTGCACTCGGAGGGCTCCATACAGACCCACGGCACAGGACCTGCACTTGGAGGGTCCCGGAGGACTCAGGAATCCATGTGTTTGTGAAACACTTCTCTACCTCAGCAAACAGCTCTCAGTGCACACACACATGGGGCGGCCGACTCCAGAAATAGGGAAGAGCTTGTTTAGGGCCTAGGTTTTCTGTCTGAATACAGAACACACTGCATGCAAATCCTAGTTATCACTAGAGCATGACTGAAGAATGAGCCTTTTTCCCTACAATATGGAGGGCGGTCCCTCAGGAGCCCCCCTGCGAAGGATCAAAGTGCTGGTTGTTCCACACGCATCATTCATCCGTTCCGATGATCCTCACGTCACCTGCCCCTGGTCCCACAGCGGCTCCCACAGTGGGCAACAGACTTGGAACTCAGCAAACAGGGAGCCATGGTCAGAGAAACCTCAGCCCCCACGTGGATACTGCTGTGTCTAGATGCCTAGGGAATGCAGTGGCTCACGCCTGTAATCCCAGCACTTCGGGAGGCTGAGGCGGGCAGTTCACTCGAGCCTAAGAGTTTGAGACCAGCCTGGGCAACATGGCAAAACCCCGTATCTATTTAAAAAAAAAAAAAAAAAAAAAGATGGCCGGGGATGTGTGCACATTCCGACAAGGCCAGGCAGAGTGGCCAACACCAGGCAGGCCCAGGAGGCCAGTCCGTCTCCCAGTCGGCTGACTATGGTCCCCAGGTGGAAAACAGACTTCAGAGCTGGGAAGGCAGCTTCCAAGACAAGGTCACTGCTACCACCACCTTCATCTGCCCTGGGGAAAACAGCCCAACCCAGAGGTTAACTTGGATTAAATAACTGCCAGTAATGACAACACAGGTAAAATTCCAATATGAGAAATAACATATAGCTCCACAAAAGTCTCTCTCGCAGTCTTCCAGGTATCAGCTGTTTCTTACTGAGCTAATGGTCAGTAAAATCAAGTTTAAATTCATCCACAGAATTGGGACAATTCCTCTAAATTTACTCCCCCAACACTGTAAACAGTAATGACCTGTCTGAGTGCCTCTTTACTAGAAAATCACTTAGTACAGGTCAGTGTTTGTAGTGACAGCTTCCTTCAGAAAGGAGGGAAAACAGGCTCATGATTTCCTCTTGCCCTTGATCCTTATAGAGTGGGATTTAAAGACAGAATAGGTGGCTCACACCTGTAATCCCAACACTTCGGGAGGCCGAGGTGAGCAGATCATGAGGTCAAGAGATGCAGACCATCCTGGCCAACATGGTGAAACCCCATCTCTACTAAAAATACAAAAATTAGCTGGGTGTGGTGGCATGCACCTGTAGTCCTAGCTACTTGGGAGACTGAGGCAGGAGAATCACTTGAACCCCGGAGGCAGAGGTTGCAGTGAGCCGAGATCACCGCACTACACTCCAGCCTGGCGACAGAGTGAGACTCCATCTCAAAAAAAAAAAAAAAGAAAAAAGGGGTCGGGCGCGGTGGCTCACGCCTGTAATCCGAGCACTGTGGGAGGCGGAGGCAGGCAGATCACTTGGGTTTAGGAGTTCGAGACTAGCCTGGCCAACATGGCAAAACTCCATCTCTACTACAAATACAAAAGTTAGCTGGGCACAATGGCTCAGGCCTATAATCCCAGCACTGTGGGAGACTGAGGTGGGCGGATCACTTGAGGTTAGGAGTTCGAGACTAGCCTGGCCAACATGGCAAAACCCCATCTCTACTACAAATACAAAAATTAGCCAGGCATGGTGGTTCAGCCTGTAATCCCAGCACTGTGGGAGACCGAGGCGGGTGGATCACTTGAGGTTAGGAGTTTGAGACTAGCCTGGCCAACATGGCGAAACCCCATCTCTACTACAAATACAAAAATTAGCTGGGCATGGTGGCGCACACCTGTAATCCCAGCTACTCAGGAGGCTGAGGCACAAGAATTGCCTGAACCTGGGAGGTGGAGGTTGCAGTGAGCGCAGATCATCCCACTGCACTCCAGCCTGGGCAACACAGCGAGACTGTTTCAAAAAAAAAAGAAAGAAAGAAAGAAGCAAATAATCAGCATCATTCCTGCAAGGAGGGTTCTGATTCAAAACAAAACACAGCAGAATGCATTACCTGGCCGGATTTGATAGCTAATTCTTCTCTTAACTTCTCTAAAGTTTCCGACGTTTCCTCGGTACCTTCTTCCAAGCGTCTTGCTCCTCTGTCAAGCTCCTCCTTGCCACTCTTGGCCGCCTGCAAAGCCGCCTCCAAGATGATCTTCTCGTTCTGCAGGAGGCAGATCGTGTCCTCCCTGGAGGCGGCCTCGCCCTGCAGCTCCCCCAGCCTGGCCTGCAGCTCATCGTAGTGTGTCTGCAGGGCATCGAGGGACTGCTCCCTGCTCTGCAGAGCCTCCTGAGTCAAGGTGAGCTGTTTCATCAGGTCCAGGTGCTCCTGCTGCAAAGCCTCAAGCTGCTGGTCTCGCTGGAGTAAAGTCAACTTCACCTGGAGAAGGAATGAAGCCCACATGGCTGCGCCTGACCCTCCTCCGAGAGCGTATGCCCTTTTCCTGTTCGGGTTTCAAGTAATTTTGATGGACACTATGGAGGGTCTTTTTTTCACGCACAATCCTGGTATAGAAGAACCAGCAGGGCAAACACAGGGTCAGGTCTGCAGCAGCAGCAGCGTCTGACCGACAGCCCAACTCCCACCTGAGCGGACGTGGCCCCACAGCAGAGGACTGCTCGGTCTCCTTGTGTGCAGTCCTGGCTGCTCGGGATCACCTGGGGCCTGGGTCCAGCCTGAAGGGCTGCAGGGACTTACCTGCTCCAGCTGCTGCTCCAGGGATGCCGCCGAGTCCGCCATCCTCTGCAGCCGCTCCCTCTCACCTTCAAACTCTTCCAGCCTCCTCTGAAGGTCCTCCTCCACCATCGTCTTTGCCTCCTGAATCTGCATGAAGGCTGCTTCCTGATCCAACATGTCAGCCTGAGCCCAGGAAACTTGTTTTTAAAAAGGCAGGAAACCTTAATAGTGAACAGCAGCCGGTGGCCCCGTGCTCTGCAGAGAAACCCACCGCCCTGGCATGGGCCCCATCCACCTCCTCATCCTGTCTACCGACTGCAGACTGAGGGCCCAGGATGGGCAGCTTGGCCGCCCCCCAACCAGGAGACCGAGGCCAGGCCCAGCCCAGGCCAGCAACCCCGTGAGAAGGACTTGGACCCACTGGTGAGCAGAGCCTCCCCGACTTTCTCGTGTGGCGACAGCTGCCTCCTTTCGGGAGTGAGACCCGGACATGCTCTCACAAGAGCGGTGCTTGGTGCTACCGGGTAAGAGACCAGAGGCCCCCGCAGTGAACACAGCCTCACATCGGGGTACACTTCTTAGGGAAAACACAAATTCCTAACTTGAAACTTGAAATTCTTTTCAGTTCTTCTCTACTAAGCCCTTGAAGCACTATGGCTGACGCAACGTGATTCTTCTCATCCCAGCCGGGCAGCCCAGCTAATGCCACAGAGAGGTGGGAGCAGTCGCAGGAGATGAGAAACCACGTGAGGCTGCAGAGAGCTCCCTGTACAACTGGCAAGATCGGCAACGAGACCAGCCCAGCAACATCCAGCACAGAACCTCCCTCCATACACTGCCTTGGGGTTTTACACCATTTCTTCTTCTTTAATTTTTCCACAAG
Source organism: Homo sapiens (assembly GCF_000001405.40). NCBI lineage: Eukaryota > Metazoa > Chordata > Mammalia > Primates > Hominidae > Homo > Homo sapiens. The sequence continues at coordinate 132,797,401 of NC_000012.12, forward strand.
GCTATCGAGTAGGTGACACTATCCCCATTTTATAAAGATGAGGCTCACGCCTGTAATCCCAGCACTTTGGGAGGCCGAGGCAGGCGGATCACCTGAGGTCAAGAGTTTGAGACTGGCCTGGCCAACATGGCGAGACCCCGTCTCTACTAAAAATACAAAAAATTAGCAGGGTATGGTGACGAGTGCCTGTAATCCCAGCTACTCGGGAGGCTGAGGCAGGAGAATTGCTTGAACTTGGTAGGCAGAGGTTGCAGTGAGCCAAGATCGCACCACTGCACTCCACCCTGGGCGACAAGAGCAAAATTCCACCTCAAAAAAAAAAAAGATGCGGCTCAGAGAGGTAAGAAATTGTCCAGCGCCCCACAGCTAAAGGAGAACAGCTATCAAGGCTGCTGCATTTCTGTCCTCTGGAGATGGCTGTGCAGGCAGCGGCCATGACCTCGACAGCGTGTGGTTGCTGGAGGGTTAAATGGCAATGCAGTCTGAGTGCTCAGTAAGCAAAGAAAATCCTCTCATCCCTAGGCTTCGACAGGCTGTCAGGCAAAAACGCACTGGCCCCTTCCTCCGTACCCACTCTGTACCCAGCGCCATCCCTGACTGGCAATGACTGACAGCCGGGGGCCCAGGCCCAAGGCGGGGCTTGCAGGAAAAGAGCCGCAAGTGCTCACTGCACTAAGCCCCCACAGGTGAGGATGAGGGGTGGGGGGGGTCCCAAAGCCTTAACGAGCAGTCACTGCAGGCCATCCATGCTAAGCCCCCACAGGTGAGGGATGAGGGGTGGGGGGGGGGTCCCAAAGCCTTAACGAGCAGTCACTGCCCGCCATCCATGAGAATATTTAAGAGATACACACAGAGAGACGGAACATGTAAGAAAACACACATGGTATCGATGTCTGCGTCTGTTCTCCTAAGCTTCCACGGCCCCGGCCGCAGCCTCACCTCAATGCCCTGCAGCTGTGCCGCGATGCGCCCCTTCTCCTTCATGGACCTGTGCTGAGTTTCCGTCAGCTGCTGGGACAGGGACACATTCTCGAGTTTCAGGTGCTCCAGGAGACCTGCCTGGGTCATCTGTCCAACCTTAAAAAAAAAACCCACAAAGTAAAAAGTTGCTCAATTTCAAGCAAGAAATGCAGACCAGCCTGTCCCTGGAGGCCCCAGGGTGAGGGTCACTGGCTGCCCCCTCAGTGTCTCCCACGCAAGCCCCACTACCCACTACACGTCTTCCCATCTCAAAATATGCGCTGTCTGGGCTCTGCGTGCCTGAGTGGGAGGGCGGGCGGGCCATCAGCCAGCGCTCATCATGCTGTTTGTAGCTCATCAGACTGCGGTTTGTAGCAGGACCTACCCAAAAGTCCCCATTGACAAGGCATCTCTGAGCCCCTGTGGGTGAGGAGGGGCATCTCTGAGCCCCTGTAGGTGAGGAGGCTTATCTTAACTGAACAAATCCAGCCAGACACACACCAGGGCCTGCCCTCAGCCAGACGCCCGACAGGTGCCATTCCAGGGATACAGCCTTTTCAGCCAGCTAGGGCCCGGCCCAGACCTCCAGGTGCTCAGGCCCACGCTGGCCAAGCGTCTCGTGAAAAAGCCCAGGACCATGGCCCTGAGGAGGACGGCGTCAGCCAAGGGAAGTAGCACTGAAAAGGAGGTGTGAGGACAGCCTGGGGCCTGAGGCTAGACCTGCCCGCATCGCCTCTAGCTCCATGCTGCTTCCTGGAGTGCACAGTGCGAGACGTGACAGAAGCCACACGCTCCAGGACCTCAGGAGAAGGTGCACGGAGCCAGGGAAGACAGCCTTTGCTGGGACTGTGTTTCGAGACCATGAAAGCAGACTGACTGCCTGGAATTCTCCTCCCTCCTGAACGTTACTGGGAATGAAGGGATACATTTGGGTACCAAAAAAATGTATTAAAAACTCTGATTAAGGAATGCTGAACCTGGGTTCCAAAGGTATTTGGAAAAAGCAGTGAGGGCCCGGCAGTGGCTCATCCTGTAATCCCAGCACGCTGGGAGGATCGCTTGAGTCCAGGAGTTCAAAACCTGCTTAGGCAACATAGCGAGACCCTGTCCTTACAGAAAACTTTTAAACAATTAGCCAGGTGTGATGGTGTTCACCTATGTCCCAGCTACTTGGGGGGCTGAGGCAGGAGGACTGTTTGAGCCCAACAGGTCAAGGCTGCAGGGAGCTATGATGGTAACACTGAATTCCAGCAGCCTGGGTGACAGGGCAAGACCCTGTCTCCGAAAAAACAGCAGATAGGGCTCTGGAGCCACCATTGCTTTAAAGCTTCCTCTCTTTTTGTTGTCCAGGCTACACCACCATACTTCCTTGTTGTTGGTTTTTTTTTTTTGAGACAAAGTCTGGCTCTGTTGCCCAGGCTGAAGTGTGGAGTGCAGCAGCGCAATCTTGGCTCACTACAACCTCTGCCTCCTGGATTCAAGCACATCTCATGCCTCAGCCTCCCAAGTAGCTGGGACTACAGGCACTCACCACCACACCTGGCTAACTTTTGCATTTTTAGTAGAGATGCAGTTTCGCTATGTTGGCCAGGCTGGTCTTGAACTCCTGGCCTCAAGTGATCGGCCCGCCTCGGCCTCCCAAAGTGCTGGGATTACAGGCATGCGCTACTGCACCTGGCCCAAACTATACTTCTAAAATACACCTGGCTTGGCCTACGTCTTTAAATACCTCATATAAATGCACTGCAGCTGTAAAAAAGTGTATTAATTTGTATACTGATTTGTTTCCAAGCTATGTTGTAAGTAGAACAAATGCTTTTCCGTATTGTTCTTTGGCTTAAAAAATATGTAACAGTCGAGTGTGGTGGCTCACACCTGTAATCCCAGCACTCTGGAAGGCTGAGGAAGGCGGATCACAAGGTCAAGAGTTCAAGACGAGCTTGGCCAATATGGTGAAACCCCATCTCTCCTAAAAATACAAAAATTAGCCGGGCATGGTGGCGGGCGCCTGTAATCCCAGCTACTCGGGACGCTGAGGCAGGAGAATCACTTGAACCCAGGAGACAGAGGTTGCAGTGAGCTGAGATCACAACACTGTACTCCAGCCTGGGAGACAGAGCAAGACTCCATCTCAAAACAAACAAAAAAGTAACGAAAATTGAAGAAAAGTTCTATTGTGTATATTTGTAACTCTAGATGTAAAAGGAACATTTGGTGGAATTAGTATTTCACGTTCCCCTCTTGAGAAATAAAGTTTTAATAAATTTATAATATTTTATCTGGGAAAAAAAAATTCCACAGCTAATTAAAAAATAACAGGCCAGGTGCGGTGGCTCACGCCTGTAATCCCAACACTTTGGGAGGCTGAGGCAGGCATCACTTGAGCCCAGGAGTTGGAGGCCAGCCTGGGCAACATGGCAAAACCTTGTCTCTACAAAAAGTACAAAACTTAGCCGGGCATGGTGGCAAATGTCTGTGATCCCAGCTAGTTAAGAGGCTGAGGTAGGAGAATAGCTTGAGTCTGAGAGGTTGAGGCTGCAGTGAGCTGAGATCGCACCACTGCTCTCCAGCCTGGGTGACGGAGTGAGACACAGTCTCAAAAAAAAACCAAAAACAAAAAGACTGAGGCTGACCAAAGGTACTCTTCAGCATCTCTGAGGTCATCCTAATTAGTCTAGGTGCTGAGACTCGGATCGAGGTTCACTCGAACCATTCGCCTGTCGGTCTGGGCGTCTCCAGCACACGAAGCAGTTGCTGTGGGCCGAGGCACAGGCCTGGACGGACACACACTCCCACATATGCGGGACCAAGCTGGACATGGGCTGTGCCCGCTAACGAGTGGACGGGAGAGGAAAGAGTTTTCCAACAGGACGTAGAAAATGCAAGGCCTGCTGGGAAGACGTGGTCCCCGTGTATCACTGAGGGCTCAGGCAGCAGGGAAAGGAAAAGCTCCAACCGGGAAGAGAACCCCACTGGCACCGCACGCCTGTGAGACATCACAGCAGAGTGGGGAGGCTGAGGTGGGAGGGTCCTGAGACCCAGGCAGATGAGGATTCACAGGCACGCAACACTGTGCCGAGTCAGGAGGCCAGGGTGGGAGGGTCCCGAGACCCAGGCAAATGAGGATTCACCGGCATGTGTCACCATGCCCAGCAAGAGAGGCTTTGGAACTGAAAATGCTGGCAGAGGCTGCCGTGGGACTCCCATGTCAGAAGGTTGGGGGGGGGCCCACGGGACACGTCCTGCATACGACACGTCCTACATGGGACACGGGGTGGGCTGGACAGCAGGTTAAAAACAAAAACATGCCTGTGAACTCTAAAAACAGAAAAATCTCAGGAAAAAGCACCGTTCTACATGAAGACAAGAAGCGTGACCTGCCCTGGAAGGTAGATGTGGGCCGTACCTGGATGTGGGCCATCTCACCCTGCAGCCTGACGCGGGCCTCCTGTGCCAGGGCGAGCTGCTGCTGGTACCACTGCCGGACACTCTGCAGGGACGAGATCTCCGCCTGCGACGCCTTCAGCTTGCTGGTCAGCGTCGTCCGCTCCAGCTGCACCTGCTGAAGCTGGCTCTGCAAGGCTGTCATCTGCTGTCGCAGGTCGTGCACTGAAATGGGGCAAGCACAGCGGCTCAGGCCAGCGACGGCCAACGGGGGAGTCCGCAGCTCCGCGCGTGCGGGACACAAGGCGGGACTCTCAGGGGAGACCAAGAATGAGTCAGTTCCGGTTATTCCCCATAGCTGACTCCATGAAGTCGCCGTGAACACGGCATTAGTGGGCGCTGAGAGATGCCGCTCCTGGCAGAAATGCAGGGTGAGGTTCCTGCAGGCCTCTGCTCACAGCACCTTCACCAGCTCATCAATACATAACCTCTGTTCAGTGTTTCCATTTACGACACCGATCTAATACATAGCGTCGATTCATTCACACCGAGCTCACGGCCAACAGCAACTTGACCAACAAGCCTGAGCAAAGATTCTCTAGGAAATAACAGTGGCCGGACACGGGGGTGCAGGGGGCATGGGGGGTGCAGGGGGCACAGGGGTGCACGCCCAGGAGATCCAGACCAGCCTGGGCAACACAGCGAGATCCCCCACCACCAAAAAAAAAAAATTAGCCAGGCGGGGTGGCATGCATCTGTGGTCCCAGCCACTTGGGAGGCTGAGGCGGGCGGATCCCATGAGCCCAGGAGTTTGAGGCTGCAGTGAGCCACAACTGCACTGCTGCACTCCAGCGTGGGCAACAGAGCAACCCATCTCAAAGACAAATGAATTTTTAAAAACAAAAAGAAAATTTAAAAAAATAGAAACAGGATGAATTGAAAAAAATAAACCAAAAGAAAAAAATGAAGTACATCTTCTCCATGAAACACCTCACATCCTCTCTGTGTTTAAAAACACTAGACAGTGTTGGCCGGGCACAGTGGCTCACGCCTGTAATCCCAGCACTTTGGGAGGCTGAGGCGGGCGGATCACCTGAGGTTGGGAGTTCGAGACCAGCCTGGCCAACATGGAGAAACCCTGTCTCTAATAAAAATACAAAATTAGCCGGGCGCGGTGGCAGACGCCTGTAATACCAGCTACTAGGGAGGCTGAGGCAGGAGAATCGCTTGAACCTGGGAGGCAGAGGTTGCGGTGAGCCAAGATGGCGCCATTGCACTCCAGCCTGGGCAACAAGAGTGAAACTCCGTCTCAAAAACAAAACAAAACAACAACAACAACAAAACAACAAAAAAAAACACTAGACAGTGTTTGGGGCCATCTTTAACTGCAAAATTACCCCCCAAAGCACAAACATGTAAACATGGCCCTGGAAAGAACTCCTGCCTGCAGCCCGGCTGAGCACCAAGGCAGGCAGAGTATCCTGCCCTCCTCAGCGGGCGCCTAGGATGACTCACGTACTCTGCTGCTCCACACGTGTCCATGAATACTGAGTTTGTGGTTCAAACAAATTTAATCAAGTCGGCAAATTCACACTTAGGAAATCTGTGAAAATGGTCATGGACGCCGAGGCTCTGTCTTCGACCCAACGATGTCTACCAGCCATCAACAAACAGCAAGGGTATCCGTGTGGCTAATTCCAACTTAAACCCACCGGTTAGGACTGGGCGGCCTCATCAAAGTTCAGGTTGGTTTTGCCACCCCCCGATCACTGGTCAAGTGAAGCGTGGCAACCCACAGGGCCCCAAACTACTTTAGTGTTGAGAACTTTTTGGGTTTCATGGTTTTTCCTAAGGGATTGGGTATCACGAAATGCTCAAGGACTAAAATATTAAAGCGATTACAAGAGTACTACTGTCTCTCGGCCGGCTTTCTCTTTCCTAGTATTAGAATGTAGCCTCTGTGACGCCAGCTTGTCACCTTCCTCTGTGTCATCCAAGACCCAGTCTCACAGCCTCATAGGCGGACCGGCTCACATGGAGTCAGCCCTCACAGCGGCTGCACCAGGGACCCCTGGCTCAGGAGATCCCAAGACCTGAGAGATGAGCCCACCAAGCGGCCTCCCTGGGAGGACTCTGGACCCGGGTCACTCTACACCCCTCGGGCTTTGTCTTCAATCTTCCCACCCTGCTTCGCCCTCTCCTTCCCACTCCTGTTCACGCTTGCTCTGAGCAGGCCAACCACAGTCTTCTCCGTGTCTGCTGGGCACTGGAGTGTGAGCTCTGGGACTGGCCCGGGCGGGGACTGAGGGGGTGGAAGGCGTGCTGCCAAGCCACATGGAAGCCCGCCGCGGCTTCCGCAATCCACTGCCCTACTTGTACTCTCTGGGCGAGCCCTATAGGGAGGCAGCTGGACCGACGCACTGCATCCAGGGAGAAAAGGTTGCCAGACGGACAGTCAAGGAGCTGTTCTTGAATATTTTAAATGGAATCTGCAATTCTGTGGAATAAGTGGGCAGCTCTATACTCCCAAATAACACTGGACTTTTGAGGCAGGATCACCGCAGATACTCCAGGGTCCAAGGTCAATCTCCAAGACCTAATTCATTCCCCTGGATGTGCACACAAAAATGTACACAATTCCACAAGTTCAACTAAAACTTGTATTTCCTTTAGAAAAGCAGCCTCCTTATGTGTAAACTATAAACCAATGCAACCCTCACAGGCACAGTCACATGCCGACAGAGCTGTCAGCACCAGGGAGGAGGGCGTGGCGAGGACCAGTCAGGGAAGGAGGGCGTGGCGGGGACCAGTCGAGGAAGGAGGGAGCAGCGGGGACCAGTCGAGGAAGGAGGAGGGAGCAGCAAGGACCAGTCAGGGAAGGAGGAGGGCGTGGCGGGGGCCAGTCGAGGAAGGAGGAGGGAGCAGCAGGGACCAGTCAGGGAGGGGAGGGCGTGGCCAGGGCCAGCCTCACCTGTGTTGTCCTTGCTGAGCATGCTCCTCTGCATGTCCTCTACCTTGGCCATAAGCCTCTGGTACTGCTCCTCGGCCACCTGCAAGTCGTTGTTGGACGACGCCAGGCTGGCATTTTTTGCCTCCAGCATGTTCTGCAGGTCAGTCATGGCTCGCTCCAGGTCCCAGCACGACTGCTTCAGGGTGTCCACCTCCGAGCTCAGCGAATCCTGCCGCTGCTGGCTGCTGTGGCTGCACTCCACCTGCGCCTGCAGCTTCGTGCTGAGGGCGGCCAGCTGGGCCTGCAGCTCAGCCTTCTCTTTAAGTGCCTGAAAAGATCCCAACAACCACAATGATTTTAAGAAAACGAGTCACTTCCATCCAGTGTATTAACAGGAACACAACCAGCGAGTCAGTCAGGGCCTGACAGGGGACCCCGAGACCCCCAGGCGCTCTCCCAAGGCCTGACAGAGGACCCCAAGACCCCCAGGCGCTCTCCCAAGGCCTGACAGGGGACCCCAAGACCCCCAGGCGCTCTCCCAAGGCCTGACAGGGGACCCCAAGACCCCCAGGCGCTCTCCCAAGGCCTGACAGAGGACCCTGCCCCGAGACCCCCAGGCGCTCTCCCAAGGCCTGACAGGGGACCCCGAGACCCCCAGGCGCTCTCCCAAGGCCTGACAGGGGACCCCGAGACCCCCAGGCGCTCTCCCAAGGCCTGACAGGGGACCCCGAGACCCCCAGGCGCTCTCCCAAGGCCTGACAGGGGACCCCGAGACCCCCAGGCGCTCTCCCAAGGCCTGACAGGGGACCCCGAGACCCCCAGGCGCTCTCCCAAGGCCTGACAGGGGACCCCGAGACCCCCAGGCGCTCTCCCAAGGCCTGACAGGGGACCCCGAGACCCCCAGGCGCTCTCCCAAGGCCTGACAGAGGACCCCGAGACCCCCAGGCGCTCTCCCAGCACAGCCGTCACAGAAAAAGGCGACTTTCCAAACAGGCCCAGGACGCACAGGGAGCCTGCACTGGTTTTGGGCCCAACTGCACCTGCACAGGGCAGCGCTAGGGCAGGGCTGGGGAAGCACCCGTCTCCTGCGAGGACACTGGAAACGTGTTCAAAACACCAAACGTGTACACGGGTGCACATGTATGCGCACACACACAGAATGCCAGACGTGTAGAGGGACCCCTGAGAGATTAAAAGCGGATTCAGATCTGGGGGGAAATGGGCAAAAAACACAGGCAGGGAAAGGCGGCTGCCTAAGTGCGGCTCCAGCCAGAGCCACGGGACACAGCACAGTCCTGAGTGGCCACCGCAGTGCTGTGTGGTCCCAGGAGCAGCAGAGAATCGCCAGAGGAAATCGCCCCACCACCTGCCCCCACGCTGAGGCCTACAGGGGCAGGGATCCAGTTCACACATCACCAAGACAACAAACACCCAAAGCAATTGAGGAACTCCACAAACTCCAGGAGACCCTAGAGCAAGGGGCCAGCAACCACCACACCTGAAACAACCCTCACGATCTTGGTGTGGATGCAACCGAAGGACCAATCAGTGATCCTAAGAGGATAAGAAGACAAAGTGCAGTGACAGCAAGCCACCGTTCGAGAGAGTGGCTACACAGAGGAGGGGAAATGCATCCGACGGAGGGAGGCTCACGCTGTAACACTGGAGAAGTGACGACCGTACAACCAGAATTAGCCTCAAAACAGCCGAAATCACCTCTTCTGTAGACACAGCTTTAGGTGTCACAAACTGGTTGGTTTGTGTCCAAGGACCATGTTGTATGAGAAAACCATCTTCGACATGAGGCGTGCATTTAGCAAGGCAAGCTCCGGACACTGTGAGCAGCTCCAGCCCTGCTCTGCGGCCTCGCAGGCCACAGGAGGCTCCCTCAGCTGTGTCACCTCAGGGCCTGGGTGCATTCTCACCCTCCCACGCCAGAAGCGGACAGCTGAACCCCACTGAACAGATTTACTCAACTGCCGACAGAAGATAAATACCTAGCTCTTCACTGTGGATAAAGTGCATACGACAAAATGACAAAGGAGAGCTGAAATAAGGGATGGAAAATGATGTTTCTGGCACATGCTAACCAAGCCAGCGTGTGCAGCTTTCTCTGATACAGCACAATTAGTATCAGAAAAAGCAGAAATCACTACAAAGAAAAAAGGTTCACCATGCCAGAAAAAGCTGCAACCCACCAAGAGAATTTGACTCTTATGGACTGTGAGACACCTAACATCTAGCAAATATTCTGGTAGAGACGCAGGGAGAAACACGCCCATGCACGATGAGGCAGAAAACTCACAACTCTTTCTAAGGCTGACAAGTAGACAAAAAACGTAAAGATGCAGAACCCTCGGCTGCCACACATGCTGCGGCGGCTGATTCCCAACCACATCTGTGAAACCTCGTACCCAACAGAGGAGCCACACATGCTTTCCGACTTCGCCGCACGCTGAGATGTCAGTCGAACGTCCGTTACCTGACTCGCCTCCAGTGACAAGGCTTCCAGCTGTCCTTCGAGTCGCATTTTCTCTTTGAGCACCTGCAGCATCTCCTCCTGTGTTTCTGCTGCAGAGCTCTCCAAGGACACGCTGGGGACAAAGGCACGGGTCAGGCCTGTGCGAGCCATCCTCATTTTCTTTCACACTCCTCCACATTCTCCAAATTCCACACACCCCTGCTGCTCTCTCCCAATTTTTTAAAATTAAGTAAGAGATTTAAGTAGAGAGCTGAGGCTTGCATGATGCACGGATGAACATTCCTGCCAACAGTTGGCACCTCACGCAGTGGGAACTGTTACAGAAACATGAGACATGCAAGCGTCGTGCAGCTTAGTGACAAGTCTATGTAAACGGGAGACTGGATATTTTAGTAACACAGACCATTGCTGATCTAATTCTACTGATTAAAAAGCAGCAGACTTGTTATGAATTAAATGTTCATGTCAAGACTAAGGATAGAATCAGGAAGAAAAGCTGTGTATCACCTGTTCCAGTGCGGAGAGCCGTGGGCCCGGGAAGCAACATCTCAGGCCAGGCCCTCTGCCTGCCCTGCCCGTCTCTGCCCACCCCGCCCCCTCTGTTGGCCCCACCCACCTCTGCTACCGCCCCACCCACCTCTGCCCGCCCCACACCCCCCTCTGTTGGCCCCACCCACCTCCACCCACCCCGCCCACCTCTGCTGTCCCCACCACCTGCTGCAGATGCTGTCTCTCCGACTCCGCACCTCCCCGTTGACCTCCTGCCCCTGGTCTTGGTGCTCAGCGGCTGCGGCCTGGAGGACGTCCTTAATGGAGGGGAACTGGCCCAGGGTATCCGCAGGAATCTCCTGGCCGTTGACCATATAGGGGGTGTCCTGCGTGCCCACTGTCTTCGACAGAATGCCATAGGTCCCTCGGGTGGAGGCGCTGCTGTACGATGAGCTGTCGCTGTCATTTCCATCCACCTCAGACACGCTGTCTCCAGCCAGGGAGGTGTTCTCCAGACGGTCGTCAGTGTCGGGGGACAGGCTGATCTCAGACACAACGGACGCCGCACTGCTTCTGTTCTGCTTCAGGGAACCCTTGGTAGAATCGGGAGCCGGGACATTTCCCCCAGAATTCCCCGCATTTGAATCTTCAGTTCTGTAATCGGCCAGAGACCGGATTTTGCTTGATTTGGAAGTTTTTTTCTCCCTAGGATGTGCCGGAAGCCCCAGGCTGCCCACCTTAGGCCCCCGAGGGACACTGGTGCGCAGGAAGGAATATTCTTTTGTCATAGCCAGGGTACTGGCCCTTGGTAAGTTTTCTGGGTTTAACATGAGCTCAGGATCAAGCGTGCTAAAAAGTCTCGTTTTGGTTGCAGGTTGACTGGACTGAGAAGAAAACAAAAGTACAAAAATTACATTTAAAATCCACAAGCAGCATACTTAAAACTGCCATTCAGAAAGGTGGCACCGATCACTACTCCCTCCGCTGACAACCAGAGAGCACCACCTCCCCAGCCCCTCACCACACAGGGTGCGGCCAGGCCTCCGATCCGTGGTGGTCTCACTGCCGCAAGGCCCCACTCTAGTGACCAGCATGACCACCTCTGGTCTAAAGCACACTCTTCAGTGACTGTGACCTCAACACGTTTAAAACACATCCCAGCAAGTACCTCCTCATCAGACTTCTGTAGGGACCAGCCCCACAGGGTCAGTGGGTCTCCCCCTGTGTGCGGCGACGAGAGTGTAGAAATAAAGACACAAGACAAAGAGACAAGAGAAAAGGCAGCTGGGCCTGGGGGACCACTACCACCAATGCGCGGAGACCGGTAGTGGCCCTGAATGTCGGGCTGCGCTGTTATTTATTGGATACAAGGCAGAAGGGGCAGGGTAAAGAATGTGAGTCACCTCCAATGATAGGTAAGGTCACGTGGGTCACGTGTCCACTGGACGGGGGCCCTTCCCTGCCTGGCAACCAAGGCAGAGAGGGAGAGGAGACACAAAGACAGCTTACGCCATTATTTCTGCATATCAGGGACTATTAGTACTTTCACTAATTTACTACTGCTGTCTAGAAGGCAGAGCCAGGTATACAGGATGGAACATGAAGGCAGACTAGGAGTGTGACCACTGAAGCACAGCATCACAGGGAGATGGTTAGGCCTCCGGATAACTGCGGGCAGGCCTGACATCAGTCAGGCCCTCCACAAGAGGTGGAGGAGCAGAGTCTTCTCTAAACTCCCCCGGGGAAAGGGAGACACCAACCCCCACCCCCGCCCCCCCGCCCCCCGGTTCCCGGTCTGCTAAGTAGTGGGTGTTGTTCCTTGACACCTTTTGCTACCGCTGGACCACGATCCGCCTGGTAACGGGCGTCTTCCCGTCTTCCCAGACACTGGCTTCACCGCTAGACCAAGGAGCCCTCTGGTGGCCCTGTCTGGGCATAACAGAAGGCTTGCACTCTTGCCTTCTGGTCACACCTCACTATGTCCCCTCAGCTCCTATCTCTGTATGGCCTGGTTTTTCCTAGGCTATGATTATAGAGCGAGGATTATCATAATATTGGAATAAAAAGTAATTGCTACAAACTAATGATTAATGATATTCATATATAATCATATCTAAGATCTATATCTGGTGTAACTATTCTTGTTTTATATTTTATTATACTGGAACAGCCCGTGTCCTCTGTCTCTTGCCTCGGTGCCTGAGTGGCTTGCCACCCACAGACTTCCTCAACAGAACTTTCCTGGCTACTCTCCAGTTTATTTTATTTTTTTGGATAAACATAGAAATTTTCTTCAAGGCCGGGCGTGGTGGTTCACACCTGTAATCCCAGCACTTTGGGAGGCTGAGGCGGGCAGATCATTTGAGGTAAGGAGTTCAAGACCAGGCTGGCCAACATGTTGAAACCCCCGTCTCTACTAAAAATACAAAAAAATGAGCCAGGCATGGTGGCACACACCTGTAATCTCAGCTACTTGGGAGGATGAGGCAGGAGAATCACTTGAACCCAGGAGGTGGAGGTCGTAATAAGCCGAGATCATGCCACTGCACTCCAGCCTGGGTGACAGAGTGAGACCCTGTCTCCAAAACAAAAAAAAATTTCTTCAAAAAGGAAGAACATTCTGTTGAACTATAACCACCTTAAATCCATAATTTCCTCCGCCTGCCCACATCTGCTTGCACGTGTGGGCGGCAAGCCACCCAGGTGCCGAGGCAAGAGACTGAGGACGCGAACTGTTCCAGTATAATAAAGTATATAAAATAAGAATAGTTATACCAGATATAGATCTTAGATATGATTATATATGAATATCATTAATCATTAGTTTGCAGCAATTACTTTTTATTCCAATATTATAATAATCCTCACTCTACAATCATAACCTAGGAAAAACCAGGCCATACAGAGATAGGAGCTGAGGGGACACAGTGAGAAGTGACCAGAAGACAAGTGCGAGCCTTCTGTTATGCCCAGACAGGGCCACCAGAGGGCTCCTGGGTCTAGCGGTAACGCCAGCATCTGGGAAGACGCCCATTGCCAAGCAGACCATGGTCTAGCGGTAGCATCAGTGTCAAGGAAAAACACCCACTACTTAGCAGAGTTTAGAGAAGACTCTACTCCTCCACCTCTTGTGGAGGGCCTGACGTCAGTCAGGCCCGCGCACAGTTATCCGGAGGCCTAACCATCAACCTGTGATGCTGTGCTTCAGTGGTCACACTCCTAGTCTGCTTTCATGTTCCATCCTGTACACGTGGCTCTGCCTTTTAGATAACAGTAGCAAAATTAGTGAAAGTACTAAAAGTCTCTGATATGCAGAAATAACGGCATAAGCTGTCTCTCTCTCTCCCTCTCTCTCTACCTCAGCTGCCAGGCAGGGGAGGGCCCCCTGTCCAGTGGGCACGTGACCCACGTGACCTTACTTATCATTGGAGATGACTCACACTCTTTACCCTGCCCCTTTTGCTTTGTATCCAATAAATAACAGCACAGCCTGACATTCGGGGCCACTACCTGTCTCCACGTCTTGGTGGTAGTGGTCCCCCCGGCCCAGCTGTCTTTTATCTCTTTGTCTTGTGTCTTTATTTCTACACTCTCTCGTCTCCGCACACAGGGAGAAAACCCACTGACCCTGTGGGGCTGGACCCTACATGCACGCCCCTCAACAGAGCAGCTACCCCACCCCCATCTAGAACCCAGGCCCTCTGCGGCCATTCTAACTTATTTCTCAGTTTATCCTTTTTGTTGTTATAAATGTTATACTTCCCACTAATCTTACAACTGCTAGGATAACTCTTCATTTTTCATACTTGCATTTTTATTTTTTTTTTGAGATGGACCCAGGCTGGAGTGCAGTGGTGCAATCTTGGCTCACTGCAACCTCTGCCGCCTGGGTTCAAGCGATTCTCCTGTCTCAGCCTCCTGAGTAGCTAGGATTACAGGGGTGTGCCATCACATCCGGCTAATTTTTTGTATTTTTAGTAGAGACGGGGTTTCTCCACGTTGGCCAGGCTGGTCTCAAACTCCTGACCTCAAGCAATCCGCCCGCCCCACCCTCCCATAGTGCTGGGATTATAGGTGTGAGCCACTGCACCCAGCCAGATTAAAGTATTTAAAAACATAACCTTAAAGGTATAAGAAGAACACGCTGGTCATTTTATTGATCTTCTTCTACTGAAGAGATCCTTTTGAAACATGACATAGGCTGGGCGCGATGGTGGGTGCCTGTAGTCCCAGCTACTCAGGAGGCTGAGGCAGAGAATCACTGGAACCTGGGAGGTGGAGGTTGCAGTGAACCGAGATCGCTCCAGCCTGGGCAACAGAGTGAGACTCCGTCTCTCAAAAAAAAAAAAAAAAAAAAACATTAAAAAAAAAAAGTAGCCGGGCATGGTGGCACGTGCTTTTAATCCCAGTTACTCGGGAGGCTGAGGCTGGAGAATTGCTTGAACTAGGGAGACGGAGGTTGCAGTGGGCCAAGACTGCACCACTACACACCTGCTTGGGTGACAAAGCGAGATTCTGTCTCAAAATACACACACACACACACACACATATATATATATATATATTTTTTTTAACTGCTCATTGACAATACGCCAGATCACCTAAGAGCTCTGATGGGAGATGTACAAGGAGGTGAATGTCGCTTTCCTGCCTGCAGACACAACATCCCTTCTGCAGCCCATGGATCAAGGACTAGTTTTGACTTTCAAGTCTTATTACTTAAGAAATACCTTCTGTAAGGGTACAACTGCCATAGTCATAGTGATTCCTCTCATGGATCTGGGCAAAGTAAACTGAAAACCTTCTGGAAAGGATTCACCATTCTAGATGCCATTAAAAACATTCATGATTCATGGGTGGAGGGGTCAAAATATCAACATTAACAGGAGTGTGGAAGAAGCTGATTTCTACCCTCACGGACAGCGTTGAGGGATTCAGTGCTTCCGTGGAGAACTTGACTGCAGATGTGGTGGAAACAGCAAGGGCACTAGAACTAGAAGTGGAGCCTGAAGATGTGACTGAATTGCTGCAATCTCAGGATAAAACCTGAATGGGTAAAATGCCATCAAATAGCACCGCATGTTACAGAGACATCTTTTCTAAGATATGGTAAACTTTAGTGCGGTTTTAAGAAATTACCACAGCCCAACCTTCAGCAACCACCACCCTGATGAGTCAGCAGCCATCAAACTTGAGGCAAGATGCTCCAACAGCAAAGAGATTACGACTTGCTGAAGGCTCAGATGATCGTTAGCATTTTTTAGTAATAAAGCATTTTCAAATTAATGTGGGTACATCAGTTTTATTTAGACACAGTGCTACTGCACACTTAGTAAACTACAGTAGCGTATACACATAACTTCTTTATGCACTAGGAAACCAAAAACATTGTAGGACTTGCTTTATTGCAATGTTTACATTTTTGTGGTGGTCCAGAACTGAACCCACAGTACCTCTGAGGTCACCCGTGTTTGCTTTCTTTGCTTTTCAATTGGCAGATTTAGAAATAAAATGTGCTTGTTGCCCCTGAGCCCATGGCAGCTCAGAGAAGCCAATGGCAGGTCCCCGGGTTATGTGGGACCAACAGTTGTCTCTGGCACAGGAAGCTTTCCATGAGCTTGTTCGGGAGAGGGAGACTCACCCTCTCCTGCTGGCGCTTCACCCTGTACTGTTTGAGCTGCTCTTCCAGCCACTTCCGAGCCTGAAGTCGGACCTGCTCCTCCTTCTCCAGGGGCAGGGGAGAATCTGTAGAGCCTGCAGTGGGAAAAGGGCAATTTGGAAACTCATAAAATACCAGGATGCAGAACAATCAGGCACAAGAACTTGGTCATTTTGTACTTAATTACCCATATACTTTACACCTAAACAATGCACAGCCATCTTGTTTGGAAGGACAATTTCTAGATCAAGAGAGAACTGTGAGCCCCGGACACGGACCACAGGCGGGATCTACCTCACAGGAGACACAGTGGCCAGGCACTGGGTCTGTGATCCCATGATGAGTACACCCCACCTGGGGCATTCCCCTGGTAAAACAGGAAATGGCAGCAAGTGCCTTTTTTTTTTTTTTTTTTTTTGAGATGGAGTCTCACTCTGTCGCCCAGAATGGAGTGCAGTGGCATGATCTCGGCTCACAGCAACCTCCGCCTCCCAGGTTCACACCATTCTCCTGCCTCAGCCTCCCAAGTAGCTGGGAATACAGGCGCCCGCCACCACGCCTGGCTAATTTTTTGTATTTTTAGTAGAGACGGGGTTTCACCATGTTAGTCAGGATGGTCTCGATCTCCTGACCTCATGATCCACCCGCCTCGGCCTCCCAAAGTGCTGGGATTACAGGCGTGAGCCACCGCGCCCGGCCTTTTTTTTTTTTTTTTTTGAGACGGAGTTTCATTCTTGTTGCCCAGGCTGGAGTGCAATGGTGCGATCTCGGCTCACCACAACCTCTGCCTCCTGGGTTCAAGCGATTCTCCTGCCACAGCCTCCTGAGTAGGTGGGATTACAGGCATGCAACACGACCCCTGACGACTTTGGTATTTTTAGTAGAGACAGGGTTTCTCCATGTTGGTCAGGCTGGTCTCGAACTCCCGACCTGAGGTGATCCGCCCACCTCGGCCTCTCAAAGTGCTGAGATTATGGGCCTGAGCCACCGTGCCCGGCAGCAAGTGCCTTTTAACAACAGAAAGAACTGGGTTCAAAGCTGGAGCCGTGCCGAGCACTCTGAGGCAGGCTCAGCTCTCACCACGCTGCAACTTGCCCTGGCTTCACAGCAGGTTCTCGTGACCCCGCTGGGAGAACCTGAAACGCCGGCACCGTGGAGTTACAGGCAGTACCCAGCCACAGGAGCTCAGCCGTCGTGGGGTCACGAGACCCCGAGTGCATTTCTTTGCTCAGTTACATTTGGGGTCCGCTCTGACGCACAGCTCATCTCAGCTCCTGCAGTAACAAGTCACATTACGATAAGGCTCTGGCGGTACTCAAATGGCTGAAGCCTGGCGCCAGGCCTCACTGCAGGGTAAATGCTGCACAGGCTCCGCCCTCCAGGGCTGGGGGCGGGTTACCTCAGTTTCCAGACAGACAAGACTCCAATCCGAGGTCATGCTCCGGGACAGGAGGGGAAAATTTACAACTTTTTAGCCAAAACCAGAATTTAAAATATCTAAAACCCAGACCTTTCATTGTAGGTGATGAAAGAGTTGCATGGTACGTGCCAACGTGTTATAGTTACAAACCCAGGGCTCCACTTCCCAGGACTGAGTGTGTGGCCTCATCCTTCCTAAGCCATCAGCAGACACCGCCCGACGGCCTGGGTGCCGACCAGAGTAGGAAAGCATAATCACACAGCAACGCTTTACACATGACACCCTCCTTACAGGTAGATGCTGAGGAGATGAGCAGCTACTGTCCTAAATAATCCCTAACATCTGAGCAGTCACCAAGAATTTCACTGTAAATGTACCATTATTAGTTTATACATTTTATCACTGAAAAGATCTCTAGTCCTTTTCACATGGCAAAGTGGTCCAGATGGCTAGACCGTAAGTGGCAAATTCAGGCCTATGGCCACCAGGCAGATATTTATATAAGTCGGCAAAATAAGCAGGGTTTCAACCAAACACTGACGCAGGAGATAGGCTCAGGGCCAGGCGCCAGCAGGAACAGGTGACCAGGGGCATCCCGCAAAGGTGTGCACGTAGACCCAGCGCTGCTGCCCCAGACACCTGGGCCAGAGCTCACACATCTGTAACTTCAGGACCCCAAAGTAAATAAACTAAGTTGAAAAAAATCAGGAATCTAGACTTTTTTACATGCTACTTCTCAACTTAAATGCTGGCAGTGAGTTTTCAGAATTGTTTCAAATAAACACATGTGAAATGCAGTCTGATTTCAGTAATTTAGGGTTTTTTGTTGTTGTTATTTAGTTTTAAGAAATTTTTAAAAATATACTGCAGGCCAGGTACAGTGGCTCACGCCTATAATCCCAGTATTTTGGGAGGCCAAGGTATGACGATCACTTGAGCCCAGGAGTTCAAGACCAGCCTGGGAAACATGGTGAGACCCCGTTTCTACACACACAAAAAATTAAAATTAGCCAGGTGTGGTGACACGCACCTGTGGTCCAAGCTACTTGACAGCAGAGGCAGGAAGATCCCTTGAACCTGGGAGGCAGAGGCTGCAGTGAGCTCTGACTCTGCCACTGGCCTCCAGCCTGGGCGACAGAGCAAGATCCTGACTCTAATTAAAAAACAAAACAGGCTGGGCCTGGTGGCTCACGCCTGTAATCCCAACACTTTGGGAGGCCAAGGCAGGCAGACCATGAGGTCAGGAGATCAATACCATCTTGACTAACACGGTGAAACCCCATCTTTGCTAAAAATACAAAAAATTAGCCGGGCCTGGTGGCGGGTGCATGTAGTCCCAGCTACTCGGGAGGCCGAGGCAGGTGAATGGCATGAACCCAGGAGGCGGAGATTGCAGTGAGCCGAGACAGCGCCACTGCAGTCCGGCCTGGGCGAAAGAGCGAGACTCTGTCTCAGAAAAAAAAAGCAAACCAAAAAAAACCAAAACAACAGACTGGATGCCCACCGTCTGCTTACCAAGCACCTGGGTGACACAGGACATGCAGGCTGGCCTTTAACGCAAAAGCGTCAGCACTGCTGCCAGTCAGACCACAGCAGAACCTTGACTCCACCTGCATCTTCACTCTCTAACTTGAAGCTCTCCTTGCTAAACTCACAGCCCCACGTGGGACTCAGATGGCACACGGCAGGCACAGGCACACAACAGCTCAGACAGTGAGTGCGCAGGGCACCTGCTCCCAAGGGGCTGAGCGACGCGGACGTGGAGGGTGGGAAAAGCGGGGTAACGGATGCTTACACAGTTGCGTTTCTTGCATAGGAAGACTGAGTCTGAGAGACTGCAAAGCTTCTTTTCTAACACTGCCCTCAGCACTAGTTCCCTGAGACTTCCTTAGGTTGTCATGGAAACCAGCCACACCTGGAGAGGCATCAGGGCCCACTGGGCTTGTGGTGGGATCGAGAGACGACGGAGGGTCTGGGAAGGGTGGCGTTGGCCCGTTCTGACAGAGGCCTCCCTGGCCAGGTCCATCCGGGCTTTCCCCTTCCGTGGATGCTCTGTTTACCTCGGCACCTGGAAAGACAGAGCACGCTGGACCACCATGGCTTTAACAACAAGGTGACGTCGCTTTTCAGACATGCAGCTGGAGTAGGAGAGAAGAGGATCCAGACTCATGAGCACGGCACTTTCTCATCCCACAAAGGCTTCACTCTGAGAGGAGCAGCCCATGGGCCCCGTCCCACAGGCGGGGTGGCCAGGATAAGGCCCACAGCCCCTCTGGTGTCCACGTCCTTCCTGTAAGGTGAACCTGCCCTCCACACCTCCACACTCTAACGTGAACCCGCCCTCCACACCTCTACGCTCTAACGTGAACTCACCCTCCACACCTCCACACTCTAATGTGAACCCGCCCTCCACTCCTCCACGCTCTAAGGTGAACCCGCCCTCCACACCTCCACGCTCTAAGGTGAACCCGCCCTCCACACCTCCACGCTCTAAGGTGAACCCCCCCTCCACACCTCCACACTCTAACGTGAACCCGCCCTCCACTCCTCCACGCTCTAAGGTGAACCCGCCCTCCACACCTCCACGCTCTAAGGTGAACCCGCCCTCCACACCTCCACACTCTAAGGTGAACCCGCCCTCCACACCTCCACACTCTAACGTGAACCCGCCCTCCACTCCTCCACGCTCTAAGGTGAACCCGCCCTCCACACCTCCACGCTCTAAGGTGAACCCGCCCTCCACTCCTCCACGCTCTAAGGTGAACCCGCACTCCACACCTCCACGCTCTAAGGTGAACCCACCCTCCACACCTCCACACTCTAACGTGAACCCGCCCTCCACTCCTCCACGCTCTAAGGTGAACTCACCCTCCACACCTCCACGCTCTAAGGTGAACCCCCCCCCCACACCTCCACACTCTAAGGTGAACTCACCCTCCACTCCTCCACGCTCTAAGGTGAACCCGCCCTCCACACCTCCACGCTCTAAGGTGAACCCACCCTCCACACCTCCACGCTCTAAGGTGAACCCGCCCTCCACTCCTCCACGCTCTAAGGTGAACCCGCACTCCACACCTCCACACTCTAACGTGAACCCGCCCTCCACTCCTCCACGCTCTAAGGTGAACTCACCCTCCACACCTCCACGCTCTAAGGTGAACCCCCCCCCCACACCTCCACACTCTAAGGTGAACTCACCCTCCACTCCTCCACGCTCTAAGGTGAACCCCCCCCCACACCTCCACACTCTAAGGTGAACTCACCCTCCACTCCTCCACGCTCTAAGGTGAACCCACCCTCCACACCTGTACGCTCTAACGTGAACCCGCCCTCCACACCTCCACGCTCTAAGGTGAACCCCCCCTCCACTCCTCCATGCTCTAAGGTGAACCCACCCTCCACTCCTCCATGCTCTAAGGTGAACTCGCCCTCCACACCTCTACACTATAAGGTGAACTCACCCTCCACACCTCCACACTCTTGGCTGTAGAATTTATGTAGTAACGACAGTAACATTTCCTCTTCTCTTTTTTGAGACGGAGTCTCATTCTGCTGCCCAGGCTGGAGTTCAGTCACACAAGCTCAGCTCACTGCAAGCTCCACTCACCAGATTCAAGCGATTCTCCTGCTTCAGCCTCCCCAGTAGCTGGGATTACAGGTGCCCACCACCACACCTGGCTAATTTTTGGTCTTTTTAGTAGAGATGGGGTTTCACCATGTTGGCCAGTCTGGTCTCAAACTCCTCCCCATTCACCAGCCTCGGCCTCCCACAGTGCTGGGATTACAGGCGTGAGCCACCGCACCCAGCCAATGTTTCCTTTCCATTTAAGTAAAACCAATAAGAAATCTTATGAAAGTCGCCAGTTTAAAACAAGCGAAAACCACAAACACTTAAAACACAGCTGACAATCTTTCTAGCAGGCACTGGTAACAGCAGTGTTAATCAGAGTCACAGCCTCACATTTACAAAGGCTGATTTTGGAGTCATTTCAAAGCCTCAGCTTATCCTCCAAGGCGAGGACCCTAAGGCGAAGAGGTGGATGATGTCATCACACCACCCGTGAAGCAGAGACAGCCCAGAACCGCGCTTCTGCTTGATGACAGCCTGCTGGGTAAAGGCCTGGGTTGGACCAGTGACAATTCTATACCCACGTGTTACCTCAGTTCACCCACTAAAATGATTATATACAAATTACCCACAACACAAACTAAAACATATTTCCTCATCAAATGGAACAAAGAAAGATTTCTTTCAATGAAGTGATTTTCAGTCTTTTCCCTGCCCCCTAACTGCTGACTGGTGGGTGGGCCAGTTCACAGTCAAAGAACCAAGACATGTGAGGGGGGAGGGAGGGTCCTCAGGGGGTTCTGGTCCTGGTTCCGGTGGCTCTGGAGGCCCGGCAACACCTCCGTGTCTCACAGGGGTCAGCATTCCTCGGATCCCACGTGCATGCAGGACAGCAAATTTGCTTTTTGCTCAAGCAAATTAAAAATGAGTTTCTTAGCCGGGCGCGGTGGCTCACGCCTGTAATCCCAGCACTTTGGGAAGCTGAGGCAGGTGGATCACGAGGTCAGGAGATCGAGACTATCCTGGCTAACACGGCGAAACCCCGTCTCTACTAAAAATACAAAGACTTAGCTGGGCGTGGTGGCGGGCGCCTATAGTCCCAGCTACTTGGGAGGCTGAGGCAGAAGAATGGCGTGAACCCTCGAAGTGGAGCTTGCAGTAAGCTGAGGTCGTGCCACTGCACTCCAGTCTGGGCAACAGAGCGAGACTCCGTCTCAAAAAAAGAAAAGGTTTCTTTCACTTGCAAATGTGAGTTCAAACTAACAGCAGATACTTACTGTCATGCCTCCCGAAAGAAAAACCAGAATAAAAGCAGGGGTGCCAGACAGGAAGCCAGACCACGGGCACCCGACCAACGCACTGAGACGCCTTTCATGCAAAGGACCCGTGAGCTCCACTGCTGGGAGAGGGGGAACCTTGCATTTCAGATAAAAGTTACTGGGTTAGGCCGGGCGCAGTGGCTCACACCTGTAATCCCAGCACTTTGGGAGGCCGAGGTGGAAGGATAACTCAAGGCCAGGAATTCAAGACCAGCCCGGGCAACAGCAAGACTGTTTATACAAAAAGTTTTTAAAATGAGCCAGGCAACAGGGCGCGGTGGCTCACGCCTGCAATCCCAGCACTTTGGGAGGCCAAGGTGGGGGGATCACCAGAGATTGGGAGTTCAAAACCAGCCTGATCAACATGGAAACTCCATCTCTACTAAAAATACAAAATTAGCTGGGCGTGGTGGCACATGCCTGTAATCCCAGCTACTCAGGAGGCTGAGGCAGAAGATCGCTTGAACCCGGGAGGCGGAGGTTGCCATGAGCCGAGATCGCACCATTGCACTACAGCCTGGACAACAACAGCAAAACTCCGTCTCAAAAAAAAAAAAATCAGCTAGGCGTGCTGACACGCATCGATAGTCACCGCTACCCCAGAGACCAAGGCAGGAGGATCACTTAAGCCCAGGAGTTCATGGCTGCCGTGAGCTATGATTACACCACTGCACTTCAGCCTGCTCAATGGAGCAACACCCTGACTCTAAAAACAGTAATAAAATGTTTAAAATAGAAAAAGGGGCGGAGGCTGAGATTAACCCAGCGTCTTGCTCGAGGGCACATTGCTCCTGAGCAGCAGATCTAAGAGCAGGTTCCACGGCCGCGGGTCTCAGAACTCTTGATCTTGGGCCTCTAAGTTGTTATCTGCCTCACCTGATGCTTATGTAGCAAGGACCAGCAAAGCCATCCTAAGCGCCTGAGTATCATTTTACAGGAATTAGACTGTGACTTCTGCTAGTAAATTAGCACATCTGTAGTCTACAGTTTTAAAGCACTGAACCTCCTGGCCAGGAAGAGGCATGAGAACTGAGTGAATAACTAAGTCACCCTTTCCCTCTGACACGTGAATAACCCAGGGGGCTAACATAACACTGTGCTCCGTAATCCTTAGATCTCTACGGGACGACTTCTGAATTCTAGCTATTACAAATTCAGCAACTGACCAATCAAAAAGGCAGAATTCGGCCAGGCACAGTGGCTCACTCCTGTAATCCCAGCACTTTTTGGGGCTGAGGTGGGTGGATCATTTGAGATCAGGAGTTCGAGACCAGCCTGGCCAACATGGTGAAACCCCGTCTCTACTAAAAATACAAAAAATAGCTGGGTGTGGTGGCAGGTGCCTGTAGTCCCAGCTACTCGGGAGGCTGAAGCAGGAGAATCGCTTGAACCCAGGAGGCAGAGGTTGCAGTGAGCTGAGATGGTGCCACTGCACTCCAGCCTGGGCGACAGAACAGGACACCGTCTCAAAAAAAAAAAAAAAAAAAAAAAATGGCTGGGCGCAGTGGCTCACGCCTGTAATCTCAGCACTTTGGGATGCCAAGGTGGGCGGATCACCTGAGGTTGGGAGTTCGTGGCCAGCCTGACCAACATGGAGAAACCTCATCTCTACTAAAAATACAAAAAATAGCTGGGCGTGGTAGCGCATGCCTGTAATCCCAGCTACTCGGGAGGCTGAGGCAGAAGAATTGCTTGAACCCGGGAAGTGGAGGTTGCAGTGAAACGAGATCTCGCCATTGCACTCCAGCCCGGGCACCCAGAGCAAAACTCCACGTCGAAAAAAAAAAAAGGTAGAATTTTAGGCAGGGAACATGATAAAGACCCATAGATCCCTTCAGGGAAACACTGCTGCTGCCCCACACGTTTAATGGAGTTCTGTTTAGCAGGAATGTGCCTGATCTAAAGGTGGCATCATTCAGTTACTAAAACATACTTTGGGCCGGGCACAGTGGCTCACACCTGTAATCCCAGCACTTTGAGGCTGAGGCTGAGGCGGGCGGATCACGAAGTCAGGAGATCGAGACCATCTTGGCTAACACGGTGAAACCCCGTCTCTACTAAAAATACAAAAAATTAGCCGGGCGCGGTGGCGGGCGCCTGTAATCCCAGCTACTCAGGAGGCTGGGGCAAGAGAATGGCATGAACCCGGGAGGCGGAGCTTGCAGCGAGCCGAGATCACGCCACTGCAGTCCAGCCTGGGCGAAAGAGCGAGACTCCGTCTCAAAAAAAAAAAAAAAAAAAAACAACTTTGAATTAAGTGAAAAGCTCACAGTGGTCTCAACGCCACATCCTCCCTCAACACCACGTCCTCCCTCAACACCAGGTCCTCCTGTGACCAGCACACAGAGGAACCTCACGACTTACACTGGACTTTGTCCTGCTGGTCAGGTGGCACCAGTGGGCCCGGGGGCTTCAGTGGGGCCTCGGGGAGAGACGAGGGGCCACTGTGGGATCTGTCCTCCTGGAGGCCATCTTGCTCGGCCGACGCGCCGTCCATGGTCAGGACGACACCAGCTGAGCTGACGCTGAGGGGCTACAAGTGAACCTTGGACAAGCTTGGCTTCTGCCATCAGCAACAGCCAAGAGCTCCTGGGAGGGGCCCTACTGTGTCTCCCATTTTCAGGAGAAGATCTGATGACTCACAAATGACTTGATGTCAAACCAGCTAATATCATGATACCTGACAGGAGAGAGAGACAAAATGTATTATGAAACTTGTCAGATTTCAAGTATCAATTACAAAATTAGCATTTGGTTCCCAATTTGCATACGTACAAGAAACAAATACAAACTTTTTCATTCAGCAAATAATCCTGGAGCACCCACAACATCCTAGGTTTTGAGGCTAAGATGCTGACCCAGCCACACTGGGCCCTTTCCTGAAGGAGCTTAATGTCTGTATCGGTGCCAACTAAAGAACATTCTGCTGGGACAGCGCAGCTCTGAATCTGTGGAGTAGGTGTCACACAGGGCAACTGAGCTTTAAATTTTATTTAAAATTAATTTGGGCCAGGCGCGGTGGCTCACCCCTGTAATCCCAGCACTTTGGGAGGCCGAGGCAGGCAGATCACCTGAGGTCAGGAGTTCAAGACCAGCCTGGCCAACATGGTGAAACCCCCACCT
This sequence comes from Homo sapiens, assembly GCF_000001405.40. Taxonomy (NCBI): domain Eukaryota; kingdom Metazoa; phylum Chordata; class Mammalia; order Primates; family Hominidae; genus Homo; species Homo sapiens. The sequence goes on from NC_000012.12 coordinate 132,822,755, forward strand.
CTACTAAAAATACAAAAAATAGCCGGGTGTGGTGGTGAACACCTGTAATCCCAGCTACTCGGGAGGCTGAGGCAGGAGAGTCACTTGAAACCGGGAGGCGGAGGTTGCAGTGAGCTGAGATCGCACCACTGCACTGCAGCCTGGGTGACAGAGGGAGACCCCATCTCAAAAACAATTTAAAAATTACAATACCAGACTCACAGGCCCCCCTCTCAGCTAGTGAGTGACTCTGCCCAAGGCCACGGCTCCTGCCGGCAGCCCCACCCCTTCAGGTTGGACAACTCAGATCCAGAGAAACAAAACTTTAAAAAGCAGGTGCCATGGGATGTGGTAACTCTATACAGGGTGTACAAGGACACCAGAAAGGCAGCTGCCTTGGAGTGGGGGCACAGAAAGGGCATCTCACGGCAGGGCCCGTTCCCGTCTTTACCTCTAGCTGGGTTAGCTCTCTCAGCCTGCCCTGCCGGGCTACATTCAGGGGAGCAAAACTTTGCCCAACATTTGGCAAGTGATTATCCACCCTGAAATGTGCTGGTGATATTATTAACTCATTTCCTTATCAACAGGTAAGACACTAGCATGAGCTTCCATTCATTCTGCAGAAATGTTGGCATTTATTCCTTTAAAATCAGTTTCATATTAACCTACATTATGTTCTGTGTTTAACATTTTTCATGAGAAACATTACACAACCTTCGCCTCTAGCTTACAAATCCCACACAGAAGGTATAGACAAGAAGCCCACATGGGGCCGGGTGCGGTGGCTCATGCTTGTAATCCCAGCACTTTGGGAGGCCAAGGCGGGCGGATCACCTGCGGTCAGGAGTTTGAGACCAGCCTGGCCAACATGGTGAAACCCCATCTCTACTAAAAATACAAAAAACTAGCCAGGCGTGGTGGCAGGCGCCTGTAATCCCAGCTACTTGGGAGCCTGAGGCAGGAGAATCACTTGAACCTGGGAGGCGGAGGTTGCACTGAACCAAGACCACGCCATTGCACTCCAGCCTGGGCAACAAGAGTGGAAACTCCGTCTAAAAAAAAAAAAGGGCTGCGTGTGATGGCTCATGCCTGTAATCCCATAACTTTGGGGGGTCAAGGTGGGTGGATCACTTGAGGTCAGAATTTCAAGACCAGCCTGGCCAACAAGGTGAAACCTCGTCTCTACTAAAAATACAAAAATTAGCCAGGCATGGCAGCGCGTGCCTGTAATCCCAGCTACTCAGGAGGCTAAGGCAGGAACATCGCTTGAACCTGGGAGACAGAGGTTGCGTGAGCCAAAATTGTGCCACTGCACTCCAGCCTGGGAGACAAGCACAAAACTCCATCTCAAAAAACAAAAAACAACAAAAAAAAGAGAAGCCCACGTGGCTGGTCCTCGAGAGCATGTGTGTCACTGACCCCGCAGCAGGACGTGCCTGTCTTTCTAGGGGTTTTTACTCTACCTGCCATCTAGACTGGTCACCCGTAAAAGAGGAAACCTATGGGTGGTGGGTGTAACCCAGTCCACTGACACAGTCAATGACTCACTGAAGGGCGTGCAGACCTGTGAGTATCTGCTCATAACTATAATAATCCACCATTCCTCTCTGCCACCTTGCATCCTACAGGCCAGAGACAGTTATGAGTTCATAACAGTGTTGTTCAGAATATTAAAAGGTTACGTATGCTATTAGTGTAAAACTAGCATTAAGGGTTTGTAACCAGAAAGCACTGTGAATAGAAATGTGTCCTAACATTAGTAACTATAAATCTCGCATAGCTAATCAAGAAACTACTGTAAACAAAGGATCCTAGATGTCTTGACTCAGGGTGCCTGGCACATAAAAATATTTAAAGATTAAAGCAATGTCTGAAGCACAGAAGTGAAGGAAGTTACCAAGGCTGGTCAAAAGCTAATCCTGTGTGCAACGAATTCTCAATCTCATGTTTGCGTCTATGATCATCTAGTAACATCTCTCATCCCTGGATTTTCCGGGTGGGTGGGTGATAAATGGGCCTTAGAGCCTAGGCAGGGATCTGAACTACACACCTGTCCTTACACACAGCACAGAACCCTCTGAAAATCACTTTCCAGGAAAAACACTGCGATCTCCACCAAGCCTGCCCCTCAGCTACAATCCCAGACACACTCCAAGAGAACTGGGGGTCAGCCGGCCACGCCCACCTGGGAATGGAGAAGACACCCACAAAACAAGGGGAGGAGCATCAGCAAAATGATGGCTGCTTATCACAGGCTTGCCCCTTTGACAGATGAATTACAAACTGGCACGGAGGACTACACGCGGTGGAATGTGGACTCGACTGCGCCACTGAATACTGGTACCCTGTACATCTGGTCCTCTTGAAAATTTCCTAGCAAAAGAAAACTTGCGTTTTGCTTTGTGATGTCTTTGCTTCTGCCTTGCGGGGGTGGGGTGATTATATGGAACCGACCGTGTGTGCCTACGCGTGCAGACCCTCCTGGCCCCTCAGGTAAAGGAACCGACGGTGTGTGCCTGCGCGTGCAGACCCTCCTGGCCCCGCAGGTAAAGTGTCTCGTCTACCCCCTCTGCCATCACTGTACCTCACGTGGCCTCCACCACAGCACGTCATGTCTGCCATTGCGTGTGTGCCCATTACATGGCGAGATCCTTGAAGACAGAGACTCATTCCCCGTCTGCCTCCCACCACCTTGAACACTCCCAACTCCTAAAGTGCCAACACAGGTTTAATTTGCCGAATTAAATCTTCAGTTCTGCTGATTCTGCTGAGTACATTCCTCTGCTACAAAGCTAATGGTTCCAAAACAAAATGATTAAGTATTTGAATCCTGGAGCATCAACACTGCCTTTTAAAATACAGCAAAGTCTAAACTAGTCCAGCTGAAACATCTGTGAGCTTCAGTTCCAATGAGGGAGTCCAGGGAGTTAGAAACTGGAAGAGCACCTTTTTTCAGTGGCCGGGAAGATGGCGGACATTCAGACTGAGCGTGCCTACCAAAAGCAGCCGACCATCTTTCAAAACAAGAAGAGGGTCCTGCTGGGAGAAACTGGCAAGGAGAAGCTCCTGCGGTACTACAAGAACATTGGTCTGGGCTTCAAGACACCCAAAGAGGCTACTGAGGGCACCTACATTGACAAGAAATGCCCCTTCACTGGTGATGTCTCCATTCGAGGGCGGATCCTCTCTGGCGTGGTGACCAAGATGAAGACGCAGAGGACCACTGTCATCCGCCGAGACTACCTGCACTACATCCGCAAGTACAACCACTTCGAGAAGCACCACAAGAACATGTCTGTACACCTGTTCCCCTGCTTCAGGGACGTCCAGATCGGTGACATCGTCACAGTGGGCGAGTGCCGGCCTTGCCGGCCTCTGAGCAAGACAGTGCACCTCAACGTGCTCCAGGTCACCAAGGCTGCCAGCACCAAGAAGCAGTTCCAGAAGTTCTGAGGCTGGACATCAGCCCGCTCCCCACAATGAAATAAAGTTATTTTCTCATTCTCCAAAAAAAAAAAAAAAAAAGAAACTGGAAGAGCAGCATCACGGCCACGGCCCAGACAGGCACCACCACCTGAACAGAAGGAAGGATGGGATGACCAGCAGGACTGGACTCAGCCATTACAGGTGGAACATGCAGAGGAGAACTGCTGCAGAGGAGAACTGCTGCAGAGGCCCACAGTGACGACGCCTGGGCCTTACACTGACCAAGAAGGAACACAGCCAAAGACGCTCAGGTTCCACCGAGAGGGCACGCCAACATGGTGACAGCCAACCGCACCGAGCTGAGTCCAGTGCAATCACAGATTCTGCTCACTTAATTCCCCTGCTGGTGTCCAAGCAGCCCACCTCTCCAGAACAGAGACCCCATGACGGTGACTGTAAGTCACAAAGACGGCCCCTCTTTACAGGCAGCTCCTCCTGAAGCCGGACCAGAGAGAGAATTCACTAACTGCCTGGAGTTTGGTGACAGTGATACTTCTCCCTGTAGGGCAATAAGCTGGCAGTCTCGGTCGATTCCCAGTCTTGCTTGATTTTTAGTTAAAATTTGGAATGACTCAGTCGTCAGGGCCTCATTACCTCAGACTACTGACAAAAAGCGATCTCCGGGCAGCGAGGAGGAGGAGCAACTGCCAGTGCATCACAGAAAGCTGGTACTACAAACATGGCTCTATTTTAAATAAAGAGGCCAGTCTAATCAGTCTCACTTATGATCACTCGCACTCCTGCGTCTCTAGAGAGAAGAGACAGGACAAAGCTGTCACTTAGAACTGCGAAAGGTACACACAACCCTAGGTTCACAGCTGGGTAACATCAAGGGACTTCATACTGAGAAACCACCACCTCAGGCACCTACAGGACTTTCTGCTTCCCCCACACCTGAATTCTGTATACAAACATTCACGGCTCCATCTACACCACCTCGTTTCACCTGTTCCTATCGGGTATTAGAAACAACAGAGCACAGCCAAAAACCAAACACGATTTCCTCAGGAAAAGAGTACCTGGTGGAGGCCACACTAGTATCCAAAAGTAAACACAGATCTATACACAAAGTGAAAACCAAAAGCAAGCAAGCCTCATGTCACTGCAGAGACGTGAAGGGCAGGCTTGGAAGTCAGGACTCCGGCCTCAGCTCCCGACCCTCCACCACTTACCTGTGAGAGCCTGGGCTAAAGATTTCTTAATCACATTTAGCCTGTTTCCTCACCAGTAAAACAATGAGAAAATGAACGCAAAATTTTGCCAGGATTAAATATAACAAGGCACAGAGTCTGTCCCGTGTCCTCAATAAAATGACAGTAATTATCACGATTTTCCCTTTAGTTGTTGCTTGTCAAAATCGCTAAAAGCCAACTGAAGGCATTCTCACTTGGGAAAGTATGCTACTTCTTAAGGCAATCGGGGGAAAAAAAGCTCCTCTTCAATCTGAGTGATGTCAGATGATTTATTTCCTTCTTGCCATTTAAGGTATACTGCCTGAAAAGATATTAAAGGGTTATAAAGCGCTATGTTGATGTCGTTTAAAAGACAGTTCAAAATAATCCACGACGACGGGTGTGGCTGCTCACACCTGTAACACCAGCACTTTGGGAGGCTGGGGTGGGAGGATCGCTTGAGGCCAGGAGTTCCACACCAGCCTGGGCAATACAGCAACACACCCAGTCTCTTAAAAAAAAAAAAAAAATCCATGAGTCATCTGTAAATGGCTTACACTGGCCCAGTGACAATAAACTCCAACCTCTTAAGAATCCAGCACCTGCCTACACCAACATCCTTACCGCCATCGCTTTCCCCCTTTGCCATTACACTGTGGCCACATCCTCCGCCCTCAGGGTCTTCAAACTTTCTGCCTGAGGCGCGCTTTTCTCACAATTTTGCCTGGCTTGCTTCTCGTCATAGAGGCCTTAGCACGGAAGTCGCCCGCCCCCCAGGCTCCCACTTAGAGTAGCGGACCCCACCCAACCACCGCCCGGTACCCTCTCGCTGGCGACCCTGGGTGTCCCTGTCCTAGGTGGGCTCCGCGGGGGCAGTGACCCAGACCCACAATACCCAGGACCCGCCACACGACTGACATTCGTCGGGTTCATACCCGTGACAACGCCCGGCCCCACTCGCTCTGGCCACCTGGAATGAAGACAAGTCGGCCAGCGACAAAGACAAACAAGGAAGTACACGGACTCCTGAAACCCCGACTTCCCACGAACCACCCGACACCATGTCACGCCTTTCAGCTGCAAAGGGCCAGGCTAAAGCAAGCACTGCCCGAGTGGTGGCAGTGGACAGCTTCGGGACAGGCCGCGCTCGTCGGGCGCAGACAAGCATTCAGGAGGGCTCGCGGGCACCGGCATTTACAGAGCCAGCTCCGCCGCAGCTGAAGGCGGGCGCCCAGGCCCGAGGCCACCGCAGCGAGGCGGGGGTGACTGGAACGGGGCCGTCCCGCCACGCTGCAGGGACGCGCCCAGGCCCCGCCGCCGCCCCTCGAGCCTCCCCCGCCCATGCACTGCGGGAGCGGGAGCGGGAGCGGGAGCCCGAGCCCCGAGGCGCCGCGGCCTCCGAGCCCCTCACCCTGCTGCTCTGGCAGCCCCGGAGGCCGCCCGGCCCGGATGCTCCGGCGGAGACGTGGCCGTGAGAGGGGCGGGGCGAGCGGTGCATCGGCCTCGGGTCCCCGGAAACAGCCTGCACGCGCTACTTTCGTTCCGGAACAGAGAACGTCCTCCTCTTCTTCAAGTGGCCACCCTAGGGCCGGGGACCCTCTGCCCACAGGGTCCGGATCGAGCTCACCTCCGACTGTGATGAGGCCGCCTTCAGAAAGTGACCTTAAGAGTTTGCGGACCTTTCCCTAGTAGAAACGCAACTTCCGGAACTGCAGGACCAACTCTTTCAGGAAGCTGAACCGAGCTTCCGGCGGAAGTGGCGTGGCCGGGGCTCGGCATGGGCGCGGCCGAGCTCGGTGTGGGCGTGACTTCCCCGCCCGCCCTAGTCGGGTCCCCGCCCCAACCCCGCACCTCCACCCGGCCGGCGCCCTTCGCGCTTCAGGTGCCAGATCAAAGGCGACGCTGCTTTGGACCCTATTTGCTTCCCCTTTAAAAAGGGCAAAGCTGGACGGCGCGGGCCGCTGGCCGCTGGGGAACGGCTTTCCACCTTCCCTCATCCGCCAGGCCGCTCTTCCAGCTGTCAGGAAGGAAATGGCCTGGAGGGCGCCTCGGGGTCCTCTGTGATGTTGCGCTCATCTCTGCGGATTTTGGAATACGCTTCAGTCTACGAAGTTTTCTGGGATTTTGATGGGAACTGCTGCAGATCGTTTGGGGAGCACGGGCATCGCTGACTCGGTCCTTCATCTGCGTCCCTGGTGGCCCCTCCATTTATTTCGGTCTTTTGATTTCTTCCACCAGCATTTTGTAATTTCAGCATACAGATTCTGCACCTTTTAAGTTTATAGTATTTCACATCAAACAACTGTAACACTGCGTTTTTGACGTTTTCCACGTGTTCACTGTTGGTCTACACAAATGTGATGAATTCTATGTTGATTTTCTTATCCTGAGACCTCGCTGAACTCATTAGTTTGAGGGTTCATTTGGTGTTTTGCGGTTGTTGTTGTAAAATCCTTGTATTTTTTACATGGGCCATCATGTTATCTGCAAATGCAAATTCTAACACAAAATGATCAGACTGAGGCGTAAAATATACAACTTTTAGAAGAAAACAGAATTTCTCACATCTAGAGCTTGGGGAAGAGTTCTTAGATCTGACCAAAAAAACACAATTCACAAAAGAAGTTGATAGAGTAAACTTCATGAAAAAATTAGAAACTTTTCACCGGATGCGGTGGCTCACGCCTGTAATCCCAACACTTTGGGAGGCCAAGGTGGGCGGATTACCTGAGGTCAGGAGTTTGAGACCAGCCAGGCCAAATGGTGAAACCCATCTCTACTAAAAATATAATAATTAGCCGGGCATGGTGGCATGTGCCTGTAATCCCAGCTACTCAGGAGGCTGGAGGAGAATCGCTTGAATCCAGGAGGCGGAGAGGTTGCAGTGAGCGGAGATCGTGCCACCAGCCTGGGCAACAGAGCAAGACTCCGTCTCAAAAAAAAAAAAAAAAGCCGGGCACAGTGTCTCACGCCTGTAATTCCAGCACCTTGAGAGGCCGAGGCAGGTGGATCACAAGGTCAAGAGATCAAGACTATCCTGGCCAACATGGTGAACCCTGTCTCTATGAAAAATACAAAAAAATTAGCTGGGCGTGGTGGTGTGTGCCTGTAGTCCCAACTACTCGGGAGGCTGAGGCAGGGGGATCACTTGAACCTGGGAGGCAGAGGTTGCAGTGAGCTGAGATCGTGCCACTGCACTCCAGCCTGGGCGACAGAGCGAGACTCCATCTCAAAACAAACAAACCAACCTTGTGAGAAAGACCACATTAAGAGGATGAAAAGATGAGTTACAGACTGTGAGAAAATATTTTCAAACCACGTTTGTTGAAGGACTAGTAGCTAGAATATATAAAGAACTCTCAAAACTTGACAGTAAAAAAAAATACAATTATTCTGGGCACAATGGCTCATGCCTGTAATCTCAGCACTTTGGGAGGCTAAGGGGGCAAATCACTTGAGGCCAGGAGTTTGAGACCAGCCTGGCCAACATGGAGAAACCCTGTCTCTACTAAAAATACAAAAATTAGCCAGGCGTGGTGACGCACACCTGTAATGCCAGCTATTTGGGTGGCTGAGGCACAAGAATTGCTTGAATCTGGGAGGCGGAGGTTGCAGTGAGCTGAGATTGTGTCACTGCACTCCAACCTGGGTGACAAAATGAGACTCCATCTCAAAAAAAAAAAAACCATACACACACACAAACAGAAGACAAGCAAAAAACATGAAAACACATTTCACTAAAAGGATATATGAGTGGCAAATAAGCTTGTGACCAGGTTCAGCATCACTAGCCATTACAGAAATGCACATTAAGACTATCTTGAGGTCAGGCGCGGTGGCTCAAGCCTGTAATTCCAGCACTTTGAGAGGCCGAAGCAGGTGGATCACCTGAGGTCAGGAGTTCGAGACCAGCCTGACTAACATGGTGAAATCCTGCTTCTACTAAAAATACAAAAATTAGCTGGGCATGGTGGCAGGTACCTGTAATACCAACTACTTGGGAGGCTGAGGCAGGAGAATCGCTTGAACCTGGGAGGTGGAGGCTGCAGTGAGCTGGGATCACACCATTGCACTCCAGCCTGGGTGACACAGTCAGACTCTGTCTCAAAAAAAAAAAAAAAAAAAGACTGCCTTGGGATATTAGTATACACCTATTAGAACAGCTGAAATAATATACAGCAGTGGCAATATGAAATGCTGGGAATAATGTATTCTGGAGTAACTAATCTCTTATACATTGCTGATGGGAACAGCAATAGTGCACCCACTCTGGAATATAGTTGGGCAGTTTCTTCAAAAAGTAAACAATTTTATGACCCAGCAACTGCATTCCTAGACATTGAACTCAGAGAAATAAACTTATGTCTACACAAAAGCCTGTACATTACTGACCCCAAACTGGAAACAACCAAAATGTCCTCTGACATGGTGAAACAAACCATGGACCCCCCACGCCACTCTGACATGGTGAAACAAACCGTGGACCACCCACGCCACTCTGACGTGGCAAAACAAACTGTGGACCACCCACGCCACTCTGACGTGGTGAAACAAACCATGGACCACCCATGCCACTCTGACGTGGTGAAACAAACCGTGGACCACCCATGCCATGGACACTACTCAGCAATAAAAAGGAGCTGACCACTGATGTGTGCAATAACTTGGACGAAGCTCCAAGGCATTACATCCAGGGAGGAAAACATCTCCGAAGGTCTACACTGCATGAACTGTACGATGTGTCCACTTATGTCACAAAATGACAGCATTATAGAGTGGTGGTGGGGTTCGGATGACTAAAAAGGGGTAGATGGAGAGAGATTTTTGTGGTGATGGAACTGTTCTGTATTTTGTGACCGTGGTTACGTGAATGTCCTCATGTGATAAAATGACAGAATGAAGAAAACACTCCACCAAGCTCAGTTTCCTGATTTTCATATTGCACTATCCTAAGGTGTAGCCAATGGGAGAAATAGGGAAAACATTTAATTAGCATAAGATCTAGTATTCCATAGCACAGGAGGGTGAATATAGTTAATAATAATGTATTGTATATTTTTAAATAACAAAAAGAGTGGAACTGGAATGTTCCTAACAAAGAAATGATACAGGCTTGAGGTGATGGATACCCCAGTTACTGGGAGTTGATCATTATACATTGTATGTCTGTATTAAAATATCAAGGTACTCCATAAATATATACACCTTTTATGTACCCACAGTAATTTAAAATTTTAAAAATTTAGCAAGCAAAATGTGACAAACATTAAATTTAAATACAGTTAGAAACAATGAATCTAATCATATACTAAGTTGATGGCACAGTGTGGGAAAAATGCTAATCTAAGTAAAATTCTTAACAGCTTTAATACAATTTCTATGCAATAAAATATACCCGTGTTGTGTGTGCAGTTCAGCGACTGTAGTAAATGTGCAGAGCTGTGCACCCATCACTCCAACCCAGTTTCCGGATACTTCCGTTACCTCAGAAGGATCCTTCTTGCATTCACTCCCTATCCCCTCCACCCAGCCCGACAACCACTCAGTCACCTTCTGTCTTTATGAATGTGCCTCTTCTGGACATTTCATAGAAATGGGATCATATCGTATGTGGCCTTCTGTGACGCCTTTTCACTTGCATGGTGTGTTTAAGGTCCATCCACACTCAGCACGTTTCCTCGCTGCACGATACTCCAGTGTCTGGATACACCCATTTTGTCTGTCCATGCATCAGCTGATGGACCCACTGAGGTGCCTTACGCGAGCCCAGCACTATTCTGCGTGCGGGGGGTCCCTGCTTTGGTCCAGTTTCATGTTTGTGTGTGGATACCTTCAGAGGGCGGTAACTGATGAAAAGAAAATAAAACTGGGTGAAGCGTTCGAGCGAGAGGGGCTACCATCTGCATGGGGCCGTCATTCATATTTATCGTAGCCTACTGTCTGCAAGTACTATTCTAGGCACTGTCCCAAATCCCTGCTCTTACAGAAGGTATATTCTAGTGGGGACCAGACAACAAGCATAGAAGGTGACAGAAAGAGTCAAGAAAAGGCAGAGGCAACCCTGGGGAGGCTCGCTGCTATTTCAGGCCGATGGTTGAGGGAGGACTTCTCAGGAGAATGTGAGCCAACAAGTAAGAAACGGAGTTGCTGGGCGTGGCGGCTTACGCCTGGAATCCCAGCACTGTGGGAGGTAGAGGCGGGCAGATCGCTTGAACTCAGGAGTTCAAGACCAGCCTGGGCAACATGGTGAAACCCTGCTCTCTACTAAAAATTAGCTGGGTGTGGTGGTGTGCACCTGTAGTCCCAGCTACTCAGGAGGCTGAGGTGGGAGGATCATCTGAGCCCAGGAGGTGGAGGCTGCAGTGAGCTGACATTGCGCCACTGCCCTCCAGCCCTGACAACAGAGCAAGACACTGTCTCAAAAACAAAAAAAGAAAAGGAAAAGAAAAAAAAGGAATCATGCAGGTACTGGTGGGAACAGTGTCCCAGGAGAGGGAAAGGCAAGGAGAACGAGTACTCAAAGGCACCTTTGAGGAAGTAATATTTGAGCTGAACGTGCGTGACAAGGAGGACCAATGCACGCACAGATCTGGGAGAAGAGCAGTGAGGTGAGGGGGCAACAATCAGAGCCACAAGAAGCCCCTGAAGAGAAGCCTGGGGCACTGAGGACAGCCAGCAGGATGACTCCTGGGGTTGGGCCTGAGCTACAGGGAGGCCATGCCATCTTCTGACAGTGGAGAGGGCAGGTCTGCCGGGCGTACGTGGTGGGCCTGGGGTCCCCACTGGAAACAGCTCTCTTTGACAACATGAATCTGGGATGTTTGAACACCAAGTGGAGCCATCAGGTCAGCAGTTAGAGCTGAGTGTCTGCCACAGAGACCTAGAGCTACAGGGTGAAGGAACGTGCTGGGGAGCAGGGGAGAGGGTGAAGCGGATGTTGGGTGCTCAGCCATGCCCCACACTCCACCTCCAACCACAGCACCTCTGAGACAGACTGGACCCTTCCTGAAAACAAAAACCAAACGGGATGAGTGTGTGGGGGGTAGTGAGCTTCCTGTGGCTGCTCTAAGAAGTTACCACCAACTTTGCTGCTTAAACTAGATTTATTCTCTTGCAGTTCTGGAGCTCGGAAGTCCAAAATGAAGGGGCAGGCAGGGCTGGTTCCTTCTGGTGGCCCTGCAGGGAGATCTGTTTTCTTTTCTGCTTCGACAGCCTGCCCTCCTCTCCTGGCTGGAGGCCCTTGCTCCCTCTGCAAAGCACATCCCTCCCACCTCTTCTCTGTCACCAAGCCTCCTCTTCCTGCCTTTGACTTCTTGCTTGCTTTTTTTTTTTTTTTTTTTTTGAGATAGAGTCTCGCTCTGTCGCCCAGGCGGGAGTGCAGTGGTGCGATCTCGGTTCACTGCAAGCTCCGCCTCCCGGGTTCAAGCCATTCTCCTGCCTCAGCCTCCCGAGTAGCTGGGACTACAGGCACCCACCACCACGCCCGGCTAATTTTTTGGTATTTTTTAGTAGAGACGGGGTTTCACCATGTTAGCCAGGATGGTCTCGATCTCCTGACCTCGTGATCCGCCCGCCTCAGCCTCCCAAAGTGCTGGGAGTACAGGCGTGAGCCACCACGCCCGGCCTCTTGCTTCCCTCTTACAACGACTCCTACTGTTGCACAGAGGGCCCACAAGCTAATCCAGGATCCTCCCCTCATCTCAAGGTCCTTAATTCCACCATATCTGCAAAGCCCCTTTTACGGTGCAAGGCAACATCATCACAGGCTCAAGTGATCGGATACGGGTATCTGTGGTGGCGGGACGGGGACATGGCTCAGCCCACCACGGAGTGTCAATGGTATCCAGCATGTGGGGTTTGCCAAACAACAACAAACAAAACCACCCAATTTTTATAAAACCCCGTGGCGTGCGAGCTTTGATGGCAGAGTGTTACAATATGTTCAAGCCCTAAATCCCAGGACCTCAGAGGTGACTGTATCTGCAGACATGGAACACGTCATGAATTTGGGTGTCATGCCTGCACGTGGGCCATGCTAATCTTCTCTATATCGTTCCAGTTTTAGTAGGTGTGGTCTTTAAAGAGGTGATTAAGATAAAATGAGGCCACTGGTGTGGGCCCTAATCCAATAGGACTGGTGTCCTCGCAGGAAGAGATTAGGGCACAAACACGCATGAAGAGAAGATGACGTGAGAACTCAAGGAGATGCTGCCCACGAGCCAAGGAGACAGACCAAAGAGGAACCGGCCCCGCTGACACCCTGATCTCAGAGTTCCAGGCCCCAGAACTGTGAGAAAATACTTTCTGTTGTTTAAGCCGCCTGTTCTGCGGCGTTTTGATCCAGCGGCCCAAGTGGACCCACATTCAAGGCCAGCACTGGGCAGGGCGGGTCTCACAAATGCATGCTCCCAGCACAGCGCACGGCCCTCACAGTGCCAGGCTCCCAGCACAGCGCACGGCCCTCACAGTGATAGGCTCCCAGCACGGCGCACGGCACTCACAGTGCCAGGCTCCCAGCACGGCGCACGGCACTCACAGTGACAGGCTCCCAGCACGGCGCACGGCACTCACAGTGACAGGCTCCCAGCACGGCGCACGGCACTCAGAGTGCCAGGCTCCCAGCACGGCGCACGGCACTCACAGTGCCAGGCTCCCAGCACGGCGCACGGCACTCACAGTGCCAGGCTCCCAGCACGGCGCACGGCACTCACAGTGCCAGGCTCCCAGCACGGCGCACGGCACTCACAGTGACAGGCTCCCAGCACGGCGCACGGCACTCACAGTGACAGGCTCCCAGCACGGCGCACGGCACTCACAGTGCCAGGCTCCCAGCACGGCGCACGGCCCTCACAGTGCCAGGCTCCCAGCACGGCGCACGGCACTCACAGTGCCAGGCTCCCAGCACGGCGCACGGCCCTCACAGTGACAGGCTCCCAGCACGGCGCACGGCCCTCACAGTGACAGGCTCCCAGCACGGCGCACGGCCCTCACAGTGACAGGCTCCCAGCACGGCGCTCGGCCCTCACAGTGACAGGCTCCCAGCACGGCGCACGGCACTCACAGTGACAGGCTCCCAGCAGGGCGCACGGCACTCACAGTGACAGGCTCCCAGCACGGCGCACGGCACTCACAGTGACAGGCTCCCAGCACGGCGCACGGCACTCACAGTGACAGGCTCCCAGCACGGCGCACGGCACTCACTCCTGGTCTGACTGGCCTTCAACATTCTCTCCTGAGTCCATTCCTTCCACAGACATGCACGACCAAGTGTCTGCTCTGTGTGAGGAACTTTAAGACCCCACCATCTAGACTCACCGCCTCAGAAGGAGACAACCGTGAAAAGTGAGCGACAGAGGAAGGGGCGCCTGTTTGTGCCGCGGGAAAGATTTCAAGCCCAGGGGACGGCTCATCAGCTCATCAGACCTTCACCGTTCAGTAGCCAACTGGTCAGTGATCAGTAGATGCTGCCCTGGGGCCAAACATTTCAGACAAATAAACAACAGTGGGCAGACAGGCAAGATCCCTGCTCTATTTTTTTGAGAGGGGGAGACAAACGGTAAACAGATGTTTCCTTTCCGATAGTGACAGGTGCTGGGGGGAAACTAGACTGGCTGGCGGGGTGGGGGCAGCCCTGCAGGAGCTGAATGAGGAGAGGCTGCAGAGGGAGGGGCTGGTACCTGAGGGGCTGTTTGTGAGAATTAGCTGGTTCGGTGGAGAAGCAGAGGAACACCTGAGGGGCTCCAGGAGAAGCAGGTAGGGAGAAGAGGTTTTCTGAGGGGTGGAGGCAGGGGTCATACATGCTGGGCCTTCAAGGGCCATGATATGGTTATCATTACTATGTAATAAACCACCCCAAATGCAGTGGCTTAAACAACTACTTATTTCTCATGATTATATGCTGGCTGCCTGGTGCAGCACTGTGCTGGTGTTTAACAACCTTCTCTTCAGAAGAAAACAAAAGCAAAATTAAAAACCACCCTGATTTGAAGCATTTACCAATTTCCACAGTGCAAACACTCCTCCCAGGGCCCATTCCAACCAGGCCAACTGAGCTGAGTGGGTAAGGCTGGAAGGGGTGCCATCCCACACAGGCCACAGAAGCACACACCCTCGGGCCTGCAGGTAACAGGCAGGTGCGGTAAACTAACTAGAAAGTAGTGCGTCCTGAGCACTCATCACCTTTGTTTTCAGTGTAACTCAATTCTAAGTGTAGAGGATGCTTGAATAATGGCTGTCTACCAGTTACCAGCACTAGGCGTTTCTGGAGGTGGCTCCCCCGAAGATCACCCGGCTCCGTCCTGCTGCTGGTCAGCGCGCGGATCTGCAGGGCTAGGCTGTGCTCTGCATGCGGCCCTCCGTCCTCAGGGAGGCAAGACCCGGCTTCTCTACACGGCTGCAGCCGCCCTCAGAAGGCGCAGGAGCTAGCGTGCATGCCAAAACGGAGCCCACGTGGAGGCAGAGGGCGGGCACGGCCGCGGGGACAGCGTTCTGGTTTCCCCATCAAGCCAGGCTGGAGGGACGATCTACTTTCCTAAATCCCCTCCGTTCTCATGCTTTCCTTCCCTTCCCAGTGCAGGGCTCCCGGCAACCTAGCGGCCCTGGCAGTGACTCTGGGGCCTCTTCAGGGAGCCGGCTGCAGCTGCCTCAGGGCCAGCATTGCTCCACTCTCCCAGCCTGCCAGCCCGAAGCTGGGGGGCTGTCACCAGGAAACCCTTGCTGGCGGAAGCCCCTTCCAAACTCAGCTGCCTCTCTGCCTTGGCCACACCCCTGGGGTGAAGGCCGTGTGGTGCTGGGAGCAGCCCCTGGACCCCGGCTCTCACACCTGGGCCCGACCACTCCCATCCTGCTGGCCCTGAGGTCATTAAGATGACTTAAAGCAGATTTAAAACAGCCTTTGTAGCTGGCCTAGGGAGGAGGGTTGGCCTGAATCCCTCAGTCTGTTTTAAGCCAATCTGCCCAGACTTCCTGGCTGCAGTCAGAAGCTATGACAGAGGCCATCCCAGAGAGGCCTCACTGGGGTGGACGGGTTCACCTAGAACCTGAGGCCCCCTTCCCTGGCTTGGAGCCTGGGCAGCACACGGAGGGGTGGGCAGGGCTGACCCCCGCTTCTGAGGGGCACCAGGGAGCACAGAGGGAGCCGCAGATGAGGAGTGCGTGGGGAGACGGTCTGTGGGGCCAGCGGGCAGCTGCAGCCCTGCCCTGGGTTTGTCCCAAGGCTGGGCCAAGGAGCCAGGAAGAAGCAGTGGGATCTGCAGCAGCACCAGGCTGTCCTCCAGAAAGCCTGTGGACGACCCACGCAGCCACCCCACAAGGAGAGCAGGGCTCCAAAACCACCACAGCCGGTCAGTTTTGCTGGGTGGGATGGCTGGGTCTTGAGGACGAGGAAGTACAGAAGCTCATGAAAAGACGGAATGAGTTCACGGCCACCTGCTTCCATAAAACACAGCTCCTTACCACACCCGAGGAGTAACTGCCCTGATCTCCCTGCCTCCATAAAACACGGCTCCTTACCACGCTGGGAGGATAACTGCCCTGCTCCCAAGGCCTCCTCCCTCACATCACAGCCAAACCCAAGCTGTTCCGACTGCTCCAGGTAGAAATCCTCTTCACAGTGGGCCAGGAGTTGGACTTCTCTGAAGGACTAAGGAAGCAGGAGTGAGTCCCTAGGACACCTGGAGCCCAGAGGCTCTCTGAGCTGCCTGCCCTTCCTGGACAGGTGCAGCTGGTCCTGAGGAAAGACCAGCATCCTCTACAGGGCAAGTGTTCTTGTTTCTACTTTTTGGAGATGGGAAGGGGAAGAGTGAGTATCAACCGATCTCTCTAAGACACAGACGCAGGGTAGCCCCAGCCCACTTCATTGGCGAATGCCAGCCTCCCCTCTCAGCCTCGCACCTGCACAAACTGGCAACCTCCCCTCTCAGCCTCGCCTCTGCACAAACTCAGGAACTCCCCTCTCGGCCTCACCCCCGCACTAACTCAGGACCTCCCCTCTTGGCCTCACCCCTGCACAAACTTGCAACCTCCCCTCGGCCTCACCCCTGCACAAACTTGGGACCTCCCCCTCTCAGCCTCACCCCTGCACTAAGGACCTCCCCTCTCAGCCTCGCCTCTGCACAAACTCAGGACCTCCCCTCTCGGCCTCACCCCCGCACTAACTCAGGACCTCCCCTCTTGGCCTCACCCCTGCACAAATTTGCAACCTCCCCTCTCGGCCTCACCCCTGCACTTAGGGACCTCCCCTCTCAGCCTCGCCTCTGCACAAACTCAGGACCTCCCCTCTCCCTCACCCCTGCACCAACTCAAGACTTCCCTTCTTGGCCTCACCCCTGCACAAACGTGCAAACTCCCCTTTTGGCTTCATCCATGCACAAACTTGGGACCTCCCTTCTCGGCCTCACCCCTGCACTAACTAGGGACCTCCCCTCTCAGCCTCGCCCCTGCACAAACTCGGGATCTCCCCTCTCAGCCTCGCCCCTGCACTAACTTGGGACCTCCCTGCTCAGCCTCACCCCTGCACAAACTTGGGACCTCCCCCTTAGCCTCGCCCCTGCACTAACTCGGGACCTCCCTGCTCAGCCTCGCCCCTGCACTAACTCAGAACCTCCCTGCTCAGCCTCGCCCCTACACAAACTCGGGACCTCCCCTCCCGGCCTCACCCCTGCACTAACACGGGACCTCCCCTCTCAGCCCCACCCTTGCACAAACTCAGGGTCTCTGCATTGTGGCTTCTTCTGGTGCTCAGCTGAAGACAAAGCCTCCACACTGGATGAACAGGTTGTGGCTTCCCAGCATTGGCAGAATGAAGAGAC
The DNA here is from genome assembly GCF_000001405.40 of Homo sapiens. NCBI lineage: Eukaryota > Metazoa > Chordata > Mammalia > Primates > Hominidae > Homo > Homo sapiens. Next base: position 132,840,201 of record NC_000012.12, read on the forward strand.
CTGAGCAGGTTTCACAGGAGTCACTGAGGGACAGCAGGTGACAGAGTGACCATCACTAGCAGTGAGGCACTCGGAGCTCACTCTGCATGGGGCCTGCCTCCCTCGCATGGGGAAGTGAGGCAGCCCCAGACACGAGCCCAACACGAGAGCGGAGGAGCAAACGCGGCTCATTTATTAGAATATGCAAAAGAGAGGACTTTCCTCCACAAATACAGATTGCTGCTTCTCAGTTTCTATCAAGAGCAAGACAACAGTTGAAAACTGTATTCCTGAGAAGAAGCAAAAAAGTTATCAGTTTACAAACAAGGATAACAGGTGATTTCAACAAAAGATAAAAAACTTTTTTTTCCAAAAATCAAAATTTCAAGTATTATTCCAGATGACATGGCAAAGCTAGCACAGGCGGAAGCCAAGGTGCCCCTCAGGCTCTGTAGGGTCTTGGAGGAAGGGCCCGGGCAGCATGAGGGAGCGGCGCGTCCTGGGACCTGCCTCCAGCCCTGGGCTTGGGGCCGTGGTCACTCACACAAGGGAGCAGCACGTCCTGGGACCTGCGTCCAGCCCCAGGCTCGGGGCCGCGGTCACTCACACAAGGGAGCAGCATGTCCTGGGACCTGCGTCCAGCCCCAGGCTCGGGGCCGCGGTCACTCACCGGTTAGCAAGGAGCGACTAACTTGGCGGCCACGTCGAGGGTTAGCAGTTTTGGACATTGGAAGGTTTCTTTTTTTAATAAACAGAAGCATATGCTTATTCTTTCAAATACCATACTATACCCAATTTTAGTCAATTTGTAAATTATAAATTATATTATTTGTGCTACAGTTTGTGACATTTAAATCTTATTAGAAGATAAGCACCAAACCTATTAAAATAAAAAATAGATAAAATGCTGTGGTTTTCCCAGCAGCAGGATATTGTGTACGTCCTGTAGGCTGTAAACTTATGCTCCCTTCTCCTGAAACAATGTTTTTGATAAACTTGCCCTTCTCCCTTGAAACTTTTCCTAAAAACAGACTTCTGCTTTAACTGTAGTTTCGGAAAATGTACAAAAGAGCAAAACTGCCCCTCTCGGCGGGACGGCCGCATGTTACAGAAAGGCTTCGTCTCTGCTGCTGATGCCACCACGAGCCCTGCCCAGCGCTCACCAGGAGGGCGGGCTGCGGCCCCCGGGGCTCTGGGGAGGGTCTCACTCAGAGGGTAAAGCTCCACAGAAGAGTCACCCCAGAGCACCTGTCGGAGACCCTGCGTCCCTTCCCTCAGGGGGCTGTGAAAACACCTTGACGTGCTTGTCTCTGTATTTTAAAAACACGCTCTCTTCACCTCCAGTGCTGAAAGCTGCTCAGGGCCTCTGGATGCTTAGTTTTTGAACCTTGTCTGTTCACAGATATGATTGAATTTCCTGCAGGGAGAAAATGGCCAAATTACACAAGAGAGCATTGGAGAGGCAATCAAATAAATTACACAACAGAGCATCAGAAAGGCATTCAAATAAACGCATTCGGAAACCATACACAGAAAGAGCTACCTGAGAAAGAGTGTGTGTGCTTCTCACAATATCAAAGAAACTAACCCCCAAAGGTAAACTTCTTTATCCCTTTAAAAATTTTGAAACAGAAGTGCAAACATCTGGCCACGCACAGTGGCTAATGTCTGTAATCTAGCACTTTGGGAGGCCGAGGCGGGCGGATCACTTGAGGTCAGGAGTTCGAGACCAGCCTGGCCAACATGGTAAAACCCCATCTCTACTAAAAATATTTAAAAAATTAGCCTGATGTGGTGGCGAGCACCTGTAGTCCCTGCTACTCGGGAGGCTGAGGCAAAAGAATTGCTTGAACCTGGGAGGCAGGGTTGCAATCAGCTGAGATCACACCTCTATACTCCAGCCTGGCAGACAGAGCGAGACTCCATCTCAAAAAAAAAAAAAAAAAAAAGAAGTGCAAACATCTTAGATAATTTTTTTAGAGAAGAGAATAAAAGCTGCACCTCCTCAGGCATCCCCGTGGCATCTGCTGACAGGGCTGAGGCAGACACACCAAGCTGGATGGCCTGTGGCCACCTTCCCTCTCCACAGACTGTGGGCAAGGAGGACCAGCATGGCTGCACATTTCTACTGAAAACTGTCTGCCAGTCAACAGTGAAATCTCTTTTTGTAACAACATGGTCTCTTCCATGTGCTGTTTGTGCTCAAACACAAAGCAAGGTTTTTATTCCACAAAATCCCTGTGAGGGAGGCGCCTTTCTCTGAGTCCACACAACATCTCGTCCTGAGGGCACTGTCTCCATCACTTTAATCTGAACTCCTTGGGCCACAGGAGTGATTTACGTGATCACCTAACCTAAGAGATGCCTCCTGACCTACGCCTCCCAGGGCAATGCAGATGGCGCTGTGAACCTCCTTTAAGGAGCACGGGAAAGACACCACGTGAGGGTGACGATGTGACAGCAATCACAAATGCCTGCTCACGGGACGGACGAGAACCCAGCTGTGCAGCGCTTTGCGAGGGGGGCCTGAGGCCCTCAGTGACTGCAGCCTTCGACTTAGAAACGGCTAAGCCTGAAATGATGGGGTGTGCCCCGGATGCCTCAGACAACAGATAAAGCTACTCCAGCCAGGAAGACACAGAAGTGGAAGACGGAGATAAAACTGCATGAAACGAAGGGATAAAGGAAGAGCAGGATTTCTAAATGAAGATACCGGTTCCTAAAGGATGCAACCTGAGAGAAGCATAATGACCATATCAGCCTATTTATAAGCAGGCAGTTAACTCATTCATCACTCTGTAGCTGACGCCTGTGCCCCCAGCTGCACTCACATGGCGTGGTGAGCTTTCACCTGAGTGCGGCAGTTACGGCCCCAGTAGCAGTCAGGACGGGATGTTACGGCCACTGGAAAAAGAGAAGGGGTACGCATCTATGAGATGTATTGCACGCACCCACTCAGCTACCTGAATCCCAGCAGAGACCCAACGACAGACGCTGCGGTGGAAACGCACGGCCTCTGGTCCCTCCATAACTAGTTTCCTCGGACCGTTCTGAGATTTCAGGAAAGGAAACACATGTTTAACTAAAAACCCAACTGAGGGTCAGGTACAGTGGTTCATGCCTGTAATCCCAGCACTTTGGGAGGCAGAGGCAGGAGAATCGCTTGAACCTGGGAGAGGGAAGTTGCAGTGAGCCAAGATCACACCACTGCACTTCAGCCTGGGCGACAGAGTCAGACTCTGTCTCAAAAATAAATAAATAAATAAAAATTAAAAAATAAAAACCCAATTGAGGAAATAAAATTACCCCAGTTGACTATTGGATGTCTTTACAAATCTGTTTTAGAAACCCACGTTACACTCATGAGTAACTGCAAATAGACCCAGGGCCTAAAACAACCACAGCCCTGTATGGCCTGACGTCCTGCCGGCTCCTGACTGAGGCCAAATTCTGCTTAGAACATTGAGCAAAGTGCAAACAGGGTGTCTGTAAAGAAAAGAGTGCTGGCCGAGCGTGGTGGCTCATGCCTGCAATCCTAGCACTTTGGGAGGCCGAGGTCAAGAGTTCGAGACCAGCCTGGCCAACATGGTGAAACCCCGTCTCTACTAAAACACAAAAAATTAGCCGGGCGTGGTGGCGGGTGCCTGTAATCCCAGCTACTCAGGAGGCTAAGGCAGAAGAATTGCTCGAACTCAGGAGGCAGAGGTTGCAGTGAGCCGAGATTGCACCACTGCACTCCAGCCTGGGCAAAAACAGCGAAACTGTCTCAAAAAAAAAAAAGAGAGGCAGAAGCCAAGAAGCCAACCCAGACAGAACTAGAGCCATGAGGAAGTCGGGGGCTCCTTACCTGGCAACTCGGAAGCAGGAATGTTCTGCCGATACTGATAGGTCAGCTCACGGAAGCTGCGCAGGCCACAGCAGTAACACAGAACGGTGTCTCCCGTGACTCTGTAATCTGGAAGAAACACAGCCAGTTACCCAGCAACACCATCTTCCCAACAGCAGCGCACGGACTTCACAGCAGTGGGAGACTAACGCACTGACCATAAATGGGGTGAAGACAACGGGCGACACATTAGGAAAATAAGAACAAAGCCAATCTAGATACGAATTTATTTTTATTGAGACGGAGTCTCGCTCTGTCGCCCTGGCTGGAGTGCAGTGGTGCGATCTCGGCTCACTGCAAGCTCCGCCTCCCGGGTTCACGCCATTCTCCTGCCTCAGCCTCCTGAGTAGCTGGGACTACAGGTGCCCGCCACCACACCGGGCTAATTTTTTGTATTTTTAGTAGAGACTGGGTTTCACCGTGTTAGCCAGGATGGTCTCGATCTCCTGACCTCGTGATCCACCCGCCTCGGCCTCCCAAAGTGCTGGGATTACAGGCGTGAGCCACTGCGCCCGGCCACCAATTTATTTTCTTACAGCAAAACAATCCCACGTGGATATAACATTTATTTTATTTATTTTTTGAGACCAAGTCTTGCTCTGTCGCCCAGGCTAGAGTGCAGTGGCGGGGTCTCAGCTCACTGCAACCTCCACCTCCTGCGTTCAACTGATTCTCCTGTCTCAGCCTCCCGAGTAGCTGGGACTACAGGTGTGTGCCACCGTGCCCGGCTAATGTTTATACTTTTTTAGTAGAGATGGGGTTTCACCATGTTGGCCAGGCTGGTCTCAAACTCTTGTCCTCAGATGATCCGCCCGCCTCGGCTTCCCAAAATGCTGGGATTACAGGCGTGAGCCTCCACGCCCGGCCCCACATGGATATAAAATTTAAATATTAAAACTCCCAAAAAACAAGAAGAAAATGAGAAAATTAGCTATTTCTAAGTATGTCTTGAAAACCAAATTGCACAGAGGAAAGGATTTGTACATTTGGCTATCTACAATTTAAACATCAAAATTAAAATAAATACAACAAAAGTGAACTACTACTATAGTGGAAACATTTGCAACACAAATGAAAATGTGCTATACCCTTAATTAACAAAGATATCGGCCAGGCACGGTGGCTCGCGCCTGTAATCCCAGCACTTTGGGAGGCCGAGGCAGGCGGATCACAAGGTCAGGAGTTCGAGACCAGCCTAACCAAGATGGTGAAACCTCACCTCTACTAAAAATACAAAAAAAAAATTAGCTGGGCATGTTGGCGGGTGCCTGTAATCCCAGCTACTCAGGAGGCTGAGGCAGGACAATTGTTGAACCTGGGAGGCGGAGCTTGCAGGGAGCTGAGATTGTGCCATTGCACTCCAGCCTGGGTGACACAGCAAGATTCCATCTCAAAAAAAAAAATAAATAAATAAATAAAAATAAAAAAACTAAGATTAGCCAGGCATGGTAGCACACGCTTGTGGTCCCAGCTACTTGGGAGGCTGAGGTGAGATGATCTCTTGAGCCCAGGAGGTCGAGGCTGCAGTGAGCTGTGATCATGCCCCTGCACTCCAGCCTGGGCGACAGAGCAAGAACCTGTCTCATATATATATTTCTACAGCCTCCCTTAGTGATAAATTATCATACTCCACAAAGCATCGTGTGCCCCCCTGGAGAGGAGTGACCCTCACCAAGTGACTGACACATCAAGCAAGAGATTCACCAAGTCCCCGAGGGTCCCAGGACAACTGACCCCAGGACCTCTGGATAGACAAGTGGTAGAGACCCTCCAAGCTGGCCCCACCTGTTGGAGGCCACACAAATGTTTCTTATGATTAGGCATAATTGAAGCCTGTCAGTAACAGTATGAACCTGTGATCAATTTAGCAGCTGCCCAGTTGTTACCTCCTCCTTGCTCTTGTTACCCAATAAATATGAAGGGCTGTAGAAGCTCAGGGGCAGCCTTTACTCACTAGAAGCAGGGAGCTCTCCTCTTCTTCCCCATGTTGCCTTTCCTTAAAAGTTTCTTTTGTCTTTTTGTTTTCATTTCTACGTTTGTCCCTTTGTTCAGTCCTGTAATGATGGTCTCAAGCAGTAACAGCAGTAACTGCTGTAGTGAGGGTCTCAAGCAGCAGTAGTGGCAGTCGGCCACACCCACCCTCCCCTACAAGGATAGAAGCTGCTGGAATATGTCATACAGGTTCATGCTTAACTGTCTTTTTTTTTTTTTTTTTGAGACGGAGTCTCGCTCTGTCCCCCAGGCTGGAGTGCAGTGGCGTGATTTTGGCTCACTGCAAGCTCCGCCTCCCGGGTTCACGCCATTCTCCTTCCTCAGCCTCCCGAGTAGCTGGGACTACAGGCGCCCGCCACCACGCCCGGCTAATTTTTTGTATTTTTCTTTTTTTAGTAGAGACAGGGTTTTACCGTGTTAGCCAGGATGGTCTCAATCTCTTGACCTCATGATCCGCCCGCCTCAGCCTCCCAAAGTGCTGGGATTACAGGCGTGAGCCACCACACCCGGCCCACGCTCAACTTTCAAAAAACAACCTGAAGGCCGGGCATAGTGGCTCACGCCTGTAATTCCAGCACTTTGGGAAGCTGAGGTGGGCAGATCACCTGAAGTCAGAAGTTCAAGACCAGGCTGGCCAACATGGGGAAACCCCATCTTTACTAAAAATACAAAATTAGCTGGGTGTGGTGGCACATGCCTGTAATCCCAGCTACTCAGGAGGTTGATGCAGGAGAATCGCTTGAACCCAGGAGGCCGAGGGGGCCTTGAGCTGAGATCATGCCACTGCACTCCAGTCTGGGCAACAAGAGCGAGACTCCATCTCAAAAAACAAACAAACAAACAAAAACAACCTGAAAGCATCAGGATCTTTTTCCTCTCTTCCAGGGTGGGTGAAGGTCGGAGTTGTCACTGGGAGAGCAGACACGCAGGCACAGCCCTGGACACTCACATGCGCCTTAGAGCAGGAGGCAACAGAAGAACTCACCAGACAGCAGAAACACTCCCCGCTGGAGAGCCACGAGGCTCTCGGTCAACATGTTTTTCCATGTCAAACCTCTGGTTGCCAGGTAATTCTGTGACGCAAAAAAAGAGAGGAATAAGAAATACTCGTTTAGAGGAAGAAACACTGAAATAACGAGAGAAAACATTTCATAAAAGGCCCCTGAAAGTGTGCAAAGCCAAAGCTCAGACCCTTATAAGTGGCATTTGCAGAGGGCTGCACGTTCACGGCCTGCAGCACGAGAAGTCTTGTCCAAGAGCCTCCTGGAAGTCCCAAAAGGTTCCAGTGTAACAGTTACCAGAGTCTCTCAAAAGTTCTGCCAAGACCTACACAGCCCAGGTGTGAATGAGACATGAAAGCCAGGCCACAGTGCACACAGCCCAGCAACGAGCCCAGGCTGTTGCACAAGAAAAGCTGAGGACTTGGCATCTGTTCTCTGTGCCCTTCAAACACACACGAGCTGTTGAGCTCCTTCTGTGGGCATCAAAGCAGAGTGTGGGGCTGAGCGGGCGCCTGCCAGGTGTGTCTGTGGCAAGCCTCAAGGCCCCACCATTGTGTGTGCTGTCAGCAAAGTGCTCGGCAGGAGGGCGAATGCGCATGTTAAACATATGTAAATCCTAGAAACCGAGGTAGCTTCCTAGACGTGGGAAGGCAAATGGCCAGAAGAGACAGGGACCAGAGAAAAGGCCCTGGTCTTGCTAAAGGGCGGCACCTTCAAGAAGCCCTCACCGAGAGCTGTGGGAACAAGAGCTGCCGGGAACAAGAGCTGCGGGAAGCGGCTCCTACGAATTGGTGGCAGGAGGCACAAAAACGAAATACCTATTTTTGGAATACGGAAAAAACAGACAAACACCAATGGCATGCAGAGAACCAGCTGGCTGCACCAGTGAGGAAACATGGCTCCCGGCTCCCCAACCCGCAGCGGGTCAGGTAAAACAGATAAACACCAATAGAATGCAGAGAACCAGCTGGCTGCACTAGGGAGAAAATGTGGCTCCCGGCTCCCCAGCCCGCAGCGAGTCGGTACCTTCAGGATGTCTGACTCGTAGCTGTTGTTGTTCAGCACGCCGTCCAGACACTTGTCACCCAGGTTGAGCTCTGCCGAGATGAAGGGGCAATGTTACCTGTTTATAATGATGTCGCAGGAAAGCACTGTCTGCCCGACACTGAGGATAAACATATTTCTTTTCATTACAGATTCTAGAAAGAATAAGAAGTTCAATGATAAAACTCAATTTTAAACAGAGGACAAGCAGAAATGATTTCCATTCCACTCCCTCCTTAAAAAGATCAGCTCTCCGAGTCTCCCCAGCACCTGGTCTTGGTATCGTAACAGCAGAACCCCGCTGCAAGGATTCTGTCCTGGGAGTATCTCCCCTAATAATTCTGTTAAGGCTTGATTTTGAGCTAACACGAATTTGACACACCTCTGCAGTCCAGCCAGGAATAGGTATCATTTGATGACCAACAGTGGCCTCATCCCTATAAACATCAGGCTATGGACCCCACCATCCCCTGCCCTCAAGTTCACCAAGAGAACATGCAAAGGTCAAAGCAACTGGGGCCTGAAGAGCCAGTATTACCACAAAACGGGGCCAGGCAGCCGTAGCAGCCGGTCCGGGTGCAGCCCCAGTACAGGTGGCAGAAAGGCTGCAGGCAGACCGCACCTGTGGAGAGAGGACACTCGTTACACGCACTCAGCGCTGAGGGCTGTCTCCAACACAATTCGTCAGCACCAGGCTCAGGAGCTCAACTCTTTCTGGAAACATTGTTCAGGAGGGGTCTCATGGAAATCGGGGCGGGGCCACATCCAGCTAACGCCACCCAGGTTGTGATGGACTGTGATGGCGAGGAGTTGTATCCCTGAAAAAAGGCGAGGCTCACATTTTCTGGTTTGTTATTTTTTAGAGATGGAGTCTCGCTCTGTGGCCCAGGCTGGAGTACAGGGGAACAATCACAGCTCACTGCAACCTCCGCCTCCTGGGTTCAAGGGATCCACCCACCTCAGCCTCCTGAGTAGCTAGGACTACAGGTGCACACCACCAGGCCCGGCTAATTTATTTTTTATTTTTGTAGAGACAGGGTCTCACCATGTTGCCCAGGATGGTTTCAAACTCCTGGCTTCAAGGGATCCTCCCACCTCAGCCTCTCAAAGCGCTAGGATTACAGGCATGATGCACTGCGCCCGGCCTCAGACCCACATCGTTTCTTAAACTGAACATTTACAGGCGTGATGCACTGCACCCGGCCTCAGACCCGTATCGTTTCTTAAACTGAACATTTACAGGCGTGATGCACTGCACCCGGCCTCAGACCCGTATCGTTTCTTAAACTGAACATTTACAGGCGTGATGCACTGCACCCGGCCTCAGACCCACATCGTTTCTTAAACTGAACACCACATGCTCATCCCAGGAAAACAGTGAGAGACACAAAAGAAAGAAATCTCACCTGCTCCACCACCCTAACACGGCTTCGATGGGCTTCATTCTAGCTCTGAACATGCAACATGCTTGCCCCCAACTGCACATATTCAGGTGGCTTTTTTTTTTTTTTGAGACAGAGTCTTGCTCTGTGGCCTAGGCTGGAGTATAGTGGAGCAATCTCGGCTCACTGCAACCTCCGCCTCCTGGGTTCAAGCGATTCTCCTGCCTCAGCCTCCCCAGTAGCTGGGATTACAGATGCCCACAACTGGCCAATTTTTTCATTTTTAGTAAAGATGGGGTCTCACCGCGTTGGTCAGGCTGGTCTCAAACTCCTGACCTCAGGTCATCCGCCTGCCTTGGCCTCCCAAAGTGCTGGGATTACAGGCGTGAGCCCATGCCCAGCCTAGGTGGCCTTTTTCTACCTAGGTATTTTTCCATGTTGTCACCTTGGCTTTGTAGACGTTATTTATTTATTTATTTATTTATTTTAGACAGAGTCTTGCTCTGTCACCCAGGCTGGAGTGCACTGGCGCCATCTCGGCTCACTGCAACCTCTGCCTCCCGGGTTCACGCCATTCTCCTGCCTCAGCCTCCCAAGTAGCTGGAACTACAGGCGCCCGCCACCATACACGGCTAATTTTTTGTAATTTTAGTAGAGATGGGATTTCACCATGTTAGCCAGGATGGTCTTGATCTTCTAACCTCGTGATCCACCCACCTCAGCCTCCCAAAGGAAATTATTTTTAATTGTCTGATATTCTATACAATGGAAATCCCTAAAATATAATGTTAGGTAAACCCTCGCTAAAATTCTCACAGGATTGAGTCCTTAAGTCTTATAACGCCTACGACCACTTCACCAATGCCTCTATATACGAAGCATGCTCTGTGAAATTAGAGTGAAGAGTTTGGATTCCTGGGGAAAAGCTGGGCCGAGCTGCCATCTGCTGACCACCGCGTGTGTGAGACATGGGACAAGCTGTTCTCTGTGGCTTCTCACCTGCCCTCCCACGTGCAGCATCAGCAGTGGCCAGCGCCTGCCGTGGATGACCCCCGAGGCAGCGACCGCCCAGATCACCGGGTGTGTCCCACGGCCATGTGTCCCGACGCTGCAGGCTAGGCCCCACCCCTGCCAAGCCCAGTCTCAGGGTACAGACCCCAGCAGTAACCTGTTTGGTTTCCTGAGTGCCCAGAACATTTTTAAGCCATTCCAGACAGAACCAGTGCTGTGGTCCTGTGTGCTGCTCACACAGGGCTCAGTGCACAGAGCAACACCGGTGTGTGCGGCAGGAGCCAACCGCGGTGCTCAACAGGGCTAGGGCTTTCTTCACCTAACACTTTCACATATAAGAAGCTCTGACAAATTAGGAAGTCATAAAAAAAAGGCAAAGGACATAGACAGACATTTCTGCAGGAATACATTAAAACAGCCATGAAATAAAGGACAAGCTCCATTTTTAATAATAACTGTATGTGTGTGCATATATATATATATATATATATATATATATATATGTTTTGTTTTGAGACAGGATTTCCCTCTGTCGCCAAGGCTGGAGTACAGTGGCACGATCTCAGCTCACTGCAACCTCCTCCTCTCGGACTCAAGCCATCCTTTGGCCTCAGCCTCCCGAGTAGCTGGGATTACAGGTGTACACCATCATGTCTGGCTAATGTTTGTATTTTTTGTAGAGATGGGGTTTCACCATATTGCCCAGGCTGGTCTGAAACTCCTGGACACAGAAGATCCACCTACCTTGGCCTCCCAAAGTGCTGGGATTACAGACGTGAGCCACTGTGCCTGGCCAGAGTTGTATACTAAAGCATCAACATTCATATAAGAGGTTTAACAGTGACACATTATAAAGCAACCACAGTGCTGGCAGGGGATAGACACAGATCCAAGCCGAGCCCCCGGTGGATGGAGATGTAGCCTGTGAAGGGGCAATGTTACTAGATGGTGGGAAAAGATAGATTATTCAATATGGTGACGTGGGGAAAACTGATCACACTGATGGAAAAAAAGAAACGGCATCCTTACTTCACAGGTTACCCTAAGGCCAACACCGCTTTGAAACCTGACCCCTGAAGGACAGATAGGAACCCGCCTGCGTGCGGTGGCGCGGGCACTCACACTGCTGAGGGGCGACACGCGGGTCCTGCTCGCGCTCCGCTCTCCGGTCGGGCATGGGCTGGAAGCAGCAGGTGCACAGGGCGTGGCTTCCTTGCAGAGGGCACACGTAATCCTGGACTGCTGAAGCACACGCACATTCAGCCGGAGCACGTGGGACCCAGGGCAGAAAGACAGCAGGTTAGAGAGGCCGCCGGGAAGCACAGCGAGGAGAGGTGCACCTGAGACAGCCGGGGAAGAAGCAGACCTGCCCTGCTAAACCACCGGGGACCTTCTGCCACCCAAACTCGGGGAGTCAAAACAGATTAACAATAACCAAAAATGATCTTTGATTTAGCAGCTGGAGCAAGATTTCAAAGATCTGTTGCAAGTTCTCTTTTTTTTTTTGAGACAGAGTCTCACTCTGTCGCTCAGGCTGGACTGCAGTGGCGTGATCTCGGCTCACTGCAAGCTCCGCCTCCCGGGTTCACGCCATTCTCCTGCTTTAGCCTCCCGAGTAGCTGGGACTACAGGTGCCTGCCACGCCTGGCTAATTTTTTTTTTTTTTGTATTTTTAGTAGAGACAGGGTTTCACCATGTTAGCCAGGATGGTCTCAATCTCTTGACCTTGTGATCCGCCCGCCTCGGCCTCCCAAAGTGCTGGGATTACAGGCATGAGCCACCGTGCCCGGCCGATCTGTTGAAGGTTTTCTATTATTTCCTATAAAGAGAGGACAAGCCCATAGAACCTATGATATAGAATAAAACAAGCTGTGTGTTCAATTTCCGCTCAGGTGAGAGAACAGCCATCTCTCAAATAAACAAAGGACAGCCACGGTGCACAAGACCAATCGATGTGGCAGCAGAAGTCTGAGCCCACACAGCCAAGTTCCCTGGACACTCGCCACCCACACAGGAAAGACCCTGCGAGGTCAACATGCCGGCCATAAGGACGGCAATTTCACCACCCAGGTTCACTGAGCACCCACTGAGGGACCCAGGACCCCAGAGGGAGGCGCTGGTCCCACCATGCAAAGGAAGGAGCTTGTCCAGTGACCCAGACAGAGCTGCTGAGTGGCGGAAGCAAACCCAGGCTGGTGGATGGGCATCCATACCAACGCCAAGCACTGCTTTGTCCGTTCCGTCCACGGGTTCTACAAGAAGCCACTGAGAATGCAGCACAAGGATGTGGCTCTACATCCATCCCAGGCCAGTGGCCTCGTGATGTGCTCAGCCCCCACCCGTGGCCAGGAAGCCAGGACCCCTGAGGGCATCTTCCCATTCTATGAGTCTGGAGTGAGCAGGGCAGAGAAGTGAAGCCTCCATACCCCCTGCCCAGCTCTCCTCTGACTTCCTGGATAGCACCTGGAGCCCCTTGCTGGAAAAAGGCACCTGACGGGGAAACATTTCGCATTAAGCCAACTCTGGTGACGCAGGGCAGCTTCTGGTGACATCGCCACTGCTGGGGAGAAGCCCGCCTCTTACTTGAGGGACAGATATGCGATCATCACTTTGGGTCTGGCAAACCCACTGGGGGACATCAGCTGCCCTGAGGCAGTGGCTGGGGAGAGGCCAAGTATTAAGGTCAGGGTTGTTAATTCCCAGGAGTGTTCAGGAGGGGCTACGAATGAACAGTTACTTATCTGATTTCCCAACCCAAAATCAGTCACGAAAAGCAACCAACTGTGAGTGCAGGGAGACCAATGAGGCCAGGGCCCAAAGGGGGCGAGCAGTGCAGACAGGAGGCGGGCAGAGCGCGGCCACGTGCACGTCAGCACCGGGCACAGCCACAAAGTGACTCACGCGAAGGCTGAGGCCTGAGGGCGGCGCGGCTCACCTGTCGTCAGGCTGACGGACGTGGAGGGTGCATCCCCCAGGGCCTGTGGGGCTCCTGGCTCGCCCTCGGGTGCTGGGCAGTGGGGAGGCTGCGCCGCCTGCCTTCTGTACTCAGGACACTGCCGGCACACGACGTATGGCTGGCTGCAAGGAAGCACAGGGCCGAGCTGTGTGCAGGCCCCAAGCCTCTCAGGTAGGGCCGGTGCAACGCGGGTCCGCAGCCATCACAGCTCAGCTCCACCGTCGCTCAGCTGCTTGGTGTGAGGGGAAGGGCCGGGCCCCATTCCTGTCCAGCACCCCAGTGTTAGAGAGGGACCAGAACGAGTCGAAGGGCAAGGACACGCCACTCTGCATCCCCAGCTCAGCCCCCACGCTTTGGAGCCCCATCCCCAGGGTCACTAGGTCCCCACTGACGTGTGCTCCCAGGAGACGACGCCAGAGCAGGGCAAGGGCCAGCACGTGCGCGCACGCCCCGTGCTCCTCAGGACCCGCCTACTCTCCCGTTAAAAGCAGAGCGCGGTGGGCAACGTACTGGGAGCCACACCAGGCGCCTGCAAAGCCCCGAATCACTTGTCTTTTCCACACTTCCCTTGTACTTCCAAAAACGAGCAGATAAAAATGTCAACTGTAAAAAAAGAACCTGTAGGAAAAAATACACGAGGCTCTCCTCTCCATTTGAAAGGCTTTTCTGCGCCTCACACCAAGGCCAGGGGCCAATAAGGCCAACAGGTAAGACCCAACCAGGTAAAAAACAAGGCACAGTGAAAAGACATTTTTTTCATAAGGAAAAAATGTAAATGAAAATGAGATTACCTACTTCTCCTTCTAAACTGGCAAAAAGAGGCCCTCATGCAGACCTTGTAGAGTGCATTAGGTGCACCCTTTCCGATCGGTGTCTGGATAACAAACTTATCAAACGTCTATCAAGGTCCAATTCCCAGTCACACTCTGTGACTCGACTGCTTCACGTCTAAACATTGACGTCACTGCGCATGTGCACAAATACGGATGGAAGAAATGCACAGCAGCAACTGTTTCCCAATTCAAACGCTGGGGACATTACCGAGCTGTACATGCAGCCGAATCCCAGCTTCATAAAAATATTTGTTTCTCATGCCTGTAATCCCAGCACTTTGGGAGGCTGAGGCGGGCGGATCACGAGGTCAGGAGTTCAAGACCATCCTGACTAACACGGTGAAACCCAGTCTCTACCAAAAATACAAAAAATTAGCCGGGCATGGTATCGGGAGCCTGTAGTCCCAGCTACTCGGGAGGCTGAGGCAGGAAAATGGCGTGAACTCGGGAGGCGGAGCTTGCAATGAGCCAAGATCCAGCCACTGCACTCCAGCCTGGGCAACAGAGCGAAACTCCATCTCAAAAAACAAACAAACAAAAAATAAATTTGTTTCTCACGCCTATAATCCCAGCACTTTGGGAGGCCGAGGCGGGCTAATCACCTGAGGTCAGGAGTTCAAGACCAGCCTGGCCAACATGGTGAAACCCTGTCTCTACTAAAAATACAAAATTAGCGGCCGGGCGCGGTGGCTCACACCTATAATCCCAGCACTTTGAGAGGCCAAGGCAGACGGATCACTTGAGGTCAGGATTTCGAGACCAGTCTGGCCAACATGGTGAAACTCTGTCTTTACTAAAAACACAAAAATTAGCTGGGTGTGGTGGCATATGCCCGTAATCCCAGCCCCTCGGGAGGCTAACACGGGAGAATCACTTGAACCCAGGAGATGAATGTTGCAGTGGGCGAAGGTCATGCCACTGCACTCCAGCCTGGGCAACAGAGCGAGACTTTGTCTCGAAAAAAAAAAAAAAAGAAAAGAAAAAAAAATTAGCCAAGTTTGGTGGTGCATGCCTGTAATCCCAGCTATTTGGGAGGCTGAGGCAGGAGAATCGCTTGAACCCGGGAGGCGGAGGTTGCAATGCGCCAAGATTGTGCCATTGGCAGGGCGCAGTGGCTCATGCCTGTAATCCCAGCACTTTGGGAGGTCGAGGCCGGCGGATCACGAGGTCAGGAGATCAAGGCCATCCTGGCCAATGTGGTAAAACCCCATCTCTACTAAAAATACAAAAAAATTAGCTGGGTGTGGTGGCATGCGCCTGTAGTCCCAGCTACTCGAGAGGCTGAGGCAGGAGAATCGCTTGAACCCAGGAGGTGGTGATTTCAGTGAGCTGAGATCGTGTCACTGCACTCCAGCCTGGCAGCAGAGCGACACTCCATCTCAAAAAAAAAAGAAAAAAAAAATTTGTTAGTACATTACATTTCATTTTGTTAACGATTATGACACACGTATGAATGGCTGGGTAGAGGCAGCAAAATCTTAATGCTAAAGTGGTTTTGGTTTCCTTCTTTTTGCTTAACAGTCACATGCTAAACTTGGCAAAAGGAAATAAAGATAAAAGTTTCAAGTGTTTTTTTTTGTCGTTCATTGTCTTTTTAAATATCATGGCCTCGACCCAACATTCAGACCCCGGTCTTGTGCATTAGGAAACCTCAACATGTCAGCAGATAAATAAGGTCTCTGAGGCTGGGATTGTCTTGGCCTGGTGATGGTGCCTCTTCTGTAATAACGTCCTGACAAATGATAAACATTGCAATTTATACTATAGGACTTTATAGTCGCTAGATCAACTACAAAGAATACATGTGCTCATGTGGGAAAAAATAACATGGAATGATGTCCCTCTGTCACAGCCAGAGATGCCACACCCATGACGAGTCGAAGCAAAGGGAAGGGTGTCAGCCGAGGGTGCAAATGTCTACAGCAGTCGCCTGCGGCTGACGCTCTGCTGGCTACCCCCTGGCTACCCCGCTAAGTGTTCACCCAGTCCCTGCCACGCCTCTCAGGGGAGGTGCTAATACTATCCAATATCAGAAAACAAGCTCAAGCCATTTAAGAGCTTGGCTGCTCAGGGCAGAACTAGATCTCAGGACCCATGCTGTCCACCCAGTAGTGAGCTCTCGGTCACGGTTGTGATGCTCCTCTGGCTCACACACTCTGCTCTGAGCCAGGGGCATGATTTACCTAATGTCTGAGGACTCACTGTCAACGTCTGACAGCTCCAGCAGGTCCTCTGAACTCCCTTCTTCATCAGAAAAAGACCGCCTGACTTTGGGCTGCAGCATGTCTTGAGTGATTTTATTTCTGGCATCCATACTTTGCACATCTTCTTCACTGCGACTCTTGTCTAGAATTGAAAGGACACAGCGCCATTCACCGGCAGTGAGACATGGCAGGCAGACACAGCTCACACTGCTGGGAGCTCGCGTGCGCAGTGCTGCGGAAGGAGGGGTCTGGGCGGACCGCCCTCACGTGCCCGGGTGCTGGTGGAGGGACTGCCCTCACGTGCCCAGGTGCTGGTGTGGATGCCCTCACGTGCCCGGGTGCTGGTGGAGGGACCGCCCTCACATGCCTGGGTGCTGGTGTGTGGATGCCCTCACTTGCCTGGGTGCTGGTGGAGGGACCGCCCTCACTTGTCTGGGTGCTGGTGGAGGGACCACCCTCGCTTGCCCAGGTGCTGGTGGAGGGACCACCCTCACGTGCCCGGGTGCTGGTGTGGATGCCCTCACGTGCCTGGGTGCTGGTGGAGGGACCACCCTCACGTGCCCGGGTGCTGGTGGAGGGACCACCCTCACGTGCCCGGGTGCTGGTGGAGGGACAGCCCTCACGTGCCCGGGTGCTGGTGGAGGGACAGCCCTCACGTGCCCGGGTGCTGCTGGGTGGATGCCCTCACGTGCCCAGGTGGTGGTGGAGGGACCGCCCTCACGTGCCTGGGTGCTGGTGTGGATGCCCTCACGTGCCCGGGTGCTGGTGGAGGGACCACCCTCACGTGCCCGGGTGCTGGTGGAGGGACAGCCCTCACGTGCCCGGGTGCTGCTGGGTGGATGCCCTCACGTGCCTGGGTGGTGGTGGAGGGACCGCCCTCACGTGCCCGGGTGCTGGTGTGGATGCCCTCACTTGCCTGGATGCTGGATGAGGTATGCTTCCACGAGGTTGTTGAGGATGTGGTTTTTACAGATCCGCTCCACGGGACAGCGGCAGGTAGGACACAGGGACGAGCGCTCCATCCAGCCCGAGTAGCAAGCCGCGCAGAACGTGTGCATGCAGGGCTGCAAACTGAAAGTGCAAGAGGAACAGTGTCCAGACAGTCCCACAGATGCAACCGCGACCCTCGACCAAGGTCCGCAGCAGCCCCACCACGGAAGGGCCTACAGGGGCCCAGCCATCGTTCAACCTAAAAACCCTTTAAGTCAGTCTTGGTTAATGAAAAGAAATCAGAGGCCACACGGCCTCTGTGTTTTCAGGAAAGACAGAGGCGAGTAGATTATGACTTCAGGAACACAAACAACAGAGACAGCAAGTGTTTCTGGCCCAGAAGTTGGAAGGTTGTCACTCTTGAGTTCCCGCGGAAAAGCAAGGAGGCCCTTCCTCAGCGGCTCCTACGTTCATTCTATGCGAAATACACCTTCCCAGATAAGGAGCATTTAAAATGTGCAGAGTTCCTTTCATCTGTTTGCAGAGTTCACGGGGTCACACACGACCCACACACTCAAAACTTGTGGGGTCTACAGCCTCCGGCTCTGGGTTCCAGGTTTCCTCCTTGTTGGTGCCACGAGTAGAATGAAAGTGGTAGCCATGCGGGGTGGCTCACGTCTGTAATCCCAACACTTTGGGAGGCCAAGGTGGGCAGATTACCTGAGTGCAGGAGTTCGAGACCAGCCTGGCTAATATGGTGAAACTCCCGTCTCTACTAAAAATACAAAAAAATTAGCCAGATGTGGTGACGCATGCCTGTAGTCCCAGCTACTTGGGAGGCTGAGGCAGGAGAATCACTTGAACCTGGGAGGTGGAGGTTGCAGTGAGCCAAGATCACACCACTACACTCCAGCCTGGGTGACAGAGCGAGACTCTAACTCCAAAAAACAAAAACAAAAACAAAAAACCACCCCGGGCTACATGGCGAAACCGTCTCTACAAAAAACACAAAAATCAGCAGGGTGGCTGGGAGTAGTGGCTCACGCCTATAATCCCAGCACTTTAGGAGGCAAACGTGGGCAGATCACCTGAAGTCAGGAGTTCAAGACTAGCCTGGCCAACATGGTGAAACCCTGTCTCTACTAAAAAATACAAAAAAATTAGCCGGGCATGGTGGCACACGCCTGCAGTCCCAGCTGCTCAGGAAGCTGAGGTAGGAGAATCGTCTGAACCCGGGAGGCTGAGGTTGTAGTGAGCCAAGACTGTGCCACTGCACTCCAGCCTGGTGACAGAGCGAGACTCCATCTAAAAAAAAAAAAAAAAAAAAAAAAAAAAAGGAATAAAAAATATTTAGAACATTAAAAAAAAAAAAAAAGTCAGCCAGGCATAGTGGTGTGCACCTGTAGTCCCAGCAACTCAGAAGGCTGAGGTCAGAGAACCGCTCAATCCTGGGAGGGAGAGGTTGCAGTGGGCTGAGAAAGCTCCACCCACTCCACCCACTCCACCCACTTATCTGGGTGACAGAGTAACCTCAGCAGATGCCAGGCCAAACAGGACCTGCAGGCTTGTCTCATGCCCAGCCCTGCCCCACACGGGACGAAGAACCTGCAGTGCCATGTTCCGTGAGCCAAGGGTGAACACGGTCGCACCTCACGCAGTCGTGCAGCAGGTCCTGGCAGATGATGCATGTCAGCGTCTCCTCCATCTTGTCTGGCTTCCCAGCCGCTGCTCTGACGTCCTCGTGGACGGTTTGGGCATTTCTACGCGGTTGTGCGACCAACAACTGCCCGTTCAGGTCAAGGTCCCCATCTACAGGAGAAAGGGATGTGTTCTGTCGTAACCAAGAAGGAAATACACGCAGGTTCAGGTCAAGGTCCCCGTCCACAGGAGAAAGGGATGTGTTCTAACTGTCGTAACCGAGAAGGAAATACATGCAGTCTTTTTTTTTTCGAGACAGAGTCTCGCTCTGTCGCCCAGGCTGGAGTGCAGTGGCGCGATCTCGGCTCACTGCAAGCTCCGCCTCCCGGGTTCATGCCATTCTCCTTCCTCAGCCTCCTGAGTAGCTGGGACTACAGGTGCCCACCACCACGCCCGGCTAATTTTGTGTATTTTTAGTAGAGACAGGGTTTCACCGTGTTAGCCAGGATGGTCTCAATCTCCTGACCTCGTGATCCACCCGCCTCGGCCTCCCAAAGTACTAGGGTAACAGGTGTGAGCTACCGCGCCCCACCCTCTTCTGGTGTTTTTATTTTTCTATAATGCTCAGATGTTGGTAATCAATTAATTTTTATTTTTAATTAAAGAAACTGTACACAATTTAAAAAGCCAAGTATTTAGAAGAAGCCAGGTGCAATGGCTCACAACTGTAATCCCAGCACTTTGGGAGGCTGAGGTGGGCAGATCGCTTGAGCCCAGGAGTTCAAGACCAGTCTGGGCAATATAATGAAACCCCATCTCTAAAAAAATGGGAAAAAAAATTAGCCAGCTATGGTAGCGTGCACCTGTGGTCTCAGCTACTCGGAAGGCTGAGGTGGGAGGACAGTCTGAGCCCAGGAGGTGGAGGCTGCAGTGAGCCAAGACTGCACCACGGCGCTCTGGCCTAGGTGACAAAGCAAGATCCTGTCTCTTAAAAAAATGTATACATAATATATTTAGAAGAAAACAAAGGCAGTCACCCTCCGTCTCAGCCGCTCCTCACCCAATTTCCCTCCTCGGAGGAAAACTATTTTCATGTCTTTGAGCTGTTTCTTCTGGTATTTACCTCTGTGTTTCTAAGTTATCATGGTACATTTGATTTATCAATTTTAGACATCATTCCTGACATCTATTAAGGTAGAGAAAAACTCTGTCCTGAGACACCCCTGCCAACATTACATTAACAGATTACATTAGTTCATGATACTGTATTTGTATTATTATGCTTATGCAAGTATTCACTGCTGAGCCAAGTAGTTTACTAGATTAAGTTGTGTGACTTACACAATTTTTCATGTTTGCTAGAATTAAAATTTCCTCATTCCTGTGCTTATTTTTCCTGTGTAACTGTTGCTGACTCTTTCCACACCTTCCCCACACCGATCAACCCCACGTGTCAGATAACCTAATTTCTTTCCCTGGGGACCCCTCCTAGAACCTTCCTGTCACAGTGCCCCAGTGGCTGGCTGCTCTCTGGACTGCTATACAGCAATGCTTCTACCATAACATTCCCAAATGTTTTCTAATAATCTTAACTTTGGCTTTCAAAGTGCAGACTTCTCCCTAAATCATCTTCAATGTGAAGATTTAAGCTACATTTTTAGAAATTATTGTCCTACCAGGACAGAGGGCTTTCTTTTTGATTTTCTTTTTTTTGAGATGGAGTTTTGTTCTTGTTGCCCCGGCTGCAGTGCAATGGCACAGTCTTGGCTCACTGCAACCTCCACCTGCCGGGTTCAAGCAATTCTCCTGCCTCAGCCTTCCAAGTAGCTGGGATTACAGGCATGCACCACCACACCCAGCTAATTTTTGCATTTTTAGTAGAGACGGAGTTTCACCATGTTGGCCAGGCTGGTCTTGAACTCCTGACCTCAGATGATCCGTCCACCTTGGCCTCCCAAAGTGCTGAGATTATAGGCGGGAGCCACGGTGTCAGGCTTGATTTTTATTTTTAGAGATAAAGTCTTGCTCTGTCGCCCAGGCTGGTCTCGAACGCCTGACCTCAAGTGATTCTCCTGCCTTGGCCTCCCAGTGTTAGGATTACGGATATGAACTACTGCACCTGGCCAGGAAGGAGGATTTTGAGATTAATTCTGCAATTCAGAATGCACTATTTCCAGACCAAGAGAACAGCCTGTAGCAAATCACAGTTCTATCTGGATTATGCAAACCGCAAAAAAACAGGCCCAGGTTTTCTGAATGAAAATGCCGGAGGTGTTACAGGCATCAACCTGAGGCAGGGTCCACATGCCCCTGCAGGAAGCAATGCCCCACAGCACGGAGCATGGCAGCGGCCCCCGCATGCCCCAGGAGCACACGAGAGGACTGAGGACACACACAACCAGACACTAACCTCCTCTCATTTTCTTCTTCACGGGCTCCAAATCCTCCTGATCCTGGGGTTCCAACGACGAAAAGGACGCAGTCTTTCTGTCTGGGAGAGCTGAGGCAAAGCTGGAGACTTCATCACTTGCCACAGAGGGACCACTTCCTTTAGGGGAGATGCCACCACCCCCAGACCCTGTGAGAGGAATCAAACAAGATAGGTGCTGATCCATCCAGCTCAGGAGAGAACCATGCCTGTAAGGTGTCACTGACTGGAGCCCAGTGCAGCTGGCAGCCTGAGATGTCGTAGTTTAGGAATGACAAGTGGCTTACGAGGAGTGTGTGCTCACTCAACTCACATCTTAACTCTATTTGTGCCTATCTCTACGTGGGGTGGAGCTGGGGGCAAGGAGCCCATTTGCAGAGAAACAAATGCGGAGATGTCTGTGACCAGGCTTAGCCCTCGAGCACCGAGTCTAACGCAGGGCAAACCCACATACCCGTGGTCATATGATACACACTGTGTCATAAACTTGTTACAACAGAGCTTTGGGCCGGGTGCGGTGGCTCACACCCGTAATCCCAGCACGTTGGGAGGCCGAAGCAAGTGGATCACCTGAGGTCAGGAGGTCGAGACCAGCCTGGCCAACATGGTGAAACCCCATCTCTACTAAAAATACAAAAAAATTAGACAGGCGTGGTGGCGAGTGCATGTAGTCCCAGCTACTCAAGAGGCTGAGGCAGAAAAATTGCTTGAACCCGGGAGGCGGAGGTTGCAGTGAGCCAAGATCGTGCCACTGCACTCCAGCCTGGGCAACAAGAGCGAAACTCCCTCTGGGGAAAAAAAAATAAAAATAAAAAATAGAGGTCTGAGGCTGGGCATGGGGCTCACACCTGTAATCACAATACTTTGGGAGGCCAAGGTGGGAGGATCACTTGATCCCAGGAGTTTTAGACCAGCCTGGGCAACACAGCAAGGCACCATCTCTACAAAAAATACAAAAAAGAAAAAAAAATTAACTAGGCGTGACAGTACGAGCATATGGTCCCAGCTACTCAGGAGGCTGAGGTGAGTGGATCACTTGAGCCCGGGAGTTCGAGGCTACAGTGAGCCATGACCACATCACTCTCCCAACCTGCACAACAGAGCAAGACCTCATTTTTTTTTTTGAGACGGACTCTTGCTCTGTTGCCCAGGCTGGAGTGCAGTGGCTCACTGCAAGCTCCGCCTCCTGGGTTGACGCCATTCTCCTGCCTCAGCCTCCCAAGTAGCTGGGACTACAGGCACCCGCCACCATACCCAGCTAATTTTTTTGTATTTTTAGTAGAGACAGGGTTTCACCGTGTTAGCCAGGATGGTCTCGATCTCCTGACCTCATGATCCACCTGCCTCAGCCTCCCAAAGTGCTGGGATTAAAGGCATGAGCCACTGTGCCTGGCCAAGACCTCATTTCTTTTGTTTTCTTTTTCTTTTTTGAGACAGAGTCTCACTCTGTCACCCAGGCTGGAGTGCAGTGGCGTGATCTTGGCTCACTGCAAGCTCTGCCTCCCTGGTTCACGCCATTCTCCTGCCTCAGCCTCCTGAGTAGCTGGGACTACAGGTGCCCGCCACCACGCCCGGCTAATTTTTTGTATTTTTAGTAGAGACAGGGTTTCACCGTGTTAGCCAGGATGGTCTCGATCTCCTGACCTCGTGATCCACCCACCTCGGCCTCCCAAAGTGCTGGGATTACAGGCGTGAGCCACCGCGCCCGGCCTGACCTCATTTCTTAAAAAAAAAAAAAAAATGCCAGGCGCGGTGGCTCATGCCTGTAATCCCAGAACTTCAGGAGGCCAAGGTGGGTGGATCATCTGAGGTCAGGAGTTCGAGACCAGCCTGACCAACACAGTGAAACCCCATTTCTACTAAAAATACAAAATTGGCCGGGTGTGGTGGCACATGCCTGTAACCCAGCTACTTGGGAGGCTGAGGCAGGAGAACTGCTTGAACCCAGGAGGCGGAGTTGCAGCGAACGAAGTTCGCGCCATTGCACTCCAGCCTGGGCAGTAAGATCAAAATTCCGTCTCAAAAAAACAAAGTAAAACAAAACAAACAAACAAAAAAAAACAGAAGTCTGTGTAAAGCACAGATGCTCCAGTGGAGGGATGCATAGCTTCCAACGGGTGGAGATGGTGCTGCGTGTGAACTATTTTACAAGAGGTGTGATAACGGGAAGGATACAGCACAGTGACTTGTAGGGAGAGCGCTATCTCCACGAGCAAGAAGCCAGAGTCATAACGACAGGAATGACCTTGGCAGAAAAACAGGCAGACTTTCTAATCACCTCTATCTTTTTTTTGAGACAGGGTCTCACTCTTCACCCAGGCTGGAATGCAGTGGCGAGATCTTCATTCACTGCAACCTCTGCCTCCTGGGCTAAAGCGATCCTTCCACCTCTGCCTCCTGAGTATCTGGGACTACAGGTGTGCACCACCATGCCCAGCTAAATTGTTTTTTGTATTTTTGGTAGAGACAGGGTCTTGCCATTTTACCCAGGCTGGTCTCAAACTCTTGAGCCCAAACAATCCACCCACCTCGGCCTCCCCAAGTGCTGGAATTACAGGTGTGAATAAGGATTACAGGTGTGAATAAGGATTACAGGTGTGAATAACCTATATCTTAATAAAGACTTAGTTTATCATATTACAGCATAATACATATCTAGCTTACAGTATTCAAATGTAAGTGTTATTATTTGAAAAAAAAAAACACAAGAAACTGGCTTACAGCAGCTGAAAGAAAACAGAATAGTTTTGGGGACAAACCACCTCATATACGAACAGAAGGAAAGAGACAGCCTGTGGGCCGGCCCCCAGCCGGCACCCACTCACGCCATCATCTCCAGCGCCCCGTGCTCAGCCAACGTGGAGAGGAGCACCATCTTACCACTTACAGAATGTACCTGGCACACTGCCTCACATTTAGTAGCTGCTCAATAAGCAGTAACTATACTTATTTTGTTAGTATGCATACACTTAGGCATACAGATAGAAGAATTTTTATTTTTTATTATTTTTATTTTCTTTTTGAGACAGAGTCTTGTGCTGTCACCCAGGCTGGAGTGCAGTGGCAGGATATTGGCTCACTGCAACCTCCACCTCCTGGGTTCAAGAGATTCTCATGCCTCAGCCTCCCGAGTAGCTGGGATTACAGGCGCCCGCAACCACACTTGGCTAATTTTTATATTTTTAGTAGAGATGGGGTTTTGCCATGTTGGCCAGGCTGGTCTTGAACTCCCGACCTCAGGCGATCCAACCACCCGGCCTCCCAAAGTGCTGGGATTACAGGCGTAAGCCACCACACCCGGCCAGAAGAATTTTTTTTTTAATTACATAAGTAATATATAAATACGCTGCCCTTTTTAAGTAGAACATTATCAAAAAATTATGCAAACCGTATTACCCAGACTACACACTGTGCTATGCACATTGGTGGATAGGAACAGGAAACAATTTTACTGGTGAAGTTTGTTTTCTTTACAGGCCAGAGCTATTTTGTGTTTGATTTCTGAAGAGGGTCTAGTAGCCACAAAATGCACATGGGACTTGGCCCTAGGGACATGGTATAGTTCATCTAGGCAGACAGTTCAAAATCTGCAGTCAATCCAAAATACTAGTAACCCCGCGTCCTGTCTGTGCTTGCTGCACTTGAAACGCTGTGGGCCACGCTGGAGCGGCCGGAACGCCACCTCTATTCCTCTGGGGCTGTCCCTGCACGGGGAGAGTCAGTGCATGCTGGATCTAGCTGTGAAGAGCCAGTGCACATCCCAGCTGTGCCCAAGGGTAGGTTTTAAGGAACCTGGAAGATACGATGAAGGGTACACAGCCCAAGAGAGCTGGTAAAACTTCAGCATTCAGGTGGCTATTCAAATCTGGCATGTTTTCTTTTCTTTTTTTTTTTGAGACCTGGTCTGTCGCCCAGGCTGGAGTGCAGTGACGCGGTATCGGCTCACTGCAACCTCCGCCTCCCAGCCTCAGGTGATCCTCCTCTCTCAGGTGAAACTCCTGTCTCAGCTTCCTGAGTAGCTGGGACTACAGGCGCCTGCCACCATGCCTGGATAATTTTTGTATTTTCAGTAGAGACGGGGTTTCACCATGTTGGCCAGGTAGGTCTCAAGCTCCTGACCTCAAGTGATTCGCCTGTCTTGGCTTCCCAAAGTGCTGGGATTACAGGTCTTTTTTTTTTTTTTTTTTTTTTTTGAGATGGGCTCTGGCTTTGTTGCCAAGGCTGGAGTGCAGTGGTGCAATCTCAGCACATTGTAACCTCTGCCTCCCAGGCTCAGGCAATCCTCCCTCCTCAGCCTTCCAAGTAGCTGGGATTACAGGCATGCACCACCACACCCGGCTAATTTTTGTATTTTTTATATTGTATTTTTTGTAAAGATACGGTTTCACCATGTTGCCCAAACTGGTCTTGAACTCCTGGGCTCAAGGGATCTGCCCACCTTAGCCTCCCAAAGTGCTGGGATTACAGGCGTGAGCCACTGTGCCCAGTGCTGAGATGCTTTCATCTTGAAGTGTTATTTTCTTTCACTCATAAATTTAAGGTTATGATGTTAAAACAAAGGTAAATCAAAGAGGCTCTGAGAAGCCGGGGTTGTGTTTAGTCTACAGGAGACAGGCTAGTAGAAACTTGTCTGTCATGGGTTTGGTCTCCGCTGTTCCTCTTATCTCCAGAAATATCAGGTGGAAACTACATAGCACTCACTCTCCACAGTCTTGCCTGCAACTTAGTGTCCCCAATTAGCACCTGAGAAGTCCTCCCAGGTGAGTCCCGAAATCACATCAGAATGTTACAACACACCAGAATGTGACAACACACCGGAATGTTAACACACCGGAATGTTACAACACACCAAATGTTACAACACACTGGAATGTTACAACACACCAACACACCGGAATGTTGGAATGTTACAACAGACCGGAACACCACACCGGAATGTTACAACACACCCTGGAACGTTACAACACACCGGGAATGTTACAACACACCAGAATGTTACAACACAGCATGTAACACCAAATGTTACAACACACTGGAATGTTACAACACACCGGATGTTACAACACACCGCGATTGTTACAACACACCAGAATGTTACAACACACCAGAAAGTTACAACACACCAGAAAGTTACAACACACCGCGTAACACCAAATGTTACAACACACCGGAATGTTACAACACACCAGAATGTTACAGGAATGTTACAACACACCAGAATGTTACAACACATTGGAATGTTACAGGAATGTTACAACACACTGGAATGTTACAACACATCTGGATGTTACTCTTCAGATGGCTGGGATGTCATCCATCAGACTGAGGTATGCTTTTAGAACACTCTGCTCCTGGTGACCAGCCTGGCCAACAACGTCTCTACTAAAAATACAAAAATTTTCTGGGCGTGGTGGTGGTGCGCGCCTGTGACCCCAGCTACTCAGGAGGCTGAGGCAGGGGAATCACTTGAACCCGGGAGGCGGAGGTTGCAGTGAGCCGAGATTGCGCCACTGCACTCCAGCCTGGGCAACAGAGCAAGACTCTGTCTCAAAAAAACAGAAAATAAAGAGCACTCTGCTGCTGAGGAGCTGGGCTCATCCAAAGGAGCCTCTGAAGAAGGAAGGAGCGGATGCAACAAGGCCTCAAGAACATCAACGAACAGGAGAGGTGTGGCTGCCCGTGTGAAGACAGAGCAACGGCATACAACGGAGTAAAAACCACATCAACAGAAGTGGAAACAGGCCCAGAGAGCGTGAGAGGTTTCTGGTTTCAAGAAGGCACACTGAGTCCCTGCACCCGATGCCGCTCCTTCCCCAAATCCCACTGGAATACACAGAGAGACATAAAAACAAGGAGTGTCCTGTAGCAGAGCAGCCAGGCTGGCTCATGAGACAGAGGGAGCAGTCTTCTGGGAGACATGGCTCTTGCTGCTGCGGATCAGCCAACAGATCCATGGAAAGCAAAGGTCCCTTCTCCGGAGGCTTCCTGGTGCCTGCCATGAATGTGTCAGTGATGTTCAGAGCTCTGGCAGCCACTGTGAAACCTCGAGGCAAAAACCTGAGCAAAAACAGCAGCGTGGAGTGCACAGAAGGCCCTGGTGACCTCAGGAGTAGCTGAGCTGAGCGGGCATTTCTGGACTTTTTATCAGGGAACCAGCTTTCCTGTCAGATCGAAACACAGCCTAATCTGAGATTCAGAGGCTCTTCTGTTCATAGGAATCTGCAGACTGCTATGGAATGTAAGAACGCGAGAGCCAAGCACTCCAGGACTAAGAATGAGCCCAGACGACACGAAGAAAGCCGTGAGACTTCACTGAAGAACAGGAAGAGCTTAACAAACAAGGAGAAACACCATTTTCCTGGGCTCTGTAAAACTGTCAATTCTCCCCAAATCAAAAATCTCAAAAAGATTTTTCTATTAAACTGGAAAAGCTAATTCAAAACATAATCTAGAATAGAGAATAGCTAAGAAAATTAAAAAAAAATAATATGTATAGCGCGATCCAATTTAGAGAATCCATATGTACACATCCTCCACGTGACAAACCCTAAAAGAAAACAGAAAACATTCCCGTCACGCTGCACCCAGATGGAATTTCTTCCCAATGACCATGGAAGAGGTAAGAGTCATGCCGTAAGGAACAGCATCTGCAAAACTAGTTTTAAATAACATCCTCTTCTGGATGAACTCTGAAAACACCACGCTAAGTGAAAGAGCCCAGTCACGGCTGGGCGCGGCAGCTCACGCCTGTAATCCTAGCACTTTGGGAGGCCGATCGGACAGATCACGAGGTCAGGAGATCGAGACCATCCTGGCTAACACGGTGAAACTCCGTCTCTACTAAAAATACAAAAAATTAGCCAGGCGTGGTGACGGGTGCCTGTAGTCCCAGCTACTCAGAGGCTGAGGCAGGAAAATGGCGTGGACCCAGGAGAATGGCGTGGGAGGCGGAGCTTGCAGTGAGCCGAGATCGCGCCACCGCACTCCAGCCTGGGTGACAGAGCGAGACTCCATCTCAAAACAAACAAACAAAAAACAAAAAAAAATTAGCTGGGCGTGGTTGCAGGCACCTGTAGTCCCAGCTACTCGGGAGGCTGAGGCAGGAGAATGGCGTGAACCTGGGAGGCGGAGCTTGCAGTGAGCCGAGATCGCACCACTGCACTCCAGCCTGAGCGACAGAGCGAGACTCCGTCTCAACAACAACAAAAAAGAGCACGCATGATTCCATGTCTGTGAAGTGTCTAGAACAGAAAAATCCAGAGGCCGAAAGCACACGCAGCTGCCAGGGGCTGGGGGGAGGGGACATGGGGAGTGACTGCTGATGGGGCCGAGGGGAAGGGGACATGGGGAGTGACTGCTGGTGGGGCCGAGGGGAAGGGGACATGGGGAGTGACTGCTGGTGGGGCCGAGGGGAAGGGGACATGGGGAGTGACTGCTGGTGGGGCCGAGGGGAAGGGGACATGGGGAGTGATTGCTGGTGGGGCCGAGGGGAAGGGGACATGCGGAGTGACTGCTGCTGGGGCTGAGGGGAAGGGGACATGCGGAGTGACTGCTGCTGGGGTCGAGGGGAAGGGGACATGGGGAGTGACTGCTGGTGGGGCCGAGGGGAAGGGGACATGGGGAGTGACTGCTGGTGGGGCCGAGGGGAAGGGGACATGGGGAGTGACTGCTGGTGGGGCCGAGGGGAAGGGGACATGGGGAGTGACTGCTGGTGGGGCCGAGGGGAAGGGGACATGGGGAGTGACTGCTGGTGGGGCCGAGGGGAAGGGGACATGTGGAGTCACTGCTGGTGGGCACCGGTTTCCTTTTCGTGTCAATGAGTGGTGATGGTCCCACACCTTGTGATGTACTAAAATCCACTGAAATGTACACTTCGGCTGGATGACTTTTATGGTATGCGAATTATAGTCTCAATGAAACTGCAAAATACACAATGGTACTAGAGTCCCTGATCTTCACTTCTCTTGGGAAGTGAAGGGAACAACACACTCAATATTGACTCCTACAGAAATCTCACTACTGAGAACCTCATGCCAGTCCTCAGTCGCTTATCTGCCTCTGTAACAACACAGGTAAAGAGTAGTGAACAAAAACCATGCAACCAGCACCAAGACCTCATGAGATGTGACCTCACCACAACTGGAGGAACGCTCTCGCCCTGCAGGAGAAGGCTCCGTGGAAGAGGCCGAGGCTGTGGGGAAGAGGTCTGACGTCGATGTTGATGGCTGTGGTTCCTCAAAGCACACCTGAGTGGCGGGCGACGACGGAGGGACCCGGGGATCGGCCCCTCGCCCTGCACCTGCACCTGAGGTATCTTTGGTCCCATGGAACACATTTTCCTTGTTAGCTTCTGTAACCCAAAAGGAGCAGAAGCAGCACACAACCAGGGCTCAAGCAGACACTCTAGGGATTGAAATGCTCTTAAGAATGCAACAGCCCCAAGGCCAGGCACGGTGGTGCAGGCCTGTAATCCCAGCACTTTGGGAAGTCGAGGCAGGTGTATCTCCTGAGGTCAGGAGTTCGAGACCAGCCTGACCAACATGGTGAAACCCCGTCTCTACTAAAAATATAAAAATTAGCCAGGCGTGCCGGGCGCGGTGGCTCATACCTGTAATCCCAGCACTTTGGGAGGCTGAGGCGGGTAGATCACGAGGTCAGGAGATCGAGGCCAACCTGGCTAACACGGTGAAACCCCATCTCTACTAAAAATACAAAAAATTAGCTGGGCATGGTAGCGACTGCCTGTAGTCCCAGCTACTCGGGAGGCTGAGGCAGGAGAATGGCATGAACCCGGGAGGTGGAGGTTGCAGTGAGCCGAGATCGCGCCACTGCACTCCAGCCTGGGCGACAAAGCGCGACTCCATCTCAAAAAACAAACAAACAAACAAACAAACAAAATTAGCCAGGCGTGACGGTGCAACCTGTAATCCCAGCTACTCGGGAGGCTGAGGCAGGAGAATCTCTCGAACCCGGCAGGAGGAGGCTGCAGTGAGCCGAGATCGCGCCACTGCACTCCAGGCTGAGCAACAAGAGCAAAACTCCGTCTCAAAAAAAAAAAAAAAAAAAATGGGAGACTGAAGCAGGGGAATTGCTTGAACCCAGGAGGCGGAGGCTGCAGTGAGCTGAGATCGCGCCACCGCACTCCAGCCTGGGTAACAGAGCGAGACTCCATCTCAAAACACAAAAGGAATGCTATAGCTCCTAACATGCACCCACTTCTTTGCTACACTCTTACTTACCAAAGGATTCTTGTGTCATGCCTTGCTTTTCACTTAAAGATTCATAGAGGTATGCCACGTCTAAAAGAAAATCAATCAAATCAGAAAAGTGGTGGCCCCTGTGCAAACTGAGAACTCATTTTTCTCTTCTGTTCTCCAGTCCATTTGTTTTTGTTGATTATTTTGACTCATCAGCTAATAACAAATTCATCAGTTTAAGAGATTTCAAAACAAGTAATCTAAAACATCTCTACCAACACAAAAGAAATAAGCCTCGGGAAAAAATGGCATCAGGAGGCAGAAGAAGGTGAAGAATCTATGCCTCACTTATAATTTCAAA
Organism: Homo sapiens; assembly: GCF_000001405.40. Lineage (NCBI taxonomy): Eukaryota > Metazoa > Chordata > Mammalia > Primates > Hominidae > Homo > Homo sapiens. The sequence continues at coordinate 132,871,043 of NC_000012.12, forward strand.
CTACACAAAGGAGCAGATACAAGATCCTTCCGTGTGGCCAGGGGCTGGTTAAGTTTATGCTGAAGATGCCTAAGACATATTTGCCCCATTCTCCCTCACCACTGTGGTCTTTAGGTATTTCAGGGGTGGCCAGGTGCAGTGGCTCTTGCCTGTAATCCCAGCACTCTGGGAGGCCGAGGCGGGCGGATTACCTGAGGTCCCAAGTTCGAGACCAGCCTGGCCAACACGGCGAAACCCTGTCTGTACTAAAAATACAAAAATTAGCCGGGTGTGGTGGTGTGCACCTGTAATCCCAGCTACCTGGAAGGCTGAGGCAGGAGAATCGCTTGAAACCAGGAGGTGGAGGTTGCAGTGAGCTGAGATCACGCCATTGCACTCCAGCCTCCGCAACAGAGCAGAGCGAGACTCTGTCTCTTATTTATTTAAAAAATTAAATAAATAAGTATTGGCCAGGTGCAGTGGCTCATGCCTGTAATCCCAGCACTTTGGGAGGTTGAGGTGGGTGGATCACCTGAGGTCGGGAGTTTGAGACCAGCCTGTCCAGCATGGCAAAACCCCGTCTCTACTAAAAATACAAAAATGAGCCGGGCGTGGTGGTGGGCACCTATAATCCCAGCTACTCAGGAGGCTGAGGCAGGAGAATTGCTTGAACCCGGCAGGTGGAGATTGCGGTGAGCTGAGATTGCGCCATTACACTTCAGCCTGGGCAACAAGAGCGAAACTCTATCTCAAAAAAAAAAAAGTATTTCAGGGGTGACCTTCGAAGGACTCCCATAACTTTCCTTGTCCTATACTGTTCTTCCACAAAACAAAAACGGGACTTCTGGAGCTGAAAAAACTTACTGGAATCCAGTCTAACCTTTGATGTTTCTTGTAAGGTCTCCAAAAGCAGAACCATCAATGGCCTCCAGACCCCTGGTCCTAGGTTTTATTCCCCATAACTCAAGTTCTTCTCCTGTAGAACCCAAACCATCCCCATCAGTTTCTCCTTGGCTGCCATTTTGGGATTGGCTGCTCATGGCCACAGTGGTATTCCTGAGGAATGGCTGGGCTCAGGCTGCAAAGTCGACACTCCCACTCAACAGACACTATTCACGGCAGGAACCCATGTGAGCAAGAAATGGGGTGTAGCCAGGAGGAACGTTCCTATGGGAAGGGATGTAGCCAGGAGGAACGTTCAGAGAGCGCCCTCACGTGCACCCCCGTGCGGGTCTGACCCCGGCAAGCCTTCCTCTCTCTTACTGTGTTCCGGTTCATTCTTCCTGTACACCAAGTAGATGACATCCCCAGTCTGTAAAGGGCATGTCTGCTTCTTAACAACCTTCAGCTTGTTAATCACTGTTCCACTGGTGCTGTAAAAAAACAAAAACACAATTTATTCTACTTAAAATAACTTGGAGTTACAAGATTTTTTTTCTAGCACCATTAGCAAGCAGCTCGATATGACCACTCTGGAAATACTCATAGGAACAGTGTAAATACGTAACGATGCACACATCCACGCACCCCTCACCATTCTCTCAAGAAATGGCTCGCCCACTTCTCCCTGACTGACAGCCTAACCAGCCACTACACCTCCTCACGTGCTTGGCAGCTCTGCTGCTGCAGGGCTGGGTTCTCTCCCCGTTTGCCTCCTAGTGGACCCGGAGGCCTCGTCTACAGTGTGGTGCTTCCACCTCCAGCCTCCCCTGAGCTGGACTTGTGCTATCCACAGTTCTGTTCCTTGCAGCCATCACAACCCCGGTGAACTCATGCCTCCAATGAGTACTGATCCCTCCCAAGAGACTGGCTCTGGGCAGAAGCGGACTAAATGCTGGGCCGTCAGCTGCAGGACATGGCCCTGCACTCAGAGCTTGTGGTCTGGCTGCCAAGCCCCTTGAGGTACTCTGCCCAGGGAGAGGCCAATGCAGATGCTGCTGACCCAGGGACAGACAGGAGGAGGCTAAGTTGATGGGGCAGGAAGTGCCTCCTGGGGACTTCTGAGCAGAGACCTGACAGCAAATCAGGTGTTGGTCAGGTGACCAAGATCCAAGAGCACAGCATACCCGACACACAAAACGGCAACCGGGCAAAACGACTGAAACCACACAGGCCTCAGCTCTGCAGCTTCACTCCCGAGGCCCCAGCAGTGGACAGAACTCACATCCGAGTGACCACCACGGTTTGCTGAGGGATGGGAGTGGCAAACGATTTCCATAAACAGAGGGTAAACAGTGTAGGTTTTGTGGTCACCATTGCCACTACTCAGCTCTGCCGTCTGTAGCAGGAAAGCAAATGCAGACAGTAAGCAAATGAACTGCCACAGCCGTCTCCCCGTAAAACCTCCGAAACCAGGCAGTGGCTGTGTGTGTCTGAGTTCTGCTGTTACAACACAAAGCTGACCCTGGAAGATGCGGTTTTGAGCTGTGCAGATGCACTTATACACGGGTTTTTTTCAATGAGAGGGAATGAATCCCACACATATGCTGGACTGACTTTCTGTGTCCTCCTGCTCCACAGGGCTGGCTACGGGGCTGGAGTGCACACGGACTTGGGTGCATGCAGGGGCGCTGGAGCTGGACTGACTTTCTGTGTCCTCCTGCTCCACAGGGCTGGCTACGGGGCTGGAGTGCACACGGACTTGGGTGCATGCAGGGGCGCTGGAGCTGGACTGACTTTCTGTGTCCTCCTGCTCCACAGGGCTGGCTACGGGGCTAGAGTGTGCACGGACTTGGGTGCATGCAGGGGGCTGGAGCCAATCCCCCCAGATGCCGAGGGGCGACTGCAGCCATCACTCATCCTCCTGTTCTTTCCAAACAAAAATCTGATTATTTCACTCCTCCGCTTACACCCCTTTGATGACTCCTCACTGCTCTCAGGCTAAAGCCCAAGCTCCCTTGTGTGACTTTGCCGCTCACCACACGCTCCGACCACACAGCCCTGCTTATGCTCAGGGGCCCCTACACACGTGGTTCCTTCTGCCTGAGCACCCCTCCCCTCCAGCCCACCTCTGCCAAGGAACGTGGCACCTCTGGAACCTGGAAAAGGCAGAGAACAAATTCTCCCCTGGAGCCTCCAGAAGAAACCAGCCCTGTTCAGACCTGGATTTTAGCCCCATCAGACCCATATCGGACTCTGGACCTCCATAACTATAGTAAGACAGCAAATTTGTGTTTTTTAAATCCATTAAGCTTGTGGTAAATTACAATAGCCATAAGAAAGTACCACCACCATGCAGTCAGCACAGGGATGCCATGCCCTGAAGCAGGCGGGACGGCCCAGGACCAGCACCCAGCGTGGGGAAGCCAGGCCCTGGAACAGGCAGGGAGGCCCAGGACCAGCATTCAGCGCAAGGAAGCCAGGCCCTGGAACAGGTAGAAAGGCCCAGGACCAGCACCCAGCGCGGGGAAGCCAGGTCCTGATGTAGGCGGGAAGGCCCAGGACCAGCACCCAGCACAGGGAAACCAGGCCCTGGAACAGGTGGGAAGGCCCAGGACCAGCACCCAGCGCGGGGAAGCCAGGCCCCGGAACAGGCGGGACTGCCCAGGACCAGCACCCAGCGTGGGAAAGCCAGGCCCCAGAACAGGCGGGACTGCCCAGGACCAGCACCCAGCGCGGGGAAGCCAGGCCCCGGAACAGGCGGGACTGCCCGGGACCAGCACCCAGCGCGAGGAAGCCAGGCCCCGGAACAGGCAGGAAGGCCCGGGACCAGCACCCAGCGCGGGGAAGCCAGGCCCTGGAACAGGCGGGACTACCCAGGACCAGCACCCAGCGTGGGGAAGCCAGGCCCTGGAACAGGCGGGACTGCCCAGGACCAGCACCCAGTGCAGGGAACCCAGGCCCTGGAACAGGCGGGACTGCCCAGGACCAGCACCCAGCGCGGGGAAGCCAGGCCCTGATGTAGGCGGGAAAGCCCAGGACCAGCACCCAGCACGGGGAAGCCAGGCCCTGATGTAGGCGGGAAAGCCCAGGACCAGCACCCAGCGTGGAGAAGCCAGGCCCTGATGTAGGCAGGAAAGCCCAGGACCAGCACCCAGCATGGGGAAGCCAGGCCCTGAAGCAGGCGGGACAGCTAGGGACCAGCACCCTGCCTTTCCCATTGTGCCAAGAAATAGAGAACTTAATCTGATATCTATTAGACTAGGAAACGGAGCATCAGTTCTTCCTATTAAAACCTACTTCCTAGTCTTCTATCCCTGAAACTATCAGTTACCAAAGAATCTCACAGAGCCTGATCTTTACCAAACAAAAAAAATCCTGCAGTGAGAACAGCACACTCTCAACATACTGCTAGAAGACCACCTGCCACTTGCAGCAGATTTAAAAGACGCACATTCTGGCCGGGTGTGGGGGCTCACACTTGCAATCCCAGCACTTGGGGAGGCTGAGGCAGGTGGATCACCTGAGGCCAGGAGTTCAAGTCCAGCCTGGCTAGCATTGTGAAACCCCATCTGAGCTAGGCGTGGCGGCGGGCACCTGTAATCCCAGCTACTCGGGAGGCTGAGGCAGGAGAATCGCTTGAACCCGGGTGGCGGAGGTTGCAGTGAGCCGAGATCGCACCAACAGCACTTCAGCCTGAGCCACAGAGCGAGACTCCGTCTCAAAAAAGAGAAAAAAAGGAATAGGCACATTCTGAGTAACACTGACACAGACTTCCCTTCCGAGAAATCATCCCAAGAAAACAGACATGAAGGCAGAGTTTGGGAAAGAGTCACTGCAGTGTTATTTATAGTAAGAAAAAGTCAAAACAATAAATGTCCACCAATAAGGGAAGTGACAAAGAAACTATCCTAAGATAATGAAAAGATGAGCTGGATGTAGATGCAGTGACATGTGAAGCGCTCCATAAAACACCGTAAGTGAAAAAAGCTGGCCGGGCGCGATGGCTCACGCCTGTAATCCCAGCACTTTGGGAGGCTGAGGCAGGCAGATCACCTGAGATCAGGAGTTCGAGACCAGCCTGGCCAGCATGGTGAAATCCCGTCTCTACTAAAAACACAAAAAAATAGCCGGGCTTGGTAGTGTGTGCCTACAATGCCAGCTACTCGGGAGGCTGGGGCAGGAGAATGGCTGGAACCTGGGAGTCGGAGGTCGCAGTGAGCCGAGATCGTACCACTGCACTTCAGCCTGCAACACAGTGAAACTCCATCTCAAAAAAAAAAAAGAAAGAAAGAAAAAAGCTGACGCTACAACAGTATGTGTAGTGTGATTGCATTTATGCAAAATATATATACCAACATATGCATTTTTAACGTATGAATAGGATTTTGGAAAGCTTTCCACTTTCCAAGTTGAATATCCCTAAGCTGAATGTCCCTAATCAGAAATGTGAAATCCAAAACTTTTTGAGCACCAACAAGACACTCAAAAAAATACTCACTGGAACATTTCAGAATTTTGATTCAGACATGCTCAACTGGTAAGTATAATGAAAATATTCTAAAATCTGAAACAATCCAAAATCTAAACAGTCTAGTTTCAATCATTTCAGATACTCAATCTGTACTTCAGTTGTACAAGAACGAGAATTTATTAGTTTTAAAAAATGATTTTTTGATTTGAGGGAAAGAAATCAAACTTGAATAGGCTTGCAAGAACCAAAAATTACCAGCATCTTTTAAGTCTTATTTCTGAGACATACTTAATTTGAATACATTCAAGAAGGGTCATAGACACCAAAGTGTCACTAAGTGTCCCATCCTGGAAACCAGGAAATACATCTTCTAATACCTTGGGAGCCTAATTAACTACAGTCATGCCCCAGATAATAAACTTTTGTTTCGTTTTGTTTTGAGATGGAGTTTCACTCGTTTCCCAGGCTGGAGTGCAGTGGTGCCATCTCAGCTCACCACAATCTCCGACTCCCGGGTTCAAGTGATTCTCCTGTCTCAGCCTCCCGAGTAGCTGGGATTACAGGCGCATGCCACAACGCCCGGCTAATTTTTATATTTTTAAGAGAGACAGGGTTTCTCCATGTTGGCCAGGCTGGGCTTGAGCTCCTGACCTCAGGTGATCCAACTGCCTCAGCCTCCCAAAGTGCTGGGATTACAGGTGTGAGCCACCGCGCCCGGGCTGATAATAATGTTTTTTTCAACAGACGCATATACGATAGGAGTCCCACAAGATTAAAATATCATATTTTTACTGCACCTGTTCTGTGTTTAGATAAATACTCTTACCATTGTGTTACAACTGCCTATAGCATTCAGTACAGTAGCACGCTGTATAGGTTGATAGCCTAGGAGCAATCGGCTATACCATATAGCCTAGGTATGTAGTAGGCTACACCATCTAGGTTTGTTTAAGTATACTCCATGATGTTTGCAAGATGATCAAATTGTCTGACACATTTCTCAGACTGGATCCCTGTTGCTAAGGGACACATGACTGTGCTGTTATAAAAATGAGCCGCTGTTATCACACTAAAGACAGCATTTCTTCTCCTCCTCAGCCGTGGCACACAGCACAGAGCACGAAGTCAGGCTTCTTAAGCTACAAGAAGAAACACCAAAAGAAGCTCAGAACATACTCACCTGGTATCTTCCAGTGTCACCTGACCTGATTTTTCATCCACTACAATTCTACAGTGATCTCCAGAGACCAGTTTATTGCTGGGGAAGGAAAGGTCGCAACCTAAAAAAGAGAGGGTGGGTCAACACGGGATATGATCGTGGTAACTGTGAACACTACTGCACTTTGTTTACCAAAGTATGTGGTTCCAACTCAGGATCCCCATTGTACATATGTAAAAAAAAACACTTGACCAAGAAAGACATAAAGAAATTTTTTTTTTTTTCTTGAGACGGAGTCTCGCTCTGTCGCCCAGGCTGGAGTGCAGTGGCACCATCTCGGCTCACTGCAAGCTCCGCCTCCCAGGTTCACACCATTCTCCTGCCTCAGCCTCCAGAGTAGCTGGGACTGCAGGCGCCCGCCATCACGCCTGGCTAATTTTTTGTGTTTTTAGTAGAGACGGGGTTTCACCATGTTAGCCAGGATGGTCTCGATCTTTTGACCTCATGATCTGCCCACCTTGGCCTCCCAAAGTGCTGAGATTACAGGCGTGAGCCACCGCGCCCGGCCCATCCTGAACCTTTCTGAATCCCCACCCTCTCAAAGACACCCATCAATACCTCCAGTTACACACAGCCTCTTAAATGGCAATTTTACAGCCAGGCGCAGTGGCTCATACTTGTAAACCCAGCACTTTGAGAAGCTGAGGTGAATGGATCACGAGGTCAGGAGTTCGAGACCAGCCTGGCCAACACAGTGAAACCCCATATCTACTAAAAATACAAAAATTAGCTGGGCATGGTGGCGGTTGCCTATAATCCCAGCTACTTGGGAGGCTGAGGCAGGAGAATCGCATGAACCCAGGAGGCAGAGGTTGCAGTGAGCTGAGATCGCGCCACTGCACTCCAGCCTTGGCGACAGAGCTAGACTCCAACTGGAAATAAAAAAAAAAAAAAGCAATTTTACAATATGCTTGCATACACAGCTAACCTGATGAGTATTATTAGAACTTTAAAAAAACTCAGGGGGTTGGCTAGGTCCGGTGGCTCACACCGAGGCGGGCAGATCACAAGGTCAGGAGATCGAGACCATCCTGGCTAACACAGTGAAACCCCATCTCTACTAAAAATACAAAAAATTAGCCGGGCGTGGTGGCGGGCGCCTTGTAATCCCAGCTACTCAGGAGGATGAGGCAGGAGAATGGCGAGAACCCGGGAGGAGGAGCTTGCAGTGAGCCGATATGGCGCCACTGCACTCCAGCCTGGGTGACAGAGCAAGACTCTGTCTCAAAAAAAAAAAAAGAAAAAAAAAAACTCAGGGGCTTAAGTAATTCTTCAGTATCTTAATTTAGTCCTTAATTTCTTTTCTGTGTAAACTTAGGTTTCATAAATCAACATAAAATTGAAGCAATGACAGTCACAGAAAAAGTGACTGAGCCAACTGTGATAGGCATTTGTTTTTTTTTTTGTTTTTGTTTGTTTTTTTTTTTTTGAGATGGAGTCTCGCACTGTCGCCCAGGCTGGAGTGCAGTGGCACCATCTCGGCTCACCACAACCTCCACCTCCCAGGTTCAAGCCATTCTCCTGCCTCAGCCTCCTGAGCAGCTGGGACTACAGGCATGCGCCACCATACCCAGCTAATTTTTTGTATTTTTAGTAGAGACGGGGTTTCACCATGCTGGTCTTGAACTCCTGACCTCTTGATCCACCCGCCTCAGCCTCCCAAAGTGTTGGGATTACAGGCTTGAGCCACCGCACCTGGCCTGCGATAGGCATTTGTACACGTATAAGAAACTGCATCTTATATACAGGGATGCATCTATAGCTGAATACAGTAATTCTGACACTTTGGGATTTTTTTTTTCTTTTTTTTTTTTTGAGACGGAGTCTCTTTCTGTGGCCCAGGCTGGAGTGCAGTGGCACGATCTCAGCTCACTGCAACCTCTGCCTCCCGGGTTCAAGCGATTCTCCTGCCTCAGCCTCCTGAGTAGCTGGGATTACAGGCGCACACCACCAGGGCCAGTTAATTTTTGTATTTTTAGTAGAGATGAGGTTTCACAATGTTGGCCAGGATGGTCTCGATCTCTTGACCTCGTGATATGCCCGCCTCGGCTTCTCAAAGTGCTGGGATTACAGGCGTGAGCCACCAGCGCCCGGCCCTGAATACAAAAGCAAGAGGGAAAATCCTCAATACTTGCCCTCTCCTTAAATCAAAAGAACAAAGGCGTTTTAATATCTCATCATTAATCATTACTGCCTATAATAATCTATAAGGATACATAAAGATACTAGAAGACAAAAAAGCGAAGGGTTTGGTCAGGAGACAGTGGCATGCAAACATACTTTTCCTAAACGTTCCACACAGAAAGACACCCTGAATCTGCTTTAGCCTGAGCCTTGCTCCCATCACTGACCTATGGGTGTGTGAATCAGAAGACTCAGTATTGTTAAAATGTCAGCTGTCCTCCAGATTGTTTCATACATTCAATGCAATTCCAGTCAAAATCCCAGAGGGCTTGTAGACACTGACAAGCTGATTCTAAAGTTCACAGAAAAAACGTGTAGAAAAACCAAAGCAATTTTGAAAAAGAATGAAGCTGGAAGACTCATATTACTTAACTGACTTACCATCATGCTATAGTAAACAATACAGTATTGTGGCTGTGTAAGGATGGCCAGACAGAGACAAATGTAAAATCTAAAACTATGAAACTTCCAGTGGAAAAGACAGGCAAAAATCTTAGTGCCGTTGGGTCTTGCATGGACTTCGCAGATAGGATATAAAAAGCACAAACCAGGAAAAAATAATAATAATAAGCTGAGGTTTGTCAAAAGTAAAATGTGGGCCAGGTGCCGTGGCTCACACCTGTAATCCCAGCACTTTGGGAGGCCAAGGGGGGGGCGGATCACAAGGTCAGGAGATCGAGACCATCCTGGCTAACATGGTGAAACCACGTCTCTACCAAAACTACAAAAAATTAGCTGGGCGTGATGGCGGGCGCCTGTAGTCCCAGCTACTCAGGAGGCTGAGGCAGAAGAATGGCGTGAACCCAGGAGGTGGAGCTTGCAGTGAGCCAAGATGGTGCCACTGCACTCCAGCCTGGGCAACAGAGCAAGACTCCGACTCAAAAAAAGAAAAAAAAAGTCAATTCTGGGCCAGGCGTGGTGGCTCACACCTGTAATCTCAGCACGTTGGGAGGCCGAGGCGGGCGGATCACAAGGTCAGGAGTTCAAGACCAGCCTGACCAACATGGTGAAACCCAGTCTCTACTAAAAATACAAAACTTAGCCAGGCATGGTGGCGGGCGCCTATAATCCCAGCTACACGGGAGGCTAAGGCAGGAGAATGGTGGGAACCCAGGAAGCGGAGGTTACAGTGAGCCGAGATCACGCCACTGCACTCCAGCCTGGGCGACAGAGCGAGACTCTGGCTCAACAACAACAAAAAAAGTAAGGCTGGGGGCGGTGGTTCACGCCTATAATCCCATCACTTTGGGTGGCCAAGGCGGGCGGATCACTTCAGACCAGGACTTCGAGACCAGCCTGGCCAACAGGATGAGACCCCATCTCGACTAAAAATACAAAAAATTAGCCGGGCATGGTAGCATGCACCTGTAATCCCAGCTACTTGAGAGGCTGAGGTGGGAGAACATGGGAGGTGGAGGTTGCAGTGAGCTGAGATCGTGCCACTGCACTCCAGCCTGGCAACAGAGCGAGACTCCATCTCAAAAAAAAAAAAAAGTAAAAATCTGTTCTTCAAAGATATTGTTTAAAAAGATGAAAAGACAAGCTATGGACTGGTGGAAATATTTGTAAAACACATATCTGACAAAGATCTTGTATCCAGAATGTATAGAGAACTCTGATAACTCAATAAATAGAAAGTAAATAATGCAACTTAAAACAATTTAAACACTTTATCAAAGAAGAGATATGGATGGCAAATTAAGCACATGACAAAATGCTCAACATCATTAATCTTCAGAGAAATGCAAATTAAAACCATGAAATACCACTACACACCAAATAAGAATTGGCTGAAAATACTGACCACGGGCCGGGCACGGTGGCTCACGCCTGTAATCCCAGCACTTTGGGAGGCCGAGGCGGGCGGATCACATGGTCAAGAGATTGAGACCATCCTGGCCAACATGGTGAAACCCCGTCTCTACTAAAGATACAAAAAAATTAGCCGGGCATGGTGGCACGTGCCTGTAGTCCCAGCTACTCAGGAGGCTGAGGCAAGAGAATGGCTTGAACCCGGGAGGCGGAGGTTGCAGTGAGCTGAGATTGCGCCACTGCAAATCCAGCCTGGCGACAGGGCAAGACGCTGTCTCAAAAAAAAAAAAAAAAAAAAAGACTGACCACCTACAAGTGGCCAAAAGGGAAGTGGAAAACCTGGAACTCTCGTACTGTGCTGTGGGACTGCAAAATGGACAAGCACATGGGAAACAATGCGGCAGTTTCTCAGCAAGTTAAACAGACACTGGCCACGTGGCCCAGCAATTCCATTCATAGTTACTTAGCTAAGAGAAAAATGTATGTCCCTACAAAGACTGCACACTTATGTTTATATTAGCTTTATTTCTTACAAAAACAGGAAGCAGTATAAATGTCCATCCACTGGTTGTAAACTAACAAGCCATGGTGCATCCAAACCACAGAACACTACCCGGTAACAGAAAGGAGCAAACTGCTCATCCATGCAACAAGGTGCGTGCCAGGGAAAGAAGCCAGGCGCAGAAGATGATGGCAGACACCCTGTGACCCTGTGTCACGACACGCTGGAAGCAGCAGAAGGCAAAGAAACCAGATCAGTGGCTGCCAGGAGCCGGGACTCAGGGGGACCTTTCAGGGTGACGAACATGTTCTACATCTTGACTGCACTGGTGAGTACATTTCCCAAAACTCATGGAACTGAACCCCAAAAAAGGTGAATTTTACTACAAGTAAATGATACTGCCATGAAACCGGATATTAAAAATCTTATTTGTGCAAACATTCTGTACTATTGGAAGTACTGTATCCAAGGCAAGTATCACCTGTGGTCAAGCTCTTCCCATTCCATTGAGCGTTAACTGCCAGGACAGTCTCCTTCAAGCCCCAAAACCAGTGCAAGTCACGGTGTCGCCAGAGCCAGTTTGTAACAGAGGCGTCTCCATGCCAGAACATCAGGTTTTTTTTTTTTTCTTTGAGACAAGGCCTTGCGCTGTTACCCCAGCTGTGGTGCAGTGGAGCAATCACAGCTCACTGCAGCCTTGAACTCCCAGGCTCATGTGATCCTCCCACTTCAGCCTCCTGAGTAGCTGAGACTACCAATATGCACCACCACGCTCAGCTAATTTTTTAAGTTTTTGTAGATACAGGGTCTATGTTGCCCTAGCTGGTCTCAAACTCATAGGGTCAAGAGATCCTCCTGTTTTGGCCTCCCAAACTGCTGGGATTACAGGCATGAGCCACCGTGCCTGGCCTGAATATCAGCATTCTAATCTGGAACCGAGATGCTTTGTGCTAAAGTTCTATTCACAGCATTTGCTGCGCTTGACGCTTGGTGGGTTAAATCTTTCAAGCAGTTGATGTACATTTCTGCCACTCTCTTAGAATAAAGAGCTCTTGGCTGGGCGCGGTGGATCACACCTGTAATCCCAGCACATTGGGAGGCCGAGGCGGGAGGATCACCTGAGGTCAGGACTTAGAGACTAGCCTAGCCAACATGATGAAACCCTGTCTCTACAAAATACAAAAATTAGCCAAGCATGGTGGTGAGTGCCTGTAATCCCAGCTACTCTGGATGCTGAGGAAGGAGAATCACTTGAACCTGGGAGGCGGAGGTTGCAGTGAGCCGAGATCACATCATTGCACTCCAGCCTGAGAAATAGGAGTGAAACTCCGTCTCAAAAAAAAAAAAAAAAAGACTGGGCGCAGTGGCTCACGCCTCTAATCCCAGCACTTTGGGAGGCCGAGGCGGGTGGATCATGAGGTCAGGAGATCAAGACCATCCTGGCTAACATGGTGAAACCCTGTCTCTACTAAAAATACAAAAAAAATTAGCCGGGCATGGTGGCGGGTGCCTGTAGTCCCAGCTACTTGGGAGGTTGAGGCAGGAGAATGGTGTGAACCCAAGAGGCAGAGCTTGCAGTGAGCCGAGATCGTGCCACTGCACTCCAGACTGGATAAAGAGCTCTTTGGGAAAACAAGGTTGTTGCACCCCTTCCTACACGTTACCTAGGCTTTCCCTTTTCCCCCAAATAATGCCTTATAAATGGCAGGCACATCATTGCTTTAAAATAATCAAGTTCTGTCTGGGCGAGGTGGCTCATGGCTGTAATCCCAACGCTTTGGGAGGCCAAGGCAGGTGGATCATTTGATTTGAGGCCAGGAGTTCAAGACCAGCCTGACCAACATGGTAAAACCTCATCTCTACTAAAAATACCAAAAAACTAGCCAGGTGTGGTGGCACACGCCTGAAATCTCAGCTAGTCTGGAGGCTCAGGCAGGAGAATCACTTTAACCTGGAAGATGCAGGTTGTAGTGAGTGAAGATCGCACCACTGCACTCCAGCCTGGGTGACAGAGTAAGACTCCGTCTCAAAAAATAAATATATCAGGCCGGGCACAGTGGCTCACGCCTGTAATCCCAGCACTTTGGGAAGCCGAGGCGGGTGGATCACCTGAGGTCAGGAGTTCAAGACCAGCCTGACGAACATGGAGAAACCCCGTCTCTACTAAAAATACAAAAAGTAGCTGAGCGTGGTAGCACATACTTGTAATCCCAGCTACTCGGGAGGCTGAGGCAGGAGAATTGCTTGAACCCGGGAGGTTGGAGGTTGAGCCAAGAAGGCACCACTGCACTACAGCCTGGGCAATAAGAGCAAAACTCCGTCTCAAAAAAAAAAATACATATATATATATAAAATAAATAAATAAAATAATCAAGTTCTACAACTGTTAGGAACTGAATGTTTGTAACTGAGTGTCTGTACCCCCCTAAAATTCATATATTTAAGTCCTAATCCCCAATGTGACTGTATTTGGAAATGGGGCCTGTGAGCTGATAAATGTTAAATGAGGTCACTAGGTGGGAATCAGATGTCACAGGGCTGGTGCCCTCTTAAGAGGAGGCAGAGAGAGCAAGCAGAGTCCCCCTCTCTGCCATGTGAGGACACAGCAAGAAAGTGGCCACCTGCAAGCCAAGAGAGCCCTCACCAGGAACCCAATCTGCCAACACCTTGATCTTGGACTTCCCAGCCTCCTGAACCATGAAAATAAATTTCTGGCCAGGCACAGTGGCTCACACCTGTAATCCTAGCACTTTGAGAGGCCGAGGCAGACAGATTGCTGGAGCTCAGGAGTTCGAGACCAGCCTGGGCAACACAGTGAAACCCCATCTCTACTAAAATAGAAAAAAATAAGCCAGGTGTGGTGGTACGTGCCTGTAGTCCCAGCTACTCGGGAGGCTGAGGCAGGAGAATCGCTTGAACCTGGAAGAGGGAAGTTGCAGTGAGCCGAGATCATGCCACTGCACTCCAGCCTGGGTGACAGAGCAGGACTCTATCTCAAAAATTAAAAAAATAAAATAAAATAAAAAATAAATTTCTGGCCGGGCGCGATAGCTCACGCCTGTAATCCCAGCACTTTGGGAGGCTGAGGCAGGCAGATCACGAGGTCAGGAGATTGAGACCATCCTGGCTAACATGGTGAAACCCCGTCTCTACTAAAAATACAAAATACCACTGCCAGGCGTGGTGGTGGGCGCCTGTAGTCCCAGCTACTCGGGAGGCTGAGGCAGAAGAATGGCAAGAACCCGGGAGGTGGAGCTTGCAGTGGGCCGAGATCGCGCCACTGCACTCCAGCCTGGGTGATAGAGTGAGACTCTGTCTCAAAAAATATATAAATAAATAAATAAATAAATAAATAAATAAATAAATTTCTGTTGCTTAAGCCACCCAGAATGTAGTATTTTGCTATGGTAGTATGAACAAACTAATACAATAATCTTAAAGTTTTTGCTGGCAACATTATTTATAAATTCACTAAAATCGTTCCTATTAAAAGATAAACTCAACGACATATTTTCTCTCCTTGTCTTAACATGTAATGTCCTACCATGTAATAACATGTATAACATGTTACAATAACAATGGCTAATGCTAAGTGCTAACGCTAAAGTTCCTTCTAAGCAGTCCGTGTATGATCTCATTAACTCCTCAGAGCAAATCTATGAAGTAGGTACATAGGCGCAGAAAGATGTCGTTAGCCCAGAGTAATGTGTTGACAGATTGGAAACCCACATAATTTGTCTCTAGGGCCTCTGCTCTTCACCAAACCTCCTAGTCTATCAAGTAAAGACAAAGGGAAAAATCTTCAAATACTTCCTCTTGTCTTAAAGGGATAATTTTGATATGTTATGATGATATCTAAATACTTTCAAAGTTGTAAAATAAACTTTGACTTGATACTGGAATGTAAGACTACCAAAACACCCCAAAAAACAAAACCAGGTCAGACACAGTGGTTCACACCTGTAATCCCAGCACTTTCGGAGGCCGAAGCAGGTGAATCACTTTAGTTCAGTTGTTCAAGACCAGCCTGGGCAATATGGCGAAAGCTCATCTCTACTAAAAATACAAAAATTAGCCAGGCATGGTGGCGCACGCCTGTAGTCCCAGCTACTCCGAGGCTGAGGCGGGAGAATCACTTGAACCGGGAGGCAGAGGGTGCAGTGAGCTGAGATCACACCACTGCACCCCAGTCTGGGCCACAGAGCAAGACTCTTATCTCAAAAAAACAAACAAAAAAACAAAAAAAACCAGGTGCAAGCACATTATAAGGGGTGAAATTAACCAAAAAAAAAAAAAAAATTGCTTCCAAACAGCAAATATTTCCCATCCTCGCTCCTTTTTAGAGTATAATGTCGGAGCTAATTCATTAATTTTCAGACAAACTAAACATTTTTGTTGACAGGACCAGCGCATTTCTCTCCCCATACAAAGGCTTCAGAGGAAATCAAACAACCAGATGGTCACTTGGGAGACTGGAGGCAGTGAATGTGGAGGCTGAGGGAACTTTCTCTCACCCGTTGTATGACTTTGTTCAAGTTTTTAGCTTTCCAGGTTTATTAAATAAATAAATATTCTAGGGGCTGGGACTTGAGATCTTTTTTAATATAAGCACTACAGCTATAAATTTCCCTCTGAGTACTGCCTTGGCTGCATCCTAAATACCTTTTGGTGTATTCTATTTTTGTTTCATTTGTCTCAAAACAAGGTCCCCGTTGTAAAGACTTATTTGACCCACCGGTTGCTTTAAGAGTGTGGTGTTTCATGTCCACATATCTGTGAATTTTCCACTTTTCCTTCTATTATTTTTAATTTCGTTCCATTACAGTCAGAAAAGATACTCTGTACGGCAACGAACGTGACAATATTGCATTCTGGAGAGTATATGAACACAACTAACTTATACAGTTGTAACGAAGGCTAAATGATGTGCGTGAATCATGCGCAAGAATCGGTGGGCAGAACACCGAATAAATACCAGTTCTTACATGACATTTCACTCCACGGAAAAATCTGGAGCGCACACTGCACCGCCGCCCGTGTGGCCTGCCCGCAACCCGGTGGCTCTGCCCGGCCCCGGCCCCCGGCCCCGGCCTCAGCCCCGCACCTCGTCTCCGCCCGATGGTCCACTCCCGCTTCCTCAGGAGGACGTGCGGCTCGCCCTCCTCCGCGCCCAGACGCAGGAGCCGTCCCCAGGGCTGCGGCGGCGGCGACTGCTTGCCTTCCTCGGGCCGCTCCATCGGGATTCACATCTGCGGAGACCCCGGAAACGCCCATGGAGACTCCCGACCCCAGAGGCCGAGACTCGGCGCCCGCCCCACCCCGCGGGCCCCGGCCCGGCCGCCCGCGCCCACGCAGCCCCGCAGCCCGGCCTGGACGCCGGCGGGCGCCCCCTCCCACGGCCGCAACCAGGTCCCCCTTCGCCGCCCGCCGCAGCCCCCTCGCCAGCCGCGCTTACCCCCGCCCCGCGCCGAACCCGGAACCGGCTGCGCCGCCGCCGCTGTCAAGAGACATTGCGGCTCCCTCAGCTGATCCGCGGGGCGGGGCCAGAGGCCTCTGCGCCCCGCGATTGGCTGGCGGCGGCGCTCACCAAGAGCGGCAGCTAAAGCGGAGCCGGGAGTGGCCCGCGAGAGTAGGCGCGTGGAGGGCGCTCGGCCATCTTTGATCCTGACCAGGCGACTTCGTCGCCTGCGGATCACGGAAGTGGCTGCGGTCGGCGCCATGTTATGTTGGGGCAGAAGGGACGGGGAACTTCCGGATTGGAAGCCCCAAGGATTCTGAGAGCCCCGCTAATCTGGGGATGACTCCTAGGAGTAGAAGACGGTCCATCTTAGTTGTCACGAGGTAGTGCACGTGGGGACCCTTTCGGGTACAGTTGCACACAGTGGATCACACAGATCCGAAGTCTGAGGCACAGGGCGCGGTCCGCGAGTGGGAGCGGCTGCTTGTGGGCAGGGTGGACGCGGGGCCACGTCTTGGCCGGCGTTTTGCGGGGTCTTCCTGTTCTGAACGCGCGTAACTTTTGCCTCAGTATCTCACTTCTTGGAATCCGGCGGCGTTCACGTGTGTGCTCCAGAGAAGGGCGCCAGAGGGTATTCCCTGAAAGTGAAAGGTCGGCGAAAGAGGAGTAAAGACGGCGAGACGCGTCCACGCAGGGGGAGTCTGTGCGGTTTGGAGGAACGCGCCAATGTCTGCACTCATGAGGAGCCCCCAAGGGCGGTTTTAAGAGGGTGAAGCAGGACCGGGCGCAGTGACTTACGCCTGTAATCTAAGTGCTTTGGAAGGCCTAGGCAGGAGGATCTCGAGCCCAGGAGTTCGAGATTAGCCTGAGACCTCATCGCTACCAAAATAAATAAAGTAGGCATCCATTTGTGTAAAACAAACCATATATACACACATATATACATATATAAACATTTGTATATATAGGTATAGGCATAGTTATCTATACCTTGTAAACCAAAAATAAAATTGTAAGCCTCCCCAACCAACTGAATGAACTGAGTCTCTCAACGCCAAAGTTAATCTGAAAAACCAGTTCAGTCCCTGATGGGAAGCAGGGTTTGGATATGTCCCATTATACTGTCCTCCCTTTGGAATTCAGGTATAACTGACCAGCGTCGACGTTAAAACAGACAACTTAAGGCTGACCAAACGGTCTGTAGCATTAAGATACATCACATGACAAATAGCAGGCCCTGGAAGAAAACGAAGTATTTTACCCTGACATGTATTTATTTAACATAGTTTTACGTAGCCCTGCAAAACTGTCTCCTGGGGGAAATCTACTTTGTAGAGAATCTCCTTCCTTTTCCACATCTTTTCCTGATCCAGGAGAGAATGTAAGACTCTGGCACCTTTTTAACTCTGATAAGAAAAGTTTACCATCTATTCTCTCTGAAGCCTGCTGCCTGGAGCGGCATCTGCATTAGAATGGCCAGAGTGGTGGTGCTCAAGCCTGTAATCCTAGCACTTTGGGAGGCCGAGGTGGGTGGATCGCTTGAGCCCAGGAATTCAGACCATCCTGGGCAACATGGGGAGACCCCGTCTTAGCTGGACATGATGACAGCACATGCCTATAGTCCCAGCTATTCAGGAGGCTGAGGTGGGCAGATTCCTTGAGCCCGGGAGGACAAGGCTGCGGTAAACCACAGTCTGTGCCACTGCAATCCAGCCTGGGCAACAGAGACCCTGTCAAAAAAAAAATAACAAAATAGAAACTTTGTCTCCCTTAGCTTAACCCAGACAATCCTTTCTATTGATTCCAGGTCTTTAGATAATAACAACTCTTTCAACCAAGTGCCAATCAGAAAATCTTTGAATCCATCTATGAACTTTCTCCCTAAAAGGTGTAAAACCGGCTGGGCGCAGTGGCTCACGTCTGTAATCCCAGCAGTTTGGGAGGCTGAGGCAGGTGGATCATGTCAGGCCTCTGAACCTAAGCTAAGCCATCGCATCCCCTGTGACCTGCATGTATATATATGCCTAGATGGCCTGAAGTAACTGAAGAATCACAAAAGAAGTGAAAATGGCCTGTTCCTGCCTTAGCTGATGACATTCCACTACAAAAGAAGTGAAAATGGCCGGTCCTTGCCTTAACTGATGACATTACCTTGTGAAATTCCTTCTCCTGGCTCATCCTGGCTCAAAAAGCTCCCTCATTGAGCACCTTGTGACCCCCACCCCTGCCCACCAGAGAACAACCCCCCTTTGACTGTAATTTTCGTTTACCTACTTAAATCTTATAAAACGGCCCCACTACCCCTATCTGCCCTTTGCTGACTCTCTTTTCGGACTCAGCCCGCCTACACCCAGGTGAGTAAAAAACTTTATTGCTCACACAAAGCCTGTTTGATCGTCTCTTCACATGGACGCGAGTGAAATTTGGTGCCGTGACTCGGATCGGGAGACCTCCCTTGGGAGATCAATCCCCTGTCCTACTCTTTGCTCCGTGAGAAAGATCCACCTACGACCTCAGGTCCTCAGACCAACCAGCCCAAGGAACATCTCACCAATTTTAAATCGGGTAATGGCCTCTTTTCACTCTCTTCTCCCACCTCTCTCACTATCCTTCAACCTCTTTCTCCTTTCAATCTTGGTGCCACACTTTAATCTCTCCCTACTCTTAATTTCAGTTCCTTTCCTTTTCTGGTAGAGACAAAGGAGACGCGTTTTATCCATGAACCCAAAATTCCGGCGCCGGTCATGGACTCGGGAAGACAGTCTTCCCTTGGTGTTTAATCGCGCAGGGACGCCTGCCTGATTATTCACCCACGTTTCAGAGGTGTCTGACCATGCAGGGACGCCTGCCTTGGTCCTTCACCCTTAGTGGCAAGTAATGCTTTTTTGGGGGGCAAGAACCCCCCAACCCCTTCTCTCCGTGTCTCTACCCCTTCTTCACTTTCCTGGGTGGCAAGCACCCCCCACCCCCTTCTCTCCATGTCTCTACCCTCTCTTTTCTCTGGGCTTGCCTCCTTCACTATGGGCAAACTTCCACCCTCCATTCCTCCCTCTTCTCCATTAGCCTGTGTTCTCAAAAACTTAAAACCTCTTCAACTCACACCTGACCTAAAACCTAAACGCCTTGTTTTCTTCTGCAACACCGCTTGGCCCCAATACAAACTTGACAATGGCTCTAAATAGCCAGAAAACGGCACTTTCAACTTCTCCATTCTACAAGACCTAAATAATTTTTGTCAAAAAATAGGCAAATGATCTGAGGTGCTTTACATCCAGGCATTTTTCACACTTCGTTCCCTCCCTAGTCTCTGTTCCCAATGCGATTCCTCCCAAATCCTCCTTCTCTCCCTCCTGCCTGTTCCCTCAGTCCCAACCCCAAGCGTCGCTGAGTCTTTCCAGTCTTCCTTTTCTACAGACCCATCTGACCTCTCCCCTCCTCCCCAGGCTGCTCGTCGCCAGGCCAAGCTAAGTCCCAATTCTTCCTCAGCCTCCGCTCCTCCACCCTATAATCTTTCTGTCACCTCCCCTCCTCACACCCGGTCCGGCTTACAGTTTAGTTCCTTGACTAGCTCTTCCCCACCTGCCCAACAATTTCCTCTTAGAGAGGTGGCTGGAGCTGAAGGCATAGTCAGGGTACATGTGCCTTTTTCTCTATCAGACCTCTCTCAGATCAGTCAACATTTAGGCTCTTTCTCATCAGACCCCACTAAACATATACAGGAATTCCGATATCTAACTTTGTCCTACAAGTTAACCTGGAGTGACCTAAATGTCATCCTGACTTCTACCCTCTCCCCAGATGAACGGGAAAGAGTTTTTTCTCTAGCCCAATCTCACGCTGATAACCACCGGCTTCACGAGCCATACCTCCAGGAAGGCATCAGAGCAGTTCCCCGAGAGGATCCCCAATGGAACTATCAGGCAGATTCCCCAGGTACAGCTAGGCAAGATTACATGATTTCCTGCCTAGTTGAAGGGCTTAAAAAGGCAGCTTACAAACCTGTTAATTATGACAAGCTTAAAGAAACTACCCAAGGTAAAGACGAAAACCAAGCCCAGTTCATGGCCTGCTTAGCAGCAACACTCAGACACTTTACCGCCCTAGACCCAGAAGGGCCAGAAGGCCGCCTTATTCTTAATATGCATTTTATCATCCAATCCACTCCTGACATTAGGAAAAAACTTCAAAAATTAGAATCTGGCCCTCAAACCCCACAATAGGAATGAATCAACCTTGCCTTCAAGGTGTACAATAATAGAGAGGAGGCAGCCAGACGGCAACGCATTTCTGAGTTACAATTACTTGCCTCTGCTGTAAGACAAAACCCAGCCACACCTCCAGCACACAAGAAATTCAAAATGCCTAAGCCGCACACACCTAAGCCACAGCAGTCAAGCATTCTTACAAGACTTCCTCCATCAGGATCTTGCTTCAAGTGCCAGAAATCTGGCCACTGAGCCAAGGAATGCCCATAGCCTGGGATTCCTCCCAAGCCGTGTCCCATCTGTGCAGGGACCCACTGGAAATCAGACTGCCCAGCTCGCCTGGCAGCCACCCCTAGAGCCCCTAAAGCTCTAGCCCAAGACTCTCTGACTGACTCCTTCCAAGATCTGCTTGGCTTAGCGGCTGAAGACTGACGCTGCCTGATCACCCTGGAAGCCCCCTGGACCATCATGGATGCTGAGCTTCGGGTAACTCTCACAGTGGCGGGTAAGTCCATCCCCTGTTTAATCGATACGGGGGCTACCCACTCCACGTTACCTTCTTTTCAAGGGCCTGTTTCCCTTGCCCCTATAACTGTTGTGGGTGTTGACGGCCAAGCTTCAAAACCCCTCAAAACTCCCCCACTCTGGTGCCAACTTGGACAACATTCTTTTATGCACTCTTTTTTAGTTATCCCCACTTGCCCAGTTCCCTTATTAGGCCGAGACATTTTAACCAAATTATCTGCTTCCCTGACTATTCCTGGACTACAGCCATATCTCATTGCCGCCCTTCTTCCCAACCCAAGGCCTGCTTTGCGTCTTCCTCTCGTATCCCCCCACCTTAACCCACAAATATAGGACACCTCTACTCCCTCCCTGGCAACCGATCACATGCCCATTACTATCCCCTTAAAACCTAATCAACCTTACCCCGCTCAATGCCAATATCCCATCCCGTGGCATGCTTTAAAAGGATTAAAGCCTGTTACCACTCGCCTGCTACAGCATGGGCTTCTAAAACCTATAAACTCTCCTTACAATTCCCCCATTTTACCGTCCAAAAACCAGACAAGTCTTACAGGTTAGTTCAGGATCTGCGCCTTATCAACCAAATTGTTTTGCCTAGTCACCACGTGGTGCCCCACCGTACACTCTTTTGTCCTCAATACCTTCCTCCACAACTCACTATTCCGTTCTTGATCTTAAAGATGCTTTTTTCACTATTCCGCTGCACCCCTCGTCCCAGCCTCTCTTTGCTTTTACCTGGACTGACCCTGACACCCATCGGTCCCAGCAGCTTACCTGGGCTGTGCTGCCGCAAGGTTTCGGGGACAGCCCTCATTACTTCAGCCAAGCTCTTTCTCATGATTTACTTTCTTTCCACCCCTCCGCTTCTCACCTTATTCAATATGTTGATGACCTTCTTCTTTGTAGCCCCTCCTTTGAATATTCTCAACAAGACACCCTCCTGCTCCTTCAACATTTATTCTCCAAAGGATATCAGGTATCCCCCTCCAAAGCTCAAATTTCTTCATCTGTTACCTACCTCATGATAATTCTTCATAAAGACACACGTGCTCTCCCTGCTGATCATGTCCAACTGATATCTCAAACCCCAACACCGTCTACAAAACAACTCCTTTCCTTCCTAGGCATGGTTAGATACGTTCAACTTTGGATACATGGTTTTGCCATCCTAACAAAACCATCATATAAACTCACAAAAGGAAACCTAGCTGACCCCATAGATCCTAAATCCTTTCCCCACTCCTCTTTCCTTTCCTTAAAGACAGTTTTAGAGACTGCCCCCACTAGCTCTCCCTGATTCATCCCAACCCTTTTCATTACACACAGCCGAAGTGCAGAGCTGTGCAGTCAGAATTGTTACACAAGGACCAGGATTGCATCCTGTAGCCTTTTGGCCAAACAACTTGACTTTACTGTTTTAGGCTGGCCATCATGTCTCCATGCAGTGGCTGCTGCCGCCCTAATACTTTCAGAGGCCCTCAAAAATCACAAACTATGCTCCACTCACTCTCTGCAGCTCTCATAACTTCCAAAATCTATTTTCTTCCTCACACCTGATACATATAATTTCTGCTCCCTGGCTCCTTCAGCTATACTCACTCTTCCTTTAGTCTCCCACAATTACCATTGCTCCTGGCCCAGACTTCAATTCGGCCTCCCACATTATTCCGGATACCACACCTGACCCTCATGACTGTATCTCTCTGATCCACCTGACATTCACCCCATATTTCCTTCTTTCCTGTTCCTCACCCTGATCACATTTGGTTTATTGATGGCAGTTCCACCAGGCCTAATTGCCACTCACTAGCAAAGGCAGGCTATGCTATAGTATCTTCCACATCTATCATTGAGGCTACCACTCTGCCTCCCTCCACTACCTCTCAGGAAGCTGAACTAGTTGCCTTAACTCAGTCCCTCACTCTTTTTTTTTTTTTTTTTTTTTTTTTTTTGAGATGGAGTTTCGCTCTTATTGCCCAGGCTGGAGTGCAATGGCGCAATCTCGGCTCACTGCAACCTCTGCCTCCTGGGTTCAAGCAATTCTTTTGCCTCAGCCTCCCAAGTAGCTGGGATGACAGGCATGCACCACCACGCCCGGCTAATTTTGTATTTGTAGTAGAGACAGGGTTTCTCCATGTTGGTCAGGCTGGTCTTGAACTCCCAAACTCAGGTGATCTGCCCGTCTCAGCCTCCCAAAGTGCTGGGATTACAGGTGTGAGCCACCACACCCGGCGCCCTCACTCTTGCAAAAGGACTACATGTCAATATTTATACTGACTCTAAATATGCCTTCCATATTCTGCACCACCATGCTGTTATATAGGCTGAAAGAGGTTTCCTCACTACGCAAAGTTCCTCCATCATTAATGCCTCTTTAATAAAAACTCTGCTCAAGGCCGCTCCTTTATGTATCTCTCAGCAAAGACCCACTGGAATTCCCCTAGGTAACCTTTCACCTTCTCGATGTTCCTTTATTCTTCATCTCCAAAGCCCAACTACACACATCACTGAAACAATTGAAGCCTTCCAGCTCCATATTACAGATAAGCCCTCTATCAATACTGACAAACTTAAAAATATTAGTAGTAATTATTGCTTAAGAAGACACTTACCCTGCATTTCACTCCATCCTTGGCTACCTTCCCCTTGCTCATCAGGCTCTCCTCCCAGGCCCTCTTCTTGTTTACTTATACCCAGACCCATAAATAATAGTGAAAGGTTGCTCGTAGATACTTGACGTTTTCTCATACACCATGAAAATCGAACCTCCCCCTCTATGCAGTTACCCCATCATGAAAGGTTGCTCGTAGACACTTGACATTTGCTCACACACCATGAAAATCGACCCTCCCCTCTACGCAGTTACCTCATGATGAAAGGTTGCTCGTAGAAACGCGACGTTTTCTCGCACACCATGAAAATCGAACCTCCCCCTCTACGCAGTTACCCCATCATGAAAGGTTGCTCGTAGACACTCAGCGTTTCCTCATACACCATGAAAATCGAACCTCCCCCTCTACGCAGTTACCCCATCATGAAAGGTTGCTCGTAGACACTCAGCGTTTCCTCATACACCATGAAAATCGAACCTCCCCCTCTACGCAGTTACCCCATCATGAAAGGTTGCTCATAGACACTCGACATTTTCTCATACACCATGAAAGTCTAACCTCCCCCTCTATGCAGTTACCCCATCATGAAAGGTTGCTCGTAGACACTTGACATTTGCTCACACACCATGAAAATCGACCCTCCCCTCTACGCAGTTACCTCATGATGAAAGGTTGCTCGTAGAAACGCGACGTTTTCTCGCACACCATGAAAATCGAACCTCCCCCTCTACGCAGTTACCCCATCATGAAAGGTTGCTCGTAGACACTCAGCGTTTCCTCATACACCATGAAAATCGAACCTCCCTCTCTACGCAGTTACCCCATCATGAAAGGTTGCCCATAGACACTCGACATTTTCTCATATACCATGAAAGTCTAACCTCCCCCTCTATGCAGTTACCCCATCATGAAAGGTTGCTCGTAGACACTTGATGTCTTCTCACACACCATGAAAATCGACCCTCCCCTCTACGCAGTTACCTCATCATGAAAGGTTGCTCGTAGACACGCAACGCTTTCTCGCACACCATGAAAATCGAACCTCCCCCTCTACGCAGTTACCCCATCATGAAAAGTTGCTTGTAGACACTCAGCGTTTCCTCATACACCATGAAAATCAAACCTCCTCCTCTACGCAGTTACCCCATCATGAAAGGTTGCTCGTAGACACTCAGCATTTCCTCATACACCATGAAAATCGAACCTCCCTCTCTACGCAGTTACCCCATCATGAAAGGTTGCCCATAGACACTCAACATTTTCTCATACACCATGAAAGTCTAACCTCCCCCTCTATGCAGTTACCCCATCATGAAAGGTTGCTCGTAGACACTTGACGTTTTCTCACACACCATGAAAATCGACCCTCCCCTCGACGCAGTTACCTCATCATGAAAGGTTGCTCGTAGACACTCGACGTTTTCTCGCACACCATGAAAATCGAACCTCCCTCTCTACGCAGTTACCTCATCATGAAAGGTTGCTCATAGACACTCGACATTTTCTCATACATCATGAAAGTCTAACCTCCCCCTCTATGCAGTTACCCCATCATGAAAGGTTGCTCGTAGACACTTGACGTTTTCTCACACACCATGAAAATCGATCCTCTCCTCTACGCAGTTACCCCATCATGAAAGGTTGCTCGTAGACACTCGACATTTTCTCACACACCATGAAAATGGAACCTCCCCCTCTACGCAGTTACCCCATCATGAAAGGTTGCTTGTAGACACTCAGCGTTTCCTCATACACCATGAAAATCGAACCTCCCTCTCTACGCAGTTACCCCATCATGAAAGGTTGCTCGTAGACACTCGACGTTTTCTCATACACCATGAAAGTCTAACCTCCCCCTCTACGCAGTTACCCCATCATGAAAGGTTGCTCGTAGACACTCAACGTTTTCTCACACACCATGAAAATCGATCCTCCCCTCTATGCAGTTACCCCATCATGAAAGGTTGCTCGTAGACACTCAATGTTTTCTCACACACCATGAAAATCGATCCTCCCCTCTATGCAGTTACCCCATCATGAAAGGTTGCTCATAGACACTAGACGTTTTCTCATACACCATGAAAATCGAACGTCCCCCTCTATGCAGTCACCCCACCAGTCCCCATTACAACCTCTGATGGCTGCTGCCCTAGCTGGATCCCTAGGAGTGTAGGTACAAGACACCCCTTTCAGCACTCCTTCTCATCTTTTTACTTTGCATCTCCAATTTTGCCTGGCACAAGGTCCCTTCTTCCTCTGTGGATCCTCTACCTACATGTGTCTACCTGCTAATTGGACAGGCACATGCACATTAGTTTTCCTTACTCCCAAAATTCAATTTGCCAATAGGAGCAAAAAGCTCCTTGTTCCCCTCATGACACCAACATGACAAAAAAGAGTTATTCCACTAATTCCCTTGCTTGTCGGTTTAAGACTTTCTGCCTCTACTATTGCTCTCAGTACTGGGATAGCAGGCATTTCAACCTCTGTCACAACCTTCTGTAGCCTCTCTAATGACTTCTCTGCTAGCATCACAGACATATCACAAACTTTATCAGTCCTCCAGGCCCAAGTTGACTCTTTAGCTGTCCTCCAAAATCGCTGAGGCCTTGACTTACTCAATGCTGAAAAAGGAGGACTCTGTATATTTTTAAATGAAGAGTGTTGTTTTTACCTAAATTAATCTGGCCTGGTGTATGACAACATAAAAAAACTCAAGGATAGGGCCCAAAAACTTGCCAACCAAGCAAGTAATTACGCTGAACTCCCTTGGGCACTCTCTAATTGGATGTCCTAGGTCCTCCCAATTCTTAGTCCTTTAATACCCATTTTTCTCCTTCTTTTATTCAGACATTGTATCTTCCGTTTAGTTTCTCAATTCATCCAAAACCGTATCCAGGCCATCACCAATCATTCTATATGACAAATGCTCCTTCTAACAATCCCACAATATCACCCCTTACCACAAAATCCTCCTTCAACTTGACCTCTCCCATTCTAGGTTCCCACGCCACCCCTAATCCCGCTGGAAGCAGCCCTGAGAAACATCGCCCATTATCTCTCCATGCCAGCCCCCCAAAAAAATTTTTTTCGCTGCCCCAACACTTCAACACTATTTTATGTTATTTTTCTTATTAATATAAGAAGGCAGGAATGTCAGGCCTCTGGGCCCAAGCTAAGCCATCACATCCCCTGTGACCTGCATGTATATGCCCAGATGACCTGAAGTAACTGAAGAATCACAAAAGAAGTGAAAATGGCCTGTTCCTGCCTTAACTGATGACATTCCACTACAAAAGAAGTGAAAATGGCCGGTCCTTGCCTTAACTGATGACAATTACCTTGTGAAATTCCTTCTCCTGGCTCATCCTGGCTCAAAAAGCTCCCTCACTGAGCACCTTGTGACCCCTACCCCTGCCCGCCAGAGAACAACCCCCTTTGACTGTAATTTTCCTTTACCTACTTAAATCTTATAAAACGGCCCCACCCCATCTCCCCTTTGCTGACCCTCTTTTCAGACTCAGCCCGCCTGCACCCAGGTGATTAAAAAGCTTTATTGCTCACACAAAGCCTGTTTGGTGGTCTCTTCACACGGACGCGAGTGAAAGATCACGAGGTCAGGAGTTCAAGACCAACCTGGCCAAGATGGTGAAACCCCTTGTCTACTAAAAATACAAAAAAAAATTAGTCGGGCTTGTTGGCAGGTGCCTGTAATCTCAGCTACTCAGGAGGCTGAGGCAGAGAATTGCTTGAACCCGGGAGGCAGAGGTTGCAGTGAGCCGAGATTGCGTCACTGCACTCCAGCCTGGGTGACAGAGTGAGACTCTGTCTTTAAAAAAAAAAAAAGTATAAAACCAAGCTGTAGCCCCACCACCATGGGCACAGGGTCTTAGGACCTCTTGGGACTGTGCCGTGGGCCGTGATCACTCACTTTTGGCTCAGAATAAACCTCTTCAAATTTTGTAGAGCTTGACTCTTTTAATTAATAATGTGTACATACAAATATGTTTATGAAAATGAAAATCTCTCTAGAAGGATACACAAGGAAATGGCGGTGGCTTCCTCTGAAACACGGACTTAAAGTCAAGGGGTAATGAAGACTTACCTTTCACTATATGTTTCTCTCAGTCAGTTCCACCAGAAAAACAGAACCAAAATCGGTAGGATGATGGAGAACACAGCAAGACCCATGAATTCCATGAGCATGGGCCCACGGTGCACCTCATTTACTGTGAAGTGGGTTCTTCGATCAGAAGCGATGTCATTGTTACAGGAAAAAGAGGAGTTCCAGTCCAGGCTCCAAGAAAGGGCTCTTAGATCTTACACAGGAAAGAATTTGAGGTGAGTCACTGAGCACCGTGAAAGAAGCAAGTTTATCAGAATCTACTCTGTTACAGAGTAAGGCATCCTCAGAAAGCAGGAAGAGGAATGCTGTACAGGAAACTCTTAAGGAGCTACAATTAAACCTGGAATGTGCAGATGTGCTCACTGAAGGTAGGGCTATTGGTGCTATCAGTGACCATTAATCCTTCAACCTAAGCCTGCTCATTAAGGTTCTCTCTGAGTAAAGTGGGCTGCACTCTTAGGACATCTGGACATTCTGCAGGCTTGGTGGGAGATGTCCCGTATGACCATAAATATTTCTGCAATTATAATTGGTGGTCAGCTTAGAATGTGGCTATTTTCAGACCATAGCAACCTTACAGGTGTCTTGTGAGTGCCTAGCTACTTACCTTAAGATAGAGTCACTCTGGTCATGTTTTATGAAACCAGAGGCCTGGTAAACAGGTTTCTCTAACACCACAACGGTGGGTAAGGTATTCTGTGAGTTTTGCACTGTCATTGCGTGATGATGGAGTACTACTCTGTATGCCTCACTTTATGGCTTGGGGGGTCAGATAACACTGAGTTCGTGATGAGCAGCTCAGGTCATGCAGTAATTTGGTGGGCCATGCTTAATTATTCAGTCCCTAATACCGTCCTGTAGCAAGCCAAAAGCTGGTTGTCAAAAGAAGAGTACGGGTGGAAGAGAGCGCTTCTCAGACCTCGGCTGCGCGGCCCTAGGAGTGCCGAGCTCACGGAACCACAGCCATGACTGAGGCCAATGTGAATCTGAAGGCCTAGCCCCTCGCCGATGCCCACCTCACCAAGAAACCACTGGAGTTCATTCAGTAGTCGTGTAACTACAAGCAGCTTCAGAAAAGAGCCAACGAGGCCACCAAAACCCTTAACAGGGGCATCTCTGAGTTCATCGTGATGGCTGCAGACACCGAGCCACAGGAGATCATTCCGCACCTCCACTGCTGTGTGAAGACAAGAACGTGCCCTTCATATTTGTGCGCTCCAAGCAGGCCCTGGGAAGAGCCTGTGGGGTCTCCAGGCCTGTCATCACCTGTTCTGTCACCATCAAAGAAGGCTCACAGCTGAAACAGCAGATCCAATCCATTCAGCAGTCCATCAAAAGGCTCTTAGTCTAAACCTGTGGCCTCTGCCACGTGCTCCCTGCCAACTTGTCCCCCGAGGTTGTGTATCATATTGTCTGTGTTAGCATGTAGTATTTTCAGCTACTCTCTATTGTTATAAAACGTTGAAGTCAAAAAAAAAAAAAAAAAAAAAAAGAAGAGTAATTATCTGCAGACAATGTCAGGGCTTTGCACCAAAATCCTAAAAGTCTACATTGTGATTCTCCTATGCGGGCCTGCCAAGGCTCCACCCAGCATCGCTCTCTGCCACTGACATGTCAAGCACCATTGGATCTGCTGGGTCATGTGACCAAGTGGTAGAGCACCTTGCACAACAGCCTGCATCTGTTGCAGAGCCTTCACTTGTTCTGGGCCCCACTCAAAACTAGCAGCTGGCTGGGAGCTCAAGCCTGTCATCCCATCACTTTGGGAAGCCAAGGTGGGTGGATTGCCTGAGCTCAGGAGTTCGAGACCAGCCTGGCCAACATGGTGAAACCCCGTCTCCACCAAAAATACAAAAAATTAGCCGGATGTGGTGATGCACACCTGTACTAGGGAGGCTAATGTAGGAGGCTAAGGTGGGAGGATTGCTTGAGCCCGGGAGGTGGAGGCTGCAATGAGCCATGATAGCACCACTGGACTCCAGCCTGGGCAACAGAGTGAGACCCTGTCTCAAAAAACAAACAAAAAAAACCCATTTATTTATTTATTTATTTGTTTTTGAGACAGAGTCTCACTCTGTCACCTAGGATGGAGTGCAGTGGCACAATCTCGGCTCACTGCAACCTCTGTCTCCAGGGTTCAAGCAATTCTCCCCCGCCTCAGCCTCCTGAGTACCTGAGATTACAGGTGCCCACCACCAGGCCCAACTAATTTTTGTATATTTAGTAGAGATGGGGTTTTGCCATCTTGGCCCGGCTGGTCTCCAACTCCTGACCTCAGGTGATCCGCTAGTCTCGGCCTCCCAAAGTGCTGGGATTACAGGCGTGAGCCACCACACCTGGCCACAGAAAACCTTTTGAGATAGTCAGTGAGTCATAAAAAATTATCAAACATGGAAATTCTCTTAAGTGAAAATGAAGTGAGCTAATAAGTACATTTTTAAAAGATTACTGATGGGCTGGGTGCGGTGGCTCATGCCTGTAATCCCAGCACTTTGGGAGGCTGGGATGGGCAGATCACAAGGTCAGGAGATCAAGACCATCCTGCCCGACCTGATGAAACCTTGTCTCTACTAAAAAATACAAAAATTAGCCAGATGTGGCAGCGCACTCCTGTAGTCCTAGCTACTCGGGAGGCTGAGGCAGGAGAATTGCTTGAACCCGGGAGGCGCAGGCTGCAGTGAGCCGAGATCGGCCACTGCACTCCAGCCTGGGTACAGAGCGAGAGACTCTGTCTCAAAAAAAAAAAAAAAAAGATTACTGAGGAATTTGCTTCTATTAAAACCAGAAAAGTAAAATTACCTTTTACATTTTCTTTTTTTTTTTTTTTGAGACAGAGTTTCGCTACTGTTGCCCAGGCTGGAGTGCAGTGGCGCAATCTCGGCTCACCACAACCTCCACCTCCCTGGTTCAAGCGATTCTCCTGCCTTAGCATCCCCAGTAGCTCGGATTACAGGCATGTGCCACCACACCCAGTTAATTTTATATTTTTAGTAGAGACAGGGTTTCTCCATGTTGGCCAGGCTGGGCTCGAACTCCTGACCTCAGGTGATCTGCCTGCCTTGGCCTCCCAAACTGCTGGGATTACAGGCATGAGCCACCGTGCCCAGCCCTTTTTTTTTTTTTTTTGAGATGGAGTCTTGCTCTGTTGCCCAGGCTGGAGTGCAGTGGCATGATCTCGGCTCACTGCAACCTCTTCCGCTTCCCAGTTTCAAGCAACTCTCCTGTCTCAGCCTCCTGAGTAGCTGGGATTACAGGCATGCACCACCACACCCGGCTAATTTTTGTATTCTGGTCTCGAACTCCTGACCTTAGGTGATCTGCCTGCCTCAGCTTCCCAGAGTGCTAGGATTTTCCTTTTTTTTTTTTTTTTTTTTTTGTAAGTGAAAGCAAGTTTATTAGAGATGTAAAGAAACAAAAGAATAGCTACTCCACAGGCAGAGCAGCCTATATTTTCCTTTTGATATGAACTTTTTTTTTTTTTTTGAGATGGAGTCTCATTCTATTGCCCAGGCTGGAGTGCAGTGGCGGGATCTGGGATCACTGCAACCTCTGCCTCCCGGGTTCAAGCGATTCTCCTGCCTCAGCCTCCCTAGTAGCTGGGACTACTGGCATGCACCACCATACCCAGCTGCTTTTTTTTGTATTTTTAGTAGAGACAGGGTTTCACCATGTTGGCCAGGCTGGTCTTGAACTCCTGACCTCAGGTGATCTGCCTGCCTTGGCCTCCCAAAGTGCTGGGATTACTGGTGTGAGCCACTGTGCCCAGCCGCTATGAACTATTTTAAGTGGAAATAATGATTTTTATTCTATTTTATTATTTTTTATTTTGAGACAGAGTCTTGCTCTGTTGCCCAGGCTGGAGTGCAATGGCGCAATCTCGGCTGACTGCAACCTCTGCCTTCTGGGTTTAAGCAATTCTCCTGCCTCAGCCTCCCGAGTAGCTGGGACTACAGGCGCG
The DNA here is from genome assembly GCF_000001405.40 of Homo sapiens. Lineage (NCBI taxonomy): Eukaryota > Metazoa > Chordata > Mammalia > Primates > Hominidae > Homo > Homo sapiens. The sequence continues at coordinate 132,902,979 of NC_000012.12, forward strand.
TGCCACCACGCCCGGCTAATTTTTGTATTTTTAGTAGGGACGGGGTTTCACCGTGTTAGCCAGGATGGTCTCGATCTAATGACCGTGTGATCTGCCCACCTCAGCCTCCCAAAATGCTGGGATTACAGGCATGAGCCACTGCACCTGGCCTAATGTTTTGAGTTTTAATACATGTACTTTGCAAAACTTTCTTCTTTACAACTACTTTAACCCTGTAGGGAAAATAAGACAGGAAGAAATGAATAAAGCACATCCACAGGAGTGCTCATTTTCCTTCTCCCAGACTCCCCAAGCTGTAGGCACGAACACTGTTCTCTGCAAGTCTCACCTGGGCCACGCACTTCTCTGGACTTGCATGGATTTCCTCCCAGAACAATCCTGATTAAGGAAACACCAGGTGCTCTCTGTTTCCCGCTGCCAACCCCTCTGTGAAGGGAAATGCCTAAAACAGATCTCACTCCGAGATCTTTACTTTCCAGAGAAAGTAAAGAATAACGCATGGGAACATTCCAGAACATGAGGGAATCTCTGCTTATGAATTTAAGGAAAGTGTCTCTGGTGGACGTGGAGAAAAGGGAACCCTCATACACGGTTGGAAGGAATGTAAATTAGTACAACCACTACCGAGAACTGTTTGGAGGTACCTCAGAAAACTAAAAATTGAGCTACCACAAGCTCCAGCAATCCCTGATGGCTAGATACCGGAAAGGGAATCAGCATGTCTAAGAGATGTCTGCACTGCCATGTTTGCTGCAGCACTGTTCACAACAGCCAAGATTTGGAAGCAACCTAAATGTCCATCAACAGATGAATGGATAAGAAAATGCGGCGCCTGTAATCCCAGTACTTTGGGAGGCCCAGGCGGGCGGATCATGAGGTCAGGAGATCGAGACCATCCTGGCTGACACGGTGAAACCCCCGTCTCTACTAAAAATACAAAAAATTAGCCGGGCGTGGTGGCGGGCGCCTGCAGTCCCAGCTACTGGAGAGGCTGAGACAGGAGAATGGCGTGAACCCGGGAGGTGGAGGTTGCAATGAGCTGAGATCGCGCCACTGCACTCCAGCCTGGGCAACAGAGCGAGACTCCGTCTCAAAAAAAAAAAAAAAAAAAGAAAGAAAGAAAGAAAATGCGGCGCATGGCGGGGCACAGCGGCTCATGCCTGTAATCTCAGCACTTTGGGAGGCCGAGGCGGATGGATCACAAGGTCAGGAGTTCAAGACCAGCCTGGCCAAGATGGTGAAACCCCATCTCTACTACAAATACAAAAATTAGCTGGGCGTGGTGGCGGGAGCCTGTAATCCCAGCTACCCTGGAGGCTGAGGCAGGAGAATCGCTTGAACCCGGGAGGCGGCGGTTGCAGTGAGCCGAAACCACCTCCAGCCTGGGCGACAGAAACAGACTCTGTCTCAGAGAAAAAAAAAAAAAAAGCGAAAAAACGTTATTTATTTATTTATTTATTTAGAGACGGAGTCTTGCTCAAGTTGCCCAGGCTGGAGTGCAATGGCACGATCTCGGCTCACTGCAACCTCGGCCACCCAGGTTCAAGCAATTCCCCTGCCTCAGCCTCCTGAGTAGCTGGGATTACAGGCGCGCGGCACCACGCCCGGCTAATTTTTGTATTTTTAGTAGAGACTGGATTTCACCTTGTTGGCCAGGCTGGTCTGGATATCCTGACCTCATGATCTACCCGCCTCGGCCTCCCAAAGTGCTGGGATTACAGGCGAGAGCCACCGCGCCCGGCCTATAAAAACATTTTTAAAAAAGGACAATGACTCTAGAGATTCCCCGGCAGAGTTCCTCTGGGAAGCTTTTCCTCACCGAAGACGCGGCCTCAAGTCATCCCCAAGCCGGGGCTCCTGGGTGGCTTCTCAGGAAGCCAAGCTCCCTCACCCTGTGGCGACGCCGCGGGCGGAATGCGCATGCGCGCCACGAGCCACAATCGTAGGGTTGGGCGCGCCCTGCCGGCCACCAGGGGCAGCGCAGGAGCTGAGCGCACCCCATCAGCGAAAGAAGCGCGCCTCCCCGCTCTTTTCTGAACCGTATCTCCTAAACTATAATTTTGGAGATCAAAAGTGCGGTGGAGCCTCCTCTTCTGTGGCTTGATAGGAGTGGGGGAGGTAACAAGAAGCAAAAGTACAAAGCCAATATATTAAAGTCAACTGAAACTGGAAAACTTTAAAGGCCTACCGTTTGCAATAAAACAACAAAAAGAAATCCTTGGATACAACAAATCCAAGAAATCCTTGCTCTAACAAAATATGAAACCATCTGTATCCAGAAAACTATGAAACACTATTAAAAGAAAACGTAGGCCGGCGCAGTGGCTCACACCTGTAATCCCAGCACTCCGGAAGGTCCGGAGCACAGAGGGCTCGCCTGAGGTCAGGAGTCCAGAGGAGCCTGGGAAATATGGCCAAGCCCTGTCGTTACTAAAAATACAAAAATTAGACTGGCTTGGTGGTGTGCGGCTGTAGTCCCGGCTACTCGGGAGGCTGAGATGGAAGGATGGCTTGAGCCCTGGAGAGGGAGGTTGCAGTGAGCCATGATGGGGCCACTGCACTCCAGCCGGGGGAACAGAGGGAGACTCTATCTTAAGGGAGGGAGGGAGGGAAGGAAGGAAGGAAAGGAGGGACGGAAAAGAAAGAGAGAGAAAGAGAGAAAAAAAAGGAAAACATAACCGGAGCATACTCCTTTTTCATTATTGTAGTCACAATATTGCTAAGATGTCAATTCTTCCCAACTGTAGAGTTGGTGCCGCTCCGACAAAAATCCCCGCAATTAATTTCGTAGATGTTGACAAACTGTTTGTAAACCTAGAATTGTAAATACAACCCTGAATAATAATGAACTTGAAGAACTCAACTTCCAAATCCAAAACTTCTAAAAGCTACCAAAAGAGCACTATCTTTGCAAAAGAATGGGCATTCTTTCACATGAACAATATCATTTTATCTTATTTTTAATTTTTTTTCAGGGTGTTGCTGTCACCCAGGCTGGAGTGCACTGGCACCATTATAGCTCACTGAAGCCTCGAATTCCTAGGATCAAGGGATCCTCCCACCTCAGCCTCCTGAGTAGCTGTTACTATAGGTGCCACCACGCCTGGCTGGAACAATATCATTTAAACTAAGCTTACATAGAATGTATTAATAATACAATCACAGGCAAGGACCCTTGCTTCAAACGTGTTAGGAAGCTGCAGAATTGAGGCCAGCCAAAACAGAGAGATTAAATCACATACATTTCTAGCTTTAATTTTCTTCCTATTTTCGCAGATCATGATTTTCATAATGATAATACATGAAGTGGTCCTTATAATAAGTAGATTCTATAGAGATGTGTATTGTATCAGCAGATGTCCGGTGTAGAATGCCACTTCCATCACAGCTTCTGAACACACAATGCTATCTACAATCGATTAAAAAATATATTTCAAAAGCCAGTTTCCCCAATATAACTAACTTCAGCATTCACTGATGTACTGAAAACTTATATTTGCCAATAATAGATTTTAGGGTAATTCATATTAAGATAGGATGGTTTTTAATATTATTTGAGGATAGACAGGAAATTTTAGTTGAGCAGGTTCTATTTTGTTTGAGTGGATCCATTAAAAAGATTGTTATTATTGCCGAGTGTGGTGGCTCGTGCCTCTAATCCCAGCACTCTGCGAGGCTGAGGCGGGAGGATGGCTTGAGCCCAGGCGTTTGAGACCAGCCTGGGCAACCTAGGCAGACCTCATCTCCAATAAAAATACAAAAATCAGCCTGACGCAGTGGCACGTGCCTGTAGTCTCAGCTACTTGGGAGGCTAAGGCGGGAGGACCACTTGAGCCCAGGAGTTCGAGGCTGAAGTGAGCTATGATGGCACCACTGCACTCCAGATGAGGCGACAGAGACTCTCCCTCTAATAAATAAATCAATACATCAATGAAAAATTTTAAAAAGATTATTTGTTGACTGTCAGGGTGATTTATTCTTCTAATAAATAGAATATTTACTTACAATTATATATCTTCTCATTAATACTCCAGTTCTGGTTACAAACTGGTAAAAATTGAGATAAAATCATAAAACTAACCAGGAAAACATTGACCTGCTAAAAACATAGAATCAGTGAAACTACTCAGGAAATACTTGCTATGACAGATTACTCTCTCTGTTAAAGGGTCCCATGTAGAGACATTTCTATGAATATTGAACAGTTAACAAAAAACTGAGACTGGGGGAGTGACAGACAATTCAGATTACAAAGCAAAAGCAACATAGGATTCAGATAAATACGATACCATGGTGAAACAAAATCTTTAAAGCACAAATGGTTTTGAATGTAGAAGCTCATATTTCACTAACTATTCACTGATGCGTAGTCCACTTTTCAGCAGTGATCTCCAATCAGTCCCTCCTTTCACAGAAGCCAGCGCAGGAGGCGCACGCGTCGCTTCCCGCCCCGCACTTCACCGCCCCAGCCCGTCCTGGCTGCCACCCGCCGTCCCTGAGAAACGCTCAGACGCTTCTCTCTCTCTTTTTAAAATTATACTTTAAGTTCTGGGGTACATGTGCAGAACCTGCAGGTTTGTTACATAGGTATACACGTGCCATGGTGGTTTGCTGCACCCATCAACCAGTTATCTACATTACGTATTTCTCCTGATGCTATCCCTCCCCTGGCCCCCCACCCCCGACAGGCCCCGGTGTGTGATGTTCTCCTCCCATTGTCCATGGTTTTTATTTTATTATTATTTTTTGAGACGGAGTCTCGCTCTATCGCCCATGCTGGAGTGCAGTGGCACCATCTCGGGTTCAAGCGATTCTCCTGCCTCAGCCTCCTGAGTAGCTGGGATTACAGGCATGCGCCGCCACGCCCGGCTATTTTTTTTTTTTTTTTTTTTTTTTTTTTTTTTTGTATTTTTAGTAGAGACGAGGTTTCACCATGTTGGCCAGTCTGGTCTCGAACTCCTGACCTCGTGATTCGCCCGCCTCGGCCTCCCAAAGTGTTGGGATTACAGGCGGGAGCCGCCGCGCCCGGCCTCAGACGTTTTTCTCTAGGTAAAGCCGCGGGATGAACCAGCCCCTGTGGAAATTTAGAAGTAACGACGTCCGTCAATTTCTGTATGAAAAATATACAGATCGTGTGACACGTCTTCTGGGAATGAAAGTCTGCTAAACTCGCCGTCACGAGTAGATGAACACATTTAAAGTTTGTAGTTAAGAGGAAAACAACGCCAACGACACAAATGCCCCAAGCGCTGGATGAAGCAGCGACCTAGGATGGGGCTGGCCTGGAACGGGAACCAAGACGCCCGCCCGGACGAAAACGAGCAGGGAAACCCGGGCCGGGGTCGGCCGCCCCACACGACGCACTGCGCAGAGACCACGCGGCTCCGGGTCTCGCCTGCGCCGGCGCATCCCTCGCAGACGCGCTCCTCCCACGCGAGGGCCCCTTCCCCGAAGCGCACGCCTAAGACTGCGCGCCGCAGCCCGCCCTGTCTAGCTGAGGCGCAGACCCGGATGGGTCCCAGAGGGGCGGGTCGGGGCGGAGAGCCGCGCCCAAAGGCAATGGGAGCCGCACGCTGCTAGGCAACATGCTGTCTCCCGGCAACGTAGAGGCGGGGAATTCGCCAACGTGTCTGAAACAGACAACAATTTTAGCCAACGGCTGCGTGGGCCTTGGGCGTCCTGGCCAATGGGAATAGTGAGGGGCCTGTCACTAAGAAACCTGTCCCTGAGCAACGCATAGGAGGGGTGGAACCCAGCAGCGCTGACTGAGCCGCCGCGAAGTGCCGGAACGTATTACCTGGGAGCCAAATTTCAGAGCGTCGTTTGTCTTCCCAAGCCCACCAGCTTTCAGCGTTCTCCAGCCTCGCCACACCCCCGCCTCGGGCCGTCCCCGCCCAGACGCTTGTCCCCGCGAGAAGCTGAGCGCACTGAAGTGAGCCCGGCGGCTGCCGCCGGAGGAGGAGCCCGGCTCTGGACACGGCCGTCAGGAAGCTCAGAGGCTGCAGCACCGCTTCTGCGTTGATTTCCGCTTGACTTTTACTCTTTTCTTGGGTTAAAAATCAAACGCCGACCCGAGGCGTCAGAGATGGGCGGTCGTTAGGCGCAGTGGCGGCCCCCGGATGTTTGCGATGGGACGGCGGGCTCGGAACGTGTGGACGTGGGCTTTGGAGGTGCGAGCCCCATTGGGCCAGGGCTGGGTCCGGGCAGTGGTACGGGGTCTCAGCTGTCCGTCACAGGAGATGTGCAGGCCTCGTCATCTGGGGTCTTACGTGTCAGTGATGTGGGGTCTGCCGGGTCAGTGAGGGGGTCTGTGAGGTCACTAGTGGGAGGCCACTCCCAAAGTGATTCCCCTCTGTCCCACCTGCTTCCCTGAGAAAAGCTCACTTATCCTTCACCAGGATTTAAAAATATATATCCTAAGACCAACCTGTAATATTTTTTTCTTTTTTGGAGACAGGGTCTCTTTCTGTCACCCAGGCTGGAGTGCAGTGCCACAATCTCATTGCAACCTCTGCCTCCTGGGCTCAGGCAATCCTCCCACTTCAGCCTCCCGAGTAGCTGGGACTACAAGTGTGTGTCACCACACTCAGCTAATTTTTAAATTTTTTATAGAGACGAGGTCTCACTCTATTGCCCAGACTGGTCTCAAGCGAGCCTCCTGCCTTAGCCTCCCAAAGTGCTGGGATTACAGGCATGAGCCACCGCGCCCACCCAATATTCTCTTTTTCATGGACCTTGTTTAGTTGCACTAAAAAAAAATTAATATATTTTATTTTTGTTTAGAGCGTGTTGGGTTTACAGAAAAATCAACTGGAAAGAACAAGGAGTTCCCCCCATCCCTTTCTACCTTAGTGTTCCCCTTATGTTCTACCATAGTGTTTCCCCTATATTTACGTTTCATATTACTCTGGTACATTTGTTACAACTGATACACCAATATTAATATATTATTATTAACTGAAGTTTATAGTTTACTTTTTTTTTTTTTTTGAGTCGGAGTCCCGCTCTGTTGCCCAGGCTGGAGTGCAATGGCACGATCTCGGCTCACTGAAACCTCTGCCTCCCGGGTTGAAGCAATTCTCTTGCCTCAGCCTCCCAAGTAGCTGGGATGATAGGTGCCCGCCATCACGCCCGGCTAATTTTTGTATTTTTAGTAGAGACGGGGTTTCACCATATTGGCCAGGCTGGTCTCTTGGCCCGGCTGGTCTTGAACTCCTGACCTTGTGATCCACCCGTCTCAGCCTCCCAAAGTGCTGGGATTACAGGCGTGAGCCACCACGCCTGGCCCTTTTTTTTTTTTTTCCTGACGGAGTCTTGCTCTTGTTGCCCAGGCTGGAGTGCAATGGCGCGATCTCGGCCCCATGCAACCTCCACCTCCCGCGTTCAAGTGATTCTTCTGCCTCAGCCTCCCAAGTAGCTGGGATTACAGGCATGTGCCACCACGCCTGGCCACAAGTTTTAAATTTTAATGAAGTTCAACTTATCAGTTTTTTGTTTCACAGATTGTACTTTTGGTATGGTATCTGAGAAAATATCACTAAACCCAGGATCACCTAGATTTTCTTCTGTGCTGTCTTCCAGGAGTTGTATAGTTTTGCATTTCACATTCAGGTCTTTGATCCATTTTGAGTTAGTTTCTGTGAAAGGTATAAGGTCTTTGTCTAGATTCACATTTTTGCCTGTGGATGTCCAGTTTTTCCAGCACCATTTGCTAAAAAGACTATCCTTTCTCCATTGCATTGCCCTTGCTCCTTTGTCAAACATCAGTTGACTATATTTGTGTGGCGCTGCTTCTGGGCTCTTTATTCTGCCCCACTGACCTCTTTGTCCATTCTTCTGCCAGTATCAGAGTGTCTCCATTACTATCGCTTTATAGGAAATTTTGAAGTTGGGTAGTGTCAGCTCCCCAACATTGCTCTTCTCCTTCAATACTGTGTTGACTATTCTGGGTCTATTTCTAATCTAGCAATGGAAGTTTTGCATTTCATTAGTCTTTATTTATTTATTTATTTCAGACAGCGTCTCACCCTGTCGCCCAGGCTGGAGTGCAACGGCACAATCTCGGCTCACTGCAACCTCCACCTCCAGGGTTCAAGCAATTCCCCTGCCTCAGCTTCCCAAGTAGCTGGGATTACAGGCACACACCACCACACCTGGCTAATTTTTTGCATCTTTGGTAGAGACGGGGTTTCACCATGTTGGCCAGGCTGGTCTTGATCTCCTGACCTCGTGATCCATCTGCCTTGGCCTCCCAAAGTACTGGGATTACAGGCGTTAGCCACCGCGCCCTGCCTCACTAGTCTTTTCAAGAAAGAAGCTTTTAGATGTGGATTTATTATCTGTTAATTCTCATTTTCATCTTCATTATTTCCTTTTTGCTACTTTTATTTGGATATTTTCTAGGATTCTTCCTAATCTCTTGGGTTGGATGCTTAACACTTACATTTCCATTGATCCTGTTTTCCTAATAGAGGCATTTGGGGTAATGCATTTTCCAGTAAGTGCCACTTTAGATTATATCCCATTTTGTGTGGTGTCCTATATCAGTTAAACCCACCGTATTCATTGTATAAATCAAATTTTTCATATACTTACTGTATTAGTCCATTTTCACGCTGCTGATAAAGACATACCCAAGACTGAGTAATTTATAAAGTAAAAGAGGTTTAATGGACTCACAGTTCCATGTGGCTGGGGAGGCCTCATAATCATGGTGGGTGAAAGGCACTTCTGACATGCTGGTGGCAAGAGAGAATCAGAGCACCAAGCAAAAAGGAAACCCCTTGTCAAATCACCAGATCTCATGAGACTTATTCACTACCATGAGAACAGTATCAGGGAAACCACTCCCAAGATTCAGTTATCTCCCACTGGGTCCCTCCCACAATATGTGGGAATTGTGGGAGCTGCAATTCAAGATGAGATTTGGGTGGGGACATAGCCAAAACAAGTTATCTCCCACCAGGTCCCTCCCACATGTGGGAATTAAGGGAGCTGCAATTCAAGAAGAGATTTGGGTGGGGACACAGCCAAACCAGATCACTTACCAATTATGTGCTGTCCTGCTCTATCAATTCCTAAGAAAAGTGTGCAAAAATTTCCAAATGGTAATGTGGATTTGTAGTTTATTCCTCTAATTGTCCTATTTTGTATAATACATTCTTTGGTCTATGTTAATTTGAAATTTTGAACATAGAATCATTATATCTTCATAGAAAATTGTACTTTTATCCTTATATAATGACCCTTTTTATTCCTAACGATGGTTTCCCTAAAGCTTATGTTACCCAATTAATGTTTGCCAGGTATATATTTTTCCACTCATACTCACTTTTTATAACATTTTTATGCATTTATTTTATAAACATATACATGGAATATTTTAAAGCATAATGCGACATTCTGCTTTTAAACCGATGAGTTTATATGATTTGTGATTATTGATACAGTTGGCTGGGTGCGGTGGCTCACGCCTGTAATCCCAGCATTTTGGGAAGCCGAGGTGGGCAGATTACTAGGTCAGGAGATCGAGACCATCCTGGCTAACATGGTGAACCCCCATCTCTACTAAAAATACAAAAAATTAGCCGGGTGTGGTGGTGGGTGCCTGTAATCCCAGCTACTCAGGAGGCTGAGGCAGGAGAATGGCGTGAACCCGTGAGGCAGAGCTTGCAGTGAGCCAAGATGGCACCACTGCACTCCAGCCTGGGCGACAGAGCGAGACTCCGTCTCAAAAAAAAAAAAAAAAAAAAAAAAGATTATTGATACAGTTATGTTTATTTCTATCATTTTACTTTTTGCTTTCCATTGGCCTTGTGTTTTTTGTCCCTTATTATTTTCTATCTTCTTTTGGATTTAATCAAGCTTTCTCACTTCCATTTTCAATATCTATTCTTTAAGTGTTAATGTTAAGGTGTTTGCTATGTATACAAGACTTAACAAAGTCTAAAGGTAATCACTTAATCTGCTCTCTCCATAACCAACAGAGAGGCATCCCAATTTTTTTTTTTTTTTTGAGGCAGAGTTTTGCTCTTCTTGCCCAGGCTGGAGTGCGATGGCGCGATCTCAACTCACTGCAACCTCTTCCTCCCAGGTTCAAGCATTTCTCCTGCCTCAGCCTCCTGAGTAGCTGGGATGACAGGTGCCTGACACCACGCCCAGCTAATTTTTGTATTTTTAGTAGAGACTGGGGTTTCTCCATGTTGGTCGGGCTGGTCTCGAACTCCTGACCTCAGGTGATCCACCAGCCTCGGCCTCCCAAAGTGCTGGGATTACAGGTGTGAGCCACCACGCCTGGCTCCAATTTTTTTTTTTTTTTTTTTGAGACAGAGTTTTCACTCTTGTTGCCCAGGCTGGAATGCAGTGGCACAGTCTTGGCTCACTACAACTTCCACCTCCCAGGTTCAAGCGATTCTCCTGCCTCAGCCTCCCAAGTAGCTGGAATTACACACACCCACCACCACAGCTGGCTAATTTTTTGTATTTAGTAGAGAGAGGGTTTCACCATGTTGGTCTGGCTGGTCTGGAATTCCTGACCTCAGGTGATCTGTCTGCCTTGGCCTCCCAAAGTGCTGGGATTACAGGCGTGAGCCACTGCACCCAGCGTCCCAACATTTTTATCTCTGATCATCCTGAACACATACCATGTTACTCACTGTTTTAGTTCTGCGTTATTTTTGTTGCATAACCAGTAACATAACATTATTATTGTTAGTTTACATAGCCAATACTAGTTTAGGTTCACATGTATTACCTCTTGGCTTCACCCACTACTTTTCTCTGATGGCAATCTTTGGAAGTTCCTTCATTGAGGGTTTATTAGTGGTAAACTCTTTATCTTTGCTGTGGTGCAGTGTCTAGAATTTTTGTTAAGTGAAGGTTTTACATTTAAATCTTCATCTATTAAGTTTGAATATGGGATGAGTTATGGATTGAGGTTCATTTGTTTTGTATATTGACTTTCAATTGTTGCAGCACCATTTTTTTAAACCACTATTTTCATTGATTTGCCCTTGCAACTTTGTCAAAAATCAATTGACCATATACACGAAGGTCTATTTATGTATTCTCAATTATGGTCCATGATCTATGTGTTTATCCTTTCTCTGACACAATGTTTAGATTGCTGTATCTTTACAGTAAGTTTCGAAGTCAGGGAGTGCGAGTCTTCCAGCTCTGTTCCTCTTTGACAAAAGATGTTTTGGCTATTCTAGTTTCTTCTGCTTTTCCAAATAAATTTGATTAACTTGTTAATGTCTACAAAAACTCCTGCTGGAATTTCCATTGGGATCGCAATAAATTTATAGGTAAATCTAGAGAGAACTGACATTCTACTATTTATTGTTCCAAACCACAAATATGATACATATTTCCATTTATTTAGGATTTGGATTTCCCTTATTTCTCTCATAAGCGTTTTGACGTTTTCAACATACAGATCTTTTATAACAACACTTACCCACTTCCCACCATTCTACCCCCATTCCTAAACCTTGGCAACACAAGAATCTGTCCTCCATTAAAAATGTTATGATTTCAGAAATGTTATATAAATGGAATAATACAATATGCAACCTTATGGGACTGATTTCTTGCATTTGGTGTACTTCTCTAGAGATTAATCCAAGTTTTTGTGTGTATCAGTAGTCCATTTATTTTCCTGAATAGCATTCCATATGTGTGTGCCACAATTTGTTTAACCATTTACCTTATTCTCAGTTTTTGGCTGTTCAAATAAACTGATATTAATCTGTGTACAGGTTTTGGTGAGAAAATATATTTATCTGGGATAAATCCCCAAAAGTGCAATTGCTAGGTTATATGGTAATTTGATGTTTAATTCATAAGAAACTGCCAAACTGTTTTCTAGAATTGCTGTACCATTTTCCACTCCCACTGGTAATGTATTAGTGATACAGCTTCTATGTACCCTCAACATTTGATGGTGTCACTATTTTTTTTTTTTTTTTTTTTAGACAGAGTCTTGCTCTGTTGCCCAGGCTGGAGTGCAATGGCGTGTCTTGGCTCACTGCAACCTCCGCCTCCAGGTACAAGCAGTTCTCTGCCTCAGCCTCCCGAGTAGCTGGGATTACAGGTGCGCACCACCATGCCTGGCTAATTTTTGTATTTTTAGTAGAGATGGAGTTTCACCATCTTGGCCAGGCTGGTCTCGAACTCCTGACCGCGTGATCCACCCGCCTCAGCCTCCCAAAGTGCTGGGCTTACAAGCATGAGCCACTGCACCCAGCCGCTGTCACTATTTCTTTTCTTTTTTGAGACGGAGTCACGCTCTGTCGCCCAGGCTGGGGTGCAGGGACACAATCTCGGTTCACTGTAAGCTCCACCTCCCAGGTTCACACCAACCTCCTGCCTCAGACTATTTTTTACTTAAGCCATCTTGATATCTTGATAGGTGTGTAGTAGCACTTCATTGTGATTTGAATTTGCGTTTCCCAAATCACTAATGATAGTGAATGTTTTTTCATGTGCTTGTCATCTGTATGTTTTTCTCAGTGAAATATCTGTTAATGTCTACTGCCCATTTTATAATGTTTTTTTTTTCTTTTTTTTGGGATGGAGTTTTGCTCTGTCACCCAGGCTGGAGTGCAATGGCACAGTCTCGGCTCACTGCAATCTCCAACTCCTGGATTCAAACGATTCTCCTGCCTCAGCCTCCCGAGTAGCTGGAATTACAGGTGCATGCCACCACACCTAGCTAATTTTTATATTTTTAGTATAGACGGGGTTTCACCATGTTGGCCAGGATGGTCTCAATCTCTTGACCTCGTGATCTGCCCACCTCGGCCTCCCAAAGTGCTGGGATTACAGGTGTGAGCTACTGCGCCTGGCCTGCTGTACAGTTTTAAAGATGAATTACATTGATGTATTTTGAAATATTCAACTTACCCTTACATACGTGGAATAAATCCCACTTGGTCATGGTGCATACTTCTTATATATTTTGAATTTTGTTTTCAAATATTTTGTTGAGGATTTTCACATGTAAGTTCATGACAGATATTGGCCTGTAGTTGTGTGTGTGTGCACACGTGTGCATGCAGTCATGCTGTCTTCGGTTTGTTATCAGGGTAGTGTAATACTGGCCTCATAAAATGAGTTGAGAGATATATTCCCCCTCTTCTATTTTTCTGGAATATCATGTAAAGCTGATATAAATTATTCTTTAAATGACTGGTACAGTTCTCCATCTGGGCCTAGAGATTTCTGTTTGGGTAGATCATTAGTAGTTCAATTTCTTTACTGGATATAGGGCTTTTCGATACTCAACTTCATCATGGGTGAGTTTTGGTAGTTTGTGGTTTTTAAGAAATTAATCCATTTCTTCCAAGCTGTTGAATTTATAAGTGTGAAGTTGTTAGTAGAGATCCTTTTTTATTTTTGATGTTGGCAAGGTCTGTAATAAAGTATTTCATTTTTAATACTGGTGATTTGTATCTTTTTATTTCTGTCAATGTTGCTATAAGTTAATCATTTTTGTTAATTTTTTTAAGAATGAGCTTTAGTTGTCCTATTTTCAATCACTGACTTCAGTTCTTTATCATTTTCTTCCTTGCACTTGTTTTGGATTTATTTTGCACTTGTTTTTCTAGTTTCCTGAGGTAGAAACTTAAATTACTGATTTAAAAATCTTTCCTTATTTCTCATGTACACGTTAGAAGGGTAAAATCTACTTTTGTGTGTGTGTGTGTGTGTGTGTGTGTTTTTGAGACAGAGTCTTGCTCTGTCCCCCAGTCTGGAGTGCAGTGGCGCTATCTCGGCTCACTGCAACCTCCATCTTCCAGGTTCACGCCATTCTCCTGACCCAGCCTCCCGAGTAGCTGGGACTACAGGGGCCTGCCACCACGCCCAGCTAATTTTTTTTTTTTATATTTTAGTAGAGATGGAGTTTCACCGTGTTAGCCAGGATGGTCTTGATCTCCTGACCTTGGGATCCGCCCGCCTCGGCCTCCCAAAGTGCTGGGATTACAGGTGTGAGCCACCGTGCCTGGCCTACTTTTTTATATCAAGTTGTGTGTGTTTGCTTTTGTTTTGTTTTAGAGATGGGGTCTCACTCACTCCGTCACTCTGTTGCTCAGGCTAGAGTGCAATGGTGTGATAACTCACTGTAGCCTCAGACTGGGCTCCAGGAATCCTCCTACCTCAGCTTCCCACATCAGGCTAAATTTTTTTTTTTTTTCCAAGACAGTCTTGCTCTGTCACCCAGGCTGAAGTGCAGTGGTACGATCTCAGCTCATTGCAACCTCTGCCTCCCAGGTTCAAGTGATTCTCCTGCCTCAGCCTCCAGAGGAGCTGGGGTTACAGAAGCCCACAACTGCGCCCAGCTAATTTTTGTATTTTTAGTAGAGATGGAGTTTCACCATATTGGCCAGGCTAGTCTCGAACTCCTGACCTCGTGATCTGCCCGCCTTGGCCTCCCAAAGTGCCGGCATTACAGGCTTGAGCCACCAGGTCCAGCCTAAAAAAAATTTTTTTTTAGAGATGGGGTCTTGGCTGGGCGTGGTGACTCACACCTGTAATCCCAGCAATTTGGGAGGCTGAGGCAGGTGTATCACCTGAGGTCAGGAGTTCGAGACTAGGCTGGTCAACATGGTGAAACCCTGTCTCTACTAAAAATACAAAAAATTAGTTGGGCATGGTGGTGCACACCTGTAATCCCAGCTACTTGGGAAGCTGAGGCAGGATAATTCCTTGAACCTGGGAGGCGGAGGTTGTAGTGAGCTGAGATCGCACCACTGTACTCCAGCCTGGGTGACAGAGTGAGACTCCATCTCAAAAAAAAAAAAAAAAAGAGAGATGGGGTCTTGCTATGTTGCCTACACTGGTCGGGAACTCCTGAGCTCAGTGATCCTTCCGCCTCTGCCACCCTAGTAGTTGGCATTACAGGAATAAGCCACTGCAGCGGGCAAGTTGTGTATATTTTGACAAATGCATAATTGTGCCATAGAAAACACTAGTTTTTAATATTATTTGAACCATCTAATTATAGTTACCAGTGCTTTAGAAAACAAACCCACATAATTGCCTATGGGATGGACCAAATGACAGCTAATTGTTCATTGTCCTAAAGCAGGAAAGTTAAAGGGGTGTAAAAAATTAACAGAAGTGGGTGGTCCTGCAAGGAAGGGGGTTAAGTAGACAGGATCAGGCTGGAGACGTTTCAGCTCACTCTCACTGAGGATAAAAGGAACAGACAAGAAACTGAAAGGGAACAGCTGCTTCTTTGGGTGTGGGGGTGTATCTGGATGCTTATGGATGACAACAAATTGAAAACTGATGATAATTCAGATTTAATTTGGGGATACCTGGTTGGAATGGAAACCAGAGTTT